>NC_000012.12:128905501-129207124 GCF_000001405.40 Homo sapiens
AATGTTGTCTTGGGAGCTGGGTTTATGATCGCCTACCTATCTCTGGCTGACCTTCACAAGTTAGTTTGATTGGATTTCAGTAAAGACGGTTTTATCTCTTTTAATTTGAAATGCCTTTGTTTATGCTCAAGTCATTATTTTTTAGTGTTGTTTATATCAGCCTTAATTTGACATTGTACCTACTTTGTAAAATATACAATCCTAGTGGGCTCCTCACCAGGTCAGCATGCTAGGCTGTTAATGCCTAGCACGCGTGATCAACGTAGGTTATGTTTTGGGATGGCATTACTATGTTGGTTTGTGATATTATAATATATCTTTTAAGTGTTTTTTTTTTTTCTTTATTAAAGGAGTCTCACTCTGTTGCCCAGGCTGGATGGAGTGCAGTGGCGTGATCGTGGCTCACTGCAGCCTCAAACTCGTGGGCTCAGACGATCCTCTCCCCCTCAGCCTCCTGGGTAGCTGGGACTACAGGCCCATGCCACCACACCTGGCTGAAATTTTGACTTTTTTTTTTTTGTGGAGATAAGGTCTCACTGCGTTGCCCAGGCTACTCTTGAACTCCTGGCCTCAAGTAGTTCTCCTGCATCAACCTCCTAAAATGCTAGAATTACAGGCGTGAGCGTCTGTGCTGGCCAGTTTCTGATATTATAATATTGATTTGACATTTTCAAGAATTTGATTCATTTCACATTTCTGATCCTGAAATATATGTTGTGGGAAGTTTGAAAATATTTTATGTAGGATTTTGATTTCTTGCTACAATATGTAATAGATATTCAGGATGCAAACTTGAGTACTTCTAGTTCTAGTCCACGTTTAGAGCGCTTTGTCTAAATTCATCAGAATTTCACCAGAAAATGTAAAAATTTCACCAAGAAGAAAAAAACACCCACGAACAAATTAAATGTGTATCTTAATGGACGCTTCTACCAGGAGAAGCAATGGTTATGGTTTAATATGTCTCCATTGGGCTCAAAACCCCTCATGCCTGTTTTCACACTCTTTTCCTAATAAGCATTCTTCTAAGAGGACATTATCTAAACTCAAATATTTATTTATGAGCTATATTTAAAAAATCCTGTTTGAGTAAATATTGCTTGAAGCAGTTATCAAATTCAAACAAAAAAAAGCACAGTGTCATTCATAATGGCCCATCAATATGCTTTGCAAAGGCTAAGTTTTCAGGTGTTATCTTTAGAGTGAGGTTTTTCTTTTTTTTTTTTTCTTTTTTTTTTCTGGAAACTTTGAGTCACCCCCTTCTGGGGCCTAATTTATCTACTTTGCCTTGGCACTTGTGAAAGAAAAGTAACTTCTTCAAGTTGCTGTGTTAGGCAAAACCTAAAGTGTAATTTTACTTTGTGTACATTTACTCATCAAAATTCTTTTGGAAATTAAAATATAGAAAGCAAGACAGATCTCATTGGCTGTCACAAGTGCAGTTCCTGTACAGGTGAGCTCCACAAGTCAGTGCAGATGTTAGCGCTGGCCTAATCGGAATGAGCTGCGTGTCTCCTTATCCCTAAAGTCTGCAGTAGAAGCATGCTGTCTTTTGAGCTACTTATTACTTCTCCCTCTTCCTGCATGGCCCCATTGCTTTATGTCTGATTACCTCGGAAAGTCATCTTGGCAGCAGCTGAAACTACACAGACCATACCTTTTATTAGAGTTCCCACCCTCCTGGAAACATAAAAATGCATTGAACACGTGGGTTTCACCTCTAGACTACCTCTTTTCTGTGCCAACCCTCTCACCTCTGCAGGAGAAGCTCCAGGGATTGATCATGTCCCAGGAAGCTAATCTTTTTTTTTTTTTTTTTTTTGAGACCGAGTCTCGCTTTGTTGCCCAGGCTGGAGCACAGTGGCGTGATCTCGGCTCACTGCAAGCTCTGCCTCCCGGGTTCACGCCATTCTCCTGCCTCAGCCTCCCGAGTAGCTGGGACTACAGGTGCCCGCCACCACACCCAGCTAATTTTTTGTATATTTAGTAGAGACGAGGTTTCACCGTGTTAGCCAGGCTGGTCTTGATCTCCTGATCTTGTGATCCACCCGCCTCAGCCTCCCAAAGTGCTGGGATTACAGGCGTAAGCCACCGTGCCCCGCCACTAATCATTTTTAATAGCTTCTATGAAGGTGAGCCCTCATTGGAGATTTCTGGATGGAACTGCAAATGTTCTTTATGTCTGTGTGGGTTTTTTTGTTTGTTTGTTTGCCCCCATGTGAGATCCCTGGGAATTGAGAAGTTTGAAAGGAACTCAGAAGTATGAAAAACGCATCCATTCCAGAGCATAGATCTTGAGTTTACTTTTTCCATGACCCGGGGCTCAAATGTGTGGTACCATCACAAGTATTGTTTGTAATTCATTAAATTGCCCAGGCAGAGCATGGTAGGGGAATCTTCTGAATAAAATGAACAATCATTCTGAGTTGTTTACTCCATACATTTAATTGTTTAAAAAAACAAAAATCTTCTCTGGAAATTTCCTGTTGATGTTCCTGTTTCTTGAGTCGCCCCAGTAGATGGGGTGCCACACTCTCATCCTTTTATTTTGTGAAGGGTCACGGGTTGTTCTTTTAAATTTATTTAACTATTTATTTTTTAGACGAGTCTTGTTCTGTCCCCCACGCTGGAGTGCAGTGGTGCGATCTCAGCTCACTGCAGCCTCCGAAAGTGCTGGGATTACAGGTGTGAGTCCCCGCGCCTGGCCGGATTGTGTTAACTTCATCTCTATTGCTGCTCCATATTGGACCTGACAGAATCCTACCCCAGTCTAGTTTCAACATTTCTTTCTCATCTCACCCACGTATTTTCTTTTACTTTCCTTCTTTCTTTCTTTCTTTCTTTCCCTTTCTTTCTTTCTTTTCTTTCTTTCTTTTCTTTCTCTTTCTTTCTCTCTCTCTCTCTTTCTTTCTTTCTTTTTCTTTCCTTTCTTCCTTTCTTTCCTTCTTTCCCTCTTTCCTTCTTTCTTTCCTTCTTTCTTTTTTTCTTTCCTTCTTTCCTTCCATCCTTCCTTCTTTCTTTCTTTCCTTCTTTCTTCTTCTTTTTTTTTTAATTGTTCTCCTACCCAAGGCGGAAGACTGGCAGCTCAGCTAGGTGCTGGGCTCTGTATGGTGGCTGGCGTTTCTGTGGGACACGGAGGGCAGCAGGAAGGAAAATAAACACGACAGGCCGGGCGCGGTGGCTCACGCCTGTAATCCCAGCACTTTGGGAGGCCGAGGAGGGCGGATCACGAGGTCAGGAGATCGAGACCATCTTGGCTAACACGGTGAAACCCCGTCTCTACTAAAAATACAAAAAATTAGCCGGGCGTGGTGACGGGCGCCTGTAGTCCCAGCTACTCGGGAGGCTGAGGCAGGAGAATGGCGTGAACCCGGGAGGCAGAGCTTGCAGTGAGCCGAGATCGCGCCCCTGCACTCCAGCCTGGGCGACAGAGCGAGACTCCGTCTCAAAAATAAATAAATAAATAAATAAATAAAAAATAAACACGATAGGTCCAAGCGTCATTCCACTGGGTTTTGATATTGGCTTCGCAGCTAGTCTCCCGTTTCTGACCTGTGCCATCCATCTATAATGAAGCAGGACACCAACGCTTCTTCCTCATATTCCAGAATCCCAACTCTTGAAAACCTCTTTCTTTGTTGTTAAAATGTTGTGAAGTGTTAGTGTCTGGACATTTTTTTTCTATGAAAAATGATTAAAGTACTTCCTAGTAAAAAAAGAAAAGAAAAGAAAAGAAAAATTGTTCTTTGTGTGGTTGGTTCCATTGCAGGAGTTCAGTGGCAAGGCTGAATCTCCCCACACCTCGCCTTCCTTTTGAATATTACTTTCTTTTTTTTTATGCACGATAACAGATTTCTAAGGGAAAAGAGTAGAGGGAGGAAAAAAGACACTGTGACCTTGAAAAGTGCCCAATTTCTTTGTGTTTTGTGGCATAAATATATTTTGCAACTTTATATGTATGGGCCATCATTTCTTTTAAGCAGTTTGTAATCGTTTTACAAGTAGTTTTTACAAAGCCACAGTCTGAAGTTGTATTATAATTTCAGAACAAAAACTATTATTTTTGTCATCTGTAGAGCATAAAATTGTGCCTGTATTTCAAAAATAATCTATTGTGGTTTCCATTTGCAGAAAGTTTAATTTTAGAAGGTGAATCTCTGGCTTATGTTTAGTCAAAGAATGGGAAGTTCTTTGGTTGATGTTATTTCCAGCATGAAAAGGTATCAGTTAGTCCTTGGGTCTGTTAGAAGTCCATCTATTTATAGGTATCTATCCAATAGGATCCTGGCTTTTTATATCCAGTAATGAGCCAAAGAGGTAACAGTTGCTGATAGACACACCTCAGTGTTTGCCATTGTGTGCACTGATGAGCTAATCTGCAAGGCAGGCCGTACACAAGGACTTTGACTCATGTTATTTCAAGGCAGAGAGAACAATAATAAATATTGAGCAAAGAAAGCTAATTTGTATTTGTTACACTTTCATATAGAAAATGTTTTTCAAAATCAATATAAGCCAATTGGCTTTTGCCAGATTTCTTTTATTGCAATGATTACAAATAACTCAGGTCCAGACTTCCTTTATACTGCAACTTTATTTCCTCTGTTTGCCTGGATGAGATCTGAAAATACCATTTATGCAACGCTTTTCAAATGATTAGAAAAATGATGCTCAGAGATGTGGGAAGATCAGCAGATAAGTCCAGAAATCTTCACTTTCAGTCAATTCCTTCTGCTGACAGAGCTGAGATACAAGTTTAACTCTTTTTTTTTTTTTTTTTTTTTGGTGGAAAAAGGAGTTTCTTGACAGGAACATTTTGAGTTTATGTATTGCTAATTGCAGAGCCTATTTCCAATGAAAATAGTGACAAAAACTATAAACTCTATGTTGCCTCACCTTATATTTATCTAGGATTATGCTGAATCTGTTATTGTCAAACACTTATATTAAGTTATATTAAGTTAAATGCCATGGTGTTCTATTGTGAGTGCTTTACCATCCATCTTCAAGATGTTGCCAGGCGAGTGTTTTGGACACAGGGTTGTTTTAGGAAGAAACACTCCAAGCCTCCACTACACTCCAGTAACAGCTCTTCCAGCTTTCCAGGGAAATTATAATTCAGCATAAGGAGTAGTTTAGGGCTCTGAACTGCAATTTCTAATTTCAATGGTCGCCTTTAGCCTTTTTTTTTTTTTCATTAAAGTTAATGTCTTTTTTAACTGGTAGAGAAGAGGTCTTTGAAACTCTCTCTTAAAGGTTTACTATTTTAAGGGCATTTGGAATACCACACATACCTGCTTGCACGATGAAGTGGGGAGGAGAGGCAAGACTTCTGGAGGCTTGAGATGCTTCCTGTAGTGAAATACAAAATGCGATGCTAAGGACAAAACCAACACCATACCGAGCCTCGTGTGTACCCACCACCTTCTTTATTTTTTTTATTTTTCAGGCAGAGTCTCACTCTGTCGCTTAGTCTGGAGTGCAGTGGCGCAATGTCGGCTCACTGCAACCTCCGCCTCCCGGGTTCAAGCGATTGTCCTGCCTCAGCCTCCCAAGCAGCTGGGATTACAGGCGCATGCCGCCACACCCGGCTAATTTTTGTATTTTTAGTAGAGACAGGGTTTCACCATGTTGCCCAGACTGGTTTTGACCTCCTGACCTCAAATGATTTGCCTGCCTCGGCCTCCCAAAGTGCTGGGATCATATGGGTGAGCCACCATGCCTGGCCGTGCCACCCACCTTCTGCCTGGATGCTGCCTCTACCAAACCTTCCCAGGCTTGGGGAGGGCCAGTCTCCTTCTTCCTGTTGATTGTCTCGCCCTTGGCAGGGCTACTTCACTTTAGCTTGTGTCCCAAAATATAAAACTGAAGTGGGGACAACGTCCAACGTGGATCAGCATACCCCATGCAGTGCCGAGGGCTCCCTGGTGCCCTAAAGACCACACTGTATCCCTACACCGAGGAAGGACAGGGGTGTGTCTTCTGTGACCTCCAGGGATCTAGCTAGTTCAGTCACTTAATGCATTGATCAGGCTTAGGTCACATGACAAAAAGACATCCATTTTTGGACTCTTTCACCAAAATGACGGCCTGTTTTGATCACTTGAGAGAAACCGTCCTTGGCATGGACTTGCTCCATCACTCTGCTCCTGCCTCCACCTTTCCATCTAAACGTCACCTTAAAAATATTCCTGCCACTGTTTCAAAATGAACTGGAGAAATGGATTCAATTTCTCTCTAGTAGTTTTGTGACATTCCACCAGAAAACATGGCAAGGAATAGTAAGTTGATATCTTGGTACAAATATCCATATCCGTCATGCAAGGGCCGCCTTTTGCTTGGTGCCAGGGAGGTAACTTACCAGACGCTTTCCACCCGGCTGTCCTCCCTTGCCTGGAAGGATCTGCCTCCTGGGGCCTGTCTTTGGTTTCCCAACATATTGGCAGCTCCTCCTTCTCCTCCTGCTCCTTTCTTCTTTTTTTCTGGGGGTGGTGGAAGCAGTCTTCCCCTCAGGGATGCATAAGCCATAACATGCTTCCCCAAACCTCCACCTCCACGCAGGGGCGGGAGCTGCATCAGCTGGGCCGGCACTGGCATGCTCTCTGGCTGAACTTCAGTAATGTCTCCACTAATATAGCAAGTGTAAAATTGCAAAATTGCATTAGGCCTCATTTAAGAGACTTTTTGTGTGTGTGCTTCTTACCTTATAGATGCTGTATTTTTAATGGCAAAACCTATTAAAAAGCAGAAGTAATGCTTTGCTCTTACAGAGTAATAAGTCTATGAGCAGCTGTGTAGATGATTCTCAGTGATGTTTTCCAGGACGGCTTTTTTTGTTAATGACCTTCATTTTATTTCTAAAAAGCAGTTGTCATGCACTGTCCAATGTACTTTTCTTTTCTCTCTCCCCTCCTTTCAAAAGCCGCATGCTAAGGGTAAGGTCTATGTCCAGAGTCAAGGTAAGATTTTTAAAATATTTATTTACTTATGTACAGGGATAGAGAATGAATATATCAAAATAGATGCATATTTATATGTGATAAATATATATATATATTTAAAAGAATAAGTTTGCATCCTTAAGAGACACATATTGAGATGTTTATGAAGGAGATAATATGATTTCTCAGATTTACTTAAAAATAATCAGTGAAATGGCTACTTTTTTTTTTCTTTTTTGAGACAAGGTCTGGCTCTGTCGCCTAGGCTGGAGTGCGGTTGTGCGATCTCGGCTTACTGCAACCTCTGCCTCCTGGGTTAAAGCGTTTCTCTAGCCTCAGCCCCCCCAGTAGCTGGGACTATAGGCAGGCATGAGCCGCCATGCCCAGCTGATTTTTTTTGTATTCCTTGTAGAAATGGGGTTTCGCCATGTTGCCCAGGTTGGTCTTGAACTCCTGGGCTCAAGCAATCTGCCTGAGAATGGCTACATTGTTAAGATTTTTCTAACATTAGAATAAAAGATAAATAGGAGAAATTATAAAATAATGATTTAAAATGCGGATCACTTAACATTTTCTGCCAGTAGAAGTACGATATACTCCATCAGCAGTATGTTTGGAAAAAACAAACCAAACCAAATGCGGAGCTTCTGTTTCAGCTGACTTGAGTTGGGGGAACTGGAACTCTTCTCCCTTCATACTCCTCCTTCCTCCCTGCCCAATTCTGCCCCTATGGTGGCATCTGAGGCCCTTCATCAAACCCTCTGAGGTTTAAACACAGTTTTTTGTTTTTGTTTTGAGATGAAGTCTTGCTCTGTCGCCCAGGCTGGAGTGCAGTGGCGCAATCTTGGTTCACGTCAACCTCCGCCTCCTGGGTTCAAGCAATTCTCCTGCCTCAGCCTCCCGAGTAGCTGGGATTACAGGTGCCCCCCCACCACGCCCAGCTAATTTTTGTGTATTTTGTAGAGACAGGGTTTTACTGTGTTGGCTAGGCTGATCTTGAACTCCTGACCTCAGGTGATCTGTCCGCCTTGGCCTCCCAGATTGCTGGGGTTCCAGGTGTGAGCCACCGTGCCCGGCCTCTCTAAACACAGTTTGTAAACCACTGTACTACATGATAGAAATAATGGAAAGACTAGATCCAAGGAAGAACATGTAATTGGCCCCAAGCTCAGGTTAGAACGAGTGCAGAGGCTGAGGCCAGGCGTTCGGGCCTCCTGAGGACTTCCATGGTGCTCAGGCGCACCTTAGTGAGGCACGGCATCCTGTCATCACCGTGTCCTTGCTGCATTGGCTTCAGTGACATTTTTAGCTGGTGCAGCAGGAAAAACCTGGGCTCTGAGGCAGCGCGTAGGTTTGAACACAGCGTCTACCACCTCCACCCTGCGCATTTTGAAGTGCGTTTAACCTCTTTGAACATCAGTGTCCAGCTGGATAAACTGGAGGAAGCAGTCTGCTCAGTGGGCCTTTAAGGGTTACAGTGGAGTATGGAAAGCGCCTACATGCAGTCGGAGCCCAGGGCTGGCTTGAAATGGGCGCTTGTTAAATAGCCGCTGTCAGTATGATTCAGTGTGAATAACGATTATGCAGGTGGATTTTGGAGGTGGTTAGATGACTTGATTTACTTACATTTTATAAAATTTCAAAATGTTTCTGTTACCAAGATAACGTGTTAGACGTTGCCTCTGAATTTCTAAATTGTAAAATAGTCATTTTTTTTTTCAGCAAAAATTAAATGTAACTTCTCTCTCTGAAGAAGTAATAGCCAACAGACCATCAGGCATGAGTTGGTGAGGGTTGAGAGTGGGAATTTTACAGGGAGGTATAATTTTCACATGGGGCTTAGCTGACAGTGTTTTTGAAACCTGTTACTTCCTGGCATTTTTAAGGAACTCAAGGTTTGTCTAACCCCTAACCCCGTTTGGGCCTGTCATGGATCCTGGGGCTGAAAGGGGTGCGTCTTTTCTCATGTGGAATCCATGGGCTCTTTTTAACCCTCCTGTGCTGAAGGATTCATGGGACTTCAGTGACACACTCAGAGCATCGAGCGGCTTTATAAAAACCAGGTGCTACTGTTATTTAAACTTCAACACAAGTGGGCCGTGTGTGGTGGCTTACACCTGTAATCCCAGCACTTTGGGAGGCTGAGGCGGGAGGATCACTTGAAGTCAGGAGTTCGAGACCAGCCTGGCCAACATGGTGAAACCCTGTCTCTACTAAAAATACAAAAATTAGCCGGGTGTGGCAGCGGGCGCCTATACTCCCAGCTACTCGGGAGGCTGAGGCAGGAGAATCGCTTCAAACCGGGAAGAGGAGGTTGCAGTGAGCAGAGATCGTGGCACTGCACTGCAGCCTGGGTGACAGAGCGAGACTCTGTCTCAAAATAATAAGAATAATAGTAATAATAATAATAAGCCTCAACACAAAATAACTCATTGTATTTCAGCAGTCGCTTCAAAGTGAACTTGCCCTTTTTTTGTTTCTTTGACCCAGGAATTGCAACAACACCAAACGCCGCTTTTAACTGGAATACCTTTCTTCAACGCTCTGGTGAGACATGAGATCTTCTTAGAGGATTTTGATGAAGTGCATCTTGTCAGTTACTTTCAGGAGCTTGTGACGTTCATGCGGTTTTGAAAAAGTGGTTGTCAGAGAGAACAAGGTTCATTTCCCTCTGTCTGCGGCTTCATGAGTAGTTTTATCCTTTTGAGGAACAGCAGGGCTAGAAAGCCAGAGAGACAGGGGCTCTGGCCCTTTCTGATGCTGTTTTTAGCACCTGCTTTCCAAATTTTCAGTATCATTTCCTGTGACATTTGTTCTTTATAAGAATAACAACCTCATGTGTTCATTTTATTTTACTTTACTAATTATACACGTAGTTAAATTACCATTGTAGAAAAATGAGAAAATATCAGAATATGCAACACATTTTTTTTTTTTTTTGAGATGGAGTCTCGTTCTGTTGCCCAGGCTGGAGTGCAGTGGTGTGATCTAGACTCACTGCAGCCTCTACCTCCCGGGTTCAAGTGATTCTCCTGCCTCAGCCTCCTAAGTAGCTGGTACTACATGCATGCGCCACCATGCCTGGCTAATTTTTGTATTTTTAATGGAGACGGGGTTTTGCCGTATTGGCCAGGCTGGTCTCGAACTCCTGATCAGGTGATCCACCCACCTCAGCCTCCCAAAGTGCTGGGAATCCAGGCATGAGCCACTGGGCCTGGCCAAAAAATGCAACAAAAATTTTAATCACTTGAAATTTCATCACCAAAAAGAAACTGCTATTAATGTTTGATGTGATCTTTCTCAACAATTTACATGTAAATAATGATGTTTAAAAGACAAAGTCAAGCTTCACTTACTACTCTAACCTGCCTTCTTTGCTCATTATGTCAGTAGAATAGAGTGAACTCATCCTTTTTTTAAAATAATTCTATAGTTTGTATGCAGTGAAATGCAGAGATCTCAAGTGTAAAATTAGGCAAATGTTTGACAAATGTATATACCCATGTGACAAATACCCCAATCAAGATAGATAACATTTCCACCACTCAAGAAAGTTCTCTCATGCCCTCTTCCATATTTAATTTCTGTCTCTTTATAGGCGATTCCTAGTCTAATTTTTCTTATCTTAGATTAGTTTTACCTGTTCTTGAACTTCATCTAAGTGGAGTCATGCATTGAATAATTTTTTGTATCTGGCTTTCTTTGTTCAACTAATGTGTTTGAGATTTATCCCTATTGTGTGTATCTGTAGACCTTTTTTCTTAGTATTCTATTTTGGAATGGTGTATTTCATTCCATATATCACAAATTGTTTATCTCTTCTTCTATTGATGAACTTTTAGCTTGTTTTCCATTTTTAACCGTTACAAATACATTTACTATGAATATCCTTGTGCAAGGTTTTTTGGTGACCTATGTTTTCACTTCTCTTGGATAAATGCCTCTAAGTCAAATAGCTTGACTATATGATTAACATTATAAAAAATATCCAAACAGTTCTCCAAGGTGTGCCATCTTACACTTCCACAGAAGCTGACAAGAGCTTCAGTTACTCCACATTCTTGCCCACCGGTGGAGTAGACAGTCTTTTCAATTTTAGTTGTTCTAGGGAGATAATGAAATGGTGTCTCATTGTCATTCTTCTAAGTTTCATTTCCCTGATGATTAATTTTGTTCAGCACCTTTTTATGTGCGCGTTGGCCATTCATGTATCTTGTTTCGTGAGTGTCTAGCCAATTGTGTGTGTGTGTCTTCTAATTATTGGTTTGTAGAACTTCCTTATATTCTAGGTACAAGCCTTTTGTCAGATAAATATATTGTTAATATTTTCTCCCATTATCTGGTTTATATTTTTGTTTGCTTAACCATGTCTTTTGAAGAGCAGAAGAGGCTTAAATTTTATTGAAGTCGAGTTTATCAAACTTTTTCTTTGATGGTTAGTGCTTTTGAGTCCTGTCTACAAAATCTTTACCTACCCTAGGGTCACAAAGATGTTTTTCTTTCTTTTTAAAATGTCTTTAGAAGTTTTAGTGCTGTAGCTCTTTCATTTAAGATTATAAATCCATCTGAAATTACTATTTGTGTGTTGTATGAGGTAGGGATCTGTTTTTTTTTCTTAACAATATCCAGATGGTTCCGGCGTCATTTATTGGAAATGTTTTTCTTTGCCCATTGAATTGCTCTGGTGCCTTCGTTGAAAGTCAGTTTACTGTATGTGGCCTTCCATTATCTATGCCTATCTTTATTCCAATATCATGCTGTTTTGTTGGTATAGGGTAATAGTAAGTCTAGAAACCAAGTAGTGTTAGTCAATAACTTTGTTTCAGAATTATTTTAGCTATTCTAGGTTTTTTGCATATCAATTTAAATTTGGGGCTCAACTCATCAATTTCTGTAAAATCCTGTTACATTGAACCTCCACCTCCTGGCTTCAAGCGATTCTCCTGCCTTAGCCTCTCAAGTAGCTGGGATTACAGGCACGCCCCACCACACCTGGCTAATTTTCTGTATTTTTTGGAGAGAGAGGGTTTTCACCATGTTGGCCAGGCTGGTCTTCAACTCCTGAGCTCAAGTAAGCCATCTGCCTCAGCTTCCCAAAGTGCCGGGATTACAGGCATGAGCCACCTCGCCTAGCCTCCTGCTGCAAACTTCTAAGAAGAGACTGAAGATGCAAAATCAATTCTCTGCCCTCAGCAAACAGAAAGACACCCCAAGTCTGTTTTCATGCTAAAGACTTGAAACAAGAAGACATACATGCAGCCAAAAAACATATGAAAAAAGTTCATCATCCACTGATCATTAGAGAAATGCAAATCGAAACCACAATGAGATAACATCGCACATCAGTCAGAATGGCGATTATTAAGAGGCCAAAAAACAACAGATGCTGGCGAGCTTGTGGAGAAATAAGAACGCTTTTACCCTGTTAGTGGGGATGTAAATTAGTTCAACCGTTTTGGAAGACAGTGTGGCAATTCCACAAAGATACTATTTGACCCAGCAATCCCATTACTGGGTATATACCCAAAGGAATATATATCATTCTGTTATAAAGATACATGCACGTGTATGTTCATTGCAGCACTATTCACAATAGCAAAGACATGGAATCAACCCAAATGCCCATCAGTGATAGACTGGATAAAGAAAATGTGGTACATAGACACCGTGGAATACTATGCAGCCATAAAAACGAACAAGATCATGTCCTTTGCAGGAACATGGATGAAGCTGGAAGCCGTTATCCTCAGCAAACTAAGGCAGGAACAGAAAACCAAACACCGCATGTTCTCAACTTATAAGTGGGAGCTGAACAATGAGAACATGTGGACACAGGGAGGGGAATAACACACACTGGGACCTGTCAGGAGAGGGTAGGGCTGGGGGCATCAGGAGAGCATCAGGAAAAATAGCTAATGCATGCTGGGCTTAATACCTAGGTGATGGGTTGATAGATGCAGCAAACCACCATGGCACACGTTTACCTGTGTAACACACCTGCACATCCTGCACACGTATCCTGGAACTTAAAATAAAATAAGATAAAATGAAACAAAAAAGACTTGAAACAAAGCCTCTACCACATACTCTATGTCAGTATTAAGTTCTATTGAAAAGAAAAATTTCCAAGCATTTTATCAGAAATAATTTTCGTAGTGTATTCATCAATCTCAGCCACACTAGCATGGCTGTTCTCAGTATTACAGATGAACCCACACGACCTCAGCTGCTTTGTCATGTCAGTTACATGTACCATTATTCAGAACGAGTGGGCCCATTTTCAATTTCCTGTTGTAAGGTTAGTCTGTCTTCAATCTATCACAGGACGCAATGGCGTTGTAACTAAGATTCATAATTTCCAGTAGGAGAATGATTTGTCATCACATTCCATAGTCTCAGGGTTGACTGTTTCGTTGGTCTTGCTATTGAATGATTAAGGGAACAGCCAGGAGATTTTAAACACTCCTTACAAAGCGTTTTCCTCTGGAGACCTACTTGGCTGCTGCTTAATCTTAATGTGTGCAATTAGAAGTTGTAAATGTATTCAGAATATATGGGCTTAGAGAGACTGGTTGTGGCTCTGATAGCTGACAGTGGCAGATAACGGCTTAAGGGTAGATGTAGGATTAATCTGCGTCTCTGGGTTTTATGATCAGGCATCTGTTCGCATTTGTGCCATCGTTTGTCTTTGTCGTCTCTCAGGCTCTGGGGATGGGCCGTCCTCATCAACCTTACTCTATCTTCCCTTGGCCTCTGGAGCATTGGAAACCTGTGACTGTGATTTGTCCCTCCCACTTGGAGCTTCAGACAGTGAAAACAGAAGGTAGAGTGAAGTTGGTAGACACTATTAGTGATCAGATACCATCTGCCTTCTCACCAACTATTAACCTTGAAATCAGGGGGAGTGGGTGGGAAGGGCTTCATTTAACACTGCATATAAACAGTTGAGTGATTGATTAGTCACCAGGGTGTGTAGTGTGCTTCTTAAATGTCTGATGTCCACGTGGCGATGCATTCTCCTCTTCCGGCATGTCACAGGTTTTCTGACCATACTCAATTCTATCTCTAAGCCCCAGCTAAAGAATGAGTAAGTCTCCTTAATTTAAAACATCAAACCCCTCTTATGCTTACCATTATCTCACATACAAACAGGTCAACTAAGAACAAATAAATAATAAAGCAGGTTAAGTGTAGTAAATGGCATGGTTGTAATTTTTTCACACGATATTGACAATAGCTATTCTGATTGGAAGATAGATGTGTAGACATCAAATTAGTTACCTGGTCTTTGAGTTTTTCTGTGCATTTCTAGATACATTTTAAATGTGATGATTCCATGTTCTATGAATTTTGCCTTTAAATTTCAATAACCAACACATCTAAAGTCATGATTCCTTTCAGGCTATCAAACCTAAAACGTATGAAAGCTTAAATTGACTGGGTAACTCCTTCCTGTTTTTCTGATTTCTGTTTTATTGTATTTCTAGTTTTATTGCTTATTTCTCTCTCTCTCTCTCTCTCTCTCTCTCTCTCTCTCTCTCTCTCTCTCCCCCTCCATCTCTCTCTCTATCTCTCTGTCAACTCTATTTGTATTTCTATAATGGAAACTCAAATTTGCCTAACTCAGATTGTAGCACTTTTCTTCCTCAGGCTAGTCCTAGGAAAACTCACTTGTTTTTTGTATGGAAAACTAGTGTTAGTAGAAGCCTTTATTCTTGCATAGCCCCCAAATCAGCTTTTTCAGCTATAATTTAGTAAGTCTAATGTGTTCGACTGAAGTACTTTTTTTTTGTAATAACAAGTGAAAAATAATGAAGAGTGTGTCCTGGCGCAGTGGCTCACGCCTGTAATCCCAGCACTTCGGGAGGCCGGAGGCCGAGGCAGCGGATCACTTGAGGGTCAGGAGTTCAAGACCAGCTTGACCAACATGGTGAAGTCCTGTCTCTATTAAAAATACAAAAATTAGCCAGGTGTGGTAGTGCATGTCTGTAATCCCAGCTACTTGGGAGGCTGAGACAGGAGAATTGCTTGGACCTGGGAGGCGGAGGTTGCAGTGAGGTGAGATTGCGGCATTGCACTCCAGCCTGGACAACAAGAGTGAAACTTTGTCTCAAAAAAAAGAAAGAAAGAAAAAAGAAAATAATAAAGACAGCTTCTAGAATAGAATACAGGGCATAGAGACTGCCTCAGCGTGGATTGGGTTTCTGTTCCTGAGCCCGCTCATGACTCATACTTGGGAGATTAAGCAATGTGGAGTGTAGCTGTTGGCAGCAATATGCCAGATCGTGAAAACAACACATTTTGTTTTGAAGATAAAAATACCGTTCTCCAGGAAATGGTTCTATCGGAAAGACATTTGTTAAGTGACGAGTTCAAATCTTGACTCATGGATAACCTAGATATTAGAGGAAAAGCAAAGGTAATAAAAATAAGTTTGGCATTAAAAGGAGGAGACAACATTTATTAAAAAAATTAGTCAGGTATGTGCCCTGTCTCTGAGCATCAGCAGGCCAACCTTATTTAATAGTTCTTTGTTAAAAGCTAAGAATTTATACCACCTTAAAGCTGTCAGGGGCTTTAGGGAGCCCGAAGTGTAATTCATCAGAGTTGATGCTTACGTGTGATGAGCCTGAGCCCTTGAACACTTGATCAGGATTTTTCCTCTATAATCTTTATTTTTGGTGAATGATATTTTGGTATGTGGAAAGTGCACATAAGCTACTCAAATCCAAATGCTGTCTCTTTCTTTTAGTTTTTTTTTTTTAACCTAGAGTAAGACAAGTCTATAGCCCTTTATTCTATCATTTTCTAATTTAGTTTCCTATATTCCCATTACACTTAATCTCCAACCCAGGAAGAAGATGAGGGGAGAGGAAAGGAATATAGGATTCACTCCATCTCCCTGCAGCGTCTTGCAGGTCAGGGGTCTCATAATGAATTGAGTAAGTTAGGGACCAGCACTTTTAAACATTGAAGTGAAATCAAATAGAAAACATCGAAGTGGCTTGCATGTAGTCAGCCTAAAGTATGTTTTTAATCATATATAAACTCTATGTCTATGTATGTGTATGTGTGTATTTATATATCTCGTGTGACTGAGTTGCAACATAATATGTTTATCTTACCGTATGTCATAGTCAAAAAACTCTGAAAATCAATATTGTATCTTATGGATTATTCTCTTCTCAGGGCCATCTTTCCAAGGGATCCCAGGACGGGGGTAGTTGGAGGGCCACTTTTTTACAGCCTGTGTGACCAAAATGCCAATGCGTCTTCAGAGCCTCGAGTTCTCAGTAGCTAAGTGTGTCAGAGTAGAGGAACAACATAGGTTTCCAGCACTCATACTTCTCACATAGCAAAAATGAAGAATTAAACAGAGTCTCTTCATCTTGACGTCACCTGCGTTCTTCACACAGTGCTTTCAATACCATCTCTGGATGCCATCTTTGTAGATTGTTTGTTTGTTTGACATTTACTTTTTTTTTTTTTTCCAATTCGGTAATACTGATTCTTGACTTCCCCCTCTTTTTGGTACCTTTGTGATTCTCCTTGTACCTTCCTTCTTTCCCTCTTCCCCCTTCTGTGTATATGAATAGACATTCCATGCACATCAAGAATATGGGGGAAGTGATGTTTCTCCCTTCTCAGTGTGTCACATATGGATGTGTACAGCGTCAGCTTGTCCCAATACTGGAGATCTTTTTCTGACTATGTAAACTCTGTGTGTGTGTGTGTGTGTGTGTGTGTGTGTATACACACCAGCTATGTGTGCTGGGCTAAGGCTTCCTCCCCTAGTTAAACTGGTATTCCCTGGTTTCTCCGTGTACTGTACAGGTATTATATTTCCTTTGTAATTAGTAAGTAATTTTTGAGAGGGTGCTCTTAATCTCTATCCTCATCAAACTTTCACTTGCAAATTTTAGCATTCATTAGTGGCTTTTGCCTAGTAATGTAGGCTTGGACTGTTTCTCCTACCTGACCTCTCAATCTTGAAAAGTTTTCTCCATTTTTAACAATCATTTATTAAAATGAATAGCTTGACTCTTGACCTCATATTCAAATGCCTAACCTCAAATTCTTCTGACCTACAATTCAAATTCTGCATGTAGCGTCTAGCTTAGACTTTTGGTCAAACAAGGACTCACTAAGGTTTGCATTTCTAAAGTTAGCTTCAGGATACTTAGAATATTAAGGAAAGGGCCAGGTGCGGTGGCTCATGCCTGTAATCCCAGCGTTTTGGGAGGATGAAGCCAGTGGATCACCTGAGGTCAGGAGTTTGAGCCCAGCCTGGCCAACATGGTGAAACCTCATCTGTACCAAAAATACCAAAAAGAGCCGGGCATGATGGCCTGTGCCTGTAGTCTCAGCTACTCAGGGAGCTGAGGCAGGAGAATCGCTTGAACCCAAGAGGCAGAGGTTGCAGTGAGCCGAGAACGCACCACTGCACTCCAGCCTGGGCTACAGGCTGAGACTCCATCTCAAAAAAAAAAAAAAAAAAAAAAAAGAGTATTAAGGAAATATTAAAAACTCTACATATTCAATGAAAATTGACAATGCAGATTGTCAGCGGCTTATTCAGAGGCTGTGACAATTTTCCAAGGCTTTTCTAAGAGCGACATCTCGATCTTAACATTTCAGTAAGATTTGCTCCCGTTGGGTATTAATTTTTTGAAGCTTTTGTGATTGCATTAAAGTGGTGTCGCCATAAGTCATTATATTCACACTAGTTGTATTCTTGTTCAAGATTTGGAATAGCATAGAGAAAATGAAAGTGCTTGAATTAAATAATGGACGAATGCCTGTGCTGGGAAAGAAAACCTTGAACCTGCATAATTTTATGGCCAATTATACAGGTTATAAATGCTGAAGTTTTAGGTCGGCTTGTGTAAAATATATTAGCAATTTCTATTGCATGCGTCGTGTACTGAGCTGTAATAAGCCACCGCAGGATGCACCACCTGCTCCCATTTGTTCTGTGGTGGGGGGTTTGGACCTTCTAATGCCTCCAAAGTCTTTGCTAATAAGGCTCAGCTTTTTCCTGTATCTGCAGATGTCTTGGTCTGGATCCCTCACTTTTTTTCTTTTCTTTTTTTTTTTGAGATGGAGTCTCACTCTGTTACCCAGGCTGGGAGTGCAGTGCACCATCTCTGCTTACTGCAACCTCCGCCTCCCGGGTTTAAGCGATTATCCTGCCTCAGCCTCCCCAGTAGCTGGGATTACAAGTGCCTGCTACCACAGCCAGCTAATTTTTGTATTTTTAGTAGAGACGGGATTTCACCACGTTGGTCAGGCTGGTCTCGAACTCCTGACCTCAGGTGATCTGCCCTCCCGCCTCCCACAATGTTGGGATTACAGGCGTGAGCCACTGCGTCTGGCCAGGATCCCTCACTTTAGAGAGCAGATTCACTATAGGAATTTGGACTGTGAAGCAAATGTGTCTAAATTTACGCCTCTTTTTCAGAAACTTTTATTACAAAATTAAACATATTTTCTCATTAAAAAAAAAATGCACCAGCTGAAAGCAGCCACCCCTGCATTTCTCCTGATGCTGGGGTTTGGCCCTGCGAGGGCTGCTTCATGTGTGTCCGCTGGGCTCACTTGGACACTTACAGACGGCCCAACCCTCACTGGGTCCTGCATGAGCTCATAATGTGTCCAGGGCCTCATGCAGCCGGGAGTCTCCAGACTAAAGCCTCATTCTTGGCCTGGAGCACTGGCTCATGCCTGTAATCCTAACACTTTGGGAGGCCAAGGTGGGCGGATCACTTGAGGTCAGGAGTTCGAGACCAGCCTGGCCAACATGGCGAAACCCCATCTCCACTAAAAATACAAAAAGTAGCTCGGGGTGGTGGTGTGTGCCTGTAATCCCAGCTACTTGGGAGGCTGAGGGATGAGAATTGCTTGAACCGGGGAGGTGGAGGTTGCACTGAGCCGAGATCGTGCTGCTGCACTCCAGCATAGTTGACAGAGTGAGACTTGGTCTCAAAAAAAAAAAGAAAAAAAAAGAAAAAGCCTCTTTTATTTATTTATTTATTTTTTTGAGACATCTTGCTCTGTCACCCAGACTAGAGTGCAGTGACCTTGGCTCACTGCAACCTCCGCCTCCCGGGTTCAAGTGATTCTCCTGCCTCAGCCTCCTGAATTGCTGGGATTACAGGCCCCCGCCACCACGCCCAGTTAATTTTTGTATTTTTGGTAGAGATGGGGTTTCACCATCTTGGCCTGGCTGATGTTGAACTCCTGACCTCAAGTGATCCTGGTGAGCCACCATGCCCAGCCAAAAAGCCTCATTCTTAAGAATGAGAACAGAGATCGCGGGGCCAGATTAGAGGGTACCGGTGTGAACGGGGCAGTGGGGAGAGTGGGAAGCACAAAGTCTTCCCCCGCCCAGGCTTGGAAATCACATATGGCCACTGCCACTGACAGCCATTGGAAGTCCCAGGCCAGCCCCGGGTCTTGGGGTACAGTGATCTGTTCCACTTCAGATGGGAAGGGCTGCAAAGACTGTGGCCATCCACCACAAGCAGTCTTAGTGACAGCTTCCAACCTGGGAAACAATGCTGCTTCTTTCTTTTCTTCATAAATAAATTGTTTTTTGTTTTTTTTTTTTACTTTTTCCATATTTATTGAGGTACAATTAATGAAATTATATGTATGTGAGGTGTACAATGTGATGGTTTGGTATCTGTATACATTTTCCTTTATATACCTATGGACATGTGTTTGTTTATCTTTTCTTCAACTTTTATTTTAAGTTCTGGGTACATGTGCAGGATGTGCAGGTTTATTATGTAGGTTAACAATGTGCCATGGTGGTTTGCTACACAGATTATCCAATCACTTAGGTGTTAAGCCCAAGCATCCATTAGCTATTCTTCCTGATGCTCTGCCTCCTGCGACCCCAACCCTCCGACAGGCCCCAGTGTGTCCTTCCCCCATGTGTCCATGTGCTCTCATCATTCAGCTCCCACTGATAAGTGAGAACATTCGGTTTTTAGTTTTCTCTGCCTGCATTAGTTTGCTGAGGATAATGGCTCCCAACTCTATCCATGTCCCTGCAAAGGACATGATCTCGTTCCTTTTTATGGCTGCATAGTATTCCATGGTGTATATGTACCATGTTTTCTTGATCCAGTCTATCATTGATGGGCGTTTGGGTTGATTCCAGGACATGCATTCATTTAGGTGTGTGGATCTCTCTATGCATATATGAGTTCATGAGGACATTAATATATAAACCATTTTTCTAGTTTCATCAAGACATTATTCTTCCTATCTAGAATTGCATCTAAATCTTTTCTAGAACGTCTGGCTCCTATTTCAGTCATAGTTGAGTCAGTTCCCCCGTGCCTCATCCTTTTTCTTTGCAGCAAAAGTTGCATTTTACAGCCTGAGCTCAGCTCCATTTTTTCCCACCAGAAATCATTAGTTTACAGCAAGGAAATTAATATAAAAGTAAGAGTAGGGGCGGGGTGTGGTGGCTCACGCCTGTAATCCCAGCACTTTGGGAGCCCAAGGCGGGCAGATCACCTGAGGTCAGAGTTTGAGACCAACCTGGCCAACATGGTGAAACCCCATGTCTACTAAAAATACAAAAATTAGCCAGGTGTGGTGGTGCATGCCTATAATCCCAGCTACTCAGGAGGCTGAGGCAGGAGAATTGCTTGAACCCAGGAGGAGGAGGTTGCAGTGAGCCGAGCCGAGATTGCACCACTGCACTCAGCCTGGACAACAGAGCAAGACTCTGTCTCAATAATAATAATAATAATAATAATAATAATAATAATAATAATAAGAGTAGGAGAAGCTGGCCTCGAAGTCAGAGGCCTCCACTTCTGAATGCATCTGTGATGTCATTGCTACTGCAGCATCCAGAGCCCTCCCCACTGAAAACATTCTGAACTCTTCTCTTACAGAGATTAACCAAAGTGCTGATAATTTGCACATATTTCTTCTGATATGTGGACTTCGACAAGTTAAGGATCCTCTCTATCTGGTGGACGCATTTTCAGGTGTGTTTGCTGGCTACCTTCCTCCACTGTTTATAGAATTCCTTGTGGGCGCCCATCTCAGCATTTCTCTCTTCAGGGCCCTGAGTTTTCTTTCCTCATTCTTTGCACGTGAGCAGAACTGTTTCTAGATTGCTACTTTGGAAAAGAACAGAAAAATAATGCATGGGATCAGCAGCTCTTTGGAGGAATTTCTGTTTAGTTTTCCACTGTCCTGTGCCCTCAGGTTCTGAGAAAATCATAAAAATAGCAAATAATGATAGGACTAAAATAATTTTACCTGAAAATATTTCACACATGCTGATTTGTGTGATGCATTTGGAGTTTTGGTTATTGTTTAAGGTAATCGATACAGTCTTGGTATATTCCAAAGTCCACATTGAATTGGGGTGATATTGGAGACTAGTCCTAGTTATCCAGTAAATTAGAAATCTGGACAATGGATAATATTGTAGAAATTCACTTAAAATCATAAAATGTCAAATACAGAAATTCTAAATAAATATAATTTAAATTGCCTAATATTATGAATGAAAGCCAAATGATATGAAATAATTTATGTTATTGAGAAATTTATATTGAAGTTAGTTGTGCTTGCAGCTGTGACTTAAACCCATTTGAAGTGTTTTTTTGTCTTCTTTTTTCTTCCCAAGCCTGGCATCAGGAGGAGCCCAATGTGCACCTGGTGATTGTGGGTCCTGAAGTAAGTTGATGTGCAGTAAACACTTATCTCATCTCTGTTTTCCTCTATATACTTTTTATGTATTTTCTACAATCAGTTTACATTGCTCTTCTTTATTTTTTTGAGACGGAGTCTTGCTCTGTCCCCCAGGCTGGAGTGCAGTGGCGTGATCTCGGCTCACTGCAACCTCTACCTCCCGGGTTCAAGCAATTCTCCTGCCTCAGCCTCCCGAATAGCTGGGACTACAGGTGCCCACCACCATGCCTGGCTAACTTTTTGTATTTTTAGTAGAGACAGGGTTTCACCGTGTTAGCCAGGATGGTCTCCATCTCCTGACCTTGTGATCCACACGCCTCGGCCTCCCAAAGTGCTGGGATTACAGGCGTGAGCCACCGCGCCCAGCTTACATTGCTCTTCTAACCAAGTGGAGTTTTCCTCTTTTTAAGTAAATGAAGTCAATTTGCCTCTTAAAAATGAAAACTAGACCAAGGTTAAAGATCATTACAACGGCAATGAATCTTGACGACTAATTTATTGCTACAAAGGATAACTAATAACTTCTACGGAAATACAGAGGAGTCCGGCTGGGCGCACTGGCTCACGCCTGTAATCCTGGCAACTTCGGGAGGCTGAGGCGGGCAGATCACCTGAGGGCAGGAGTCGGAGACCAGCCTGGACAACATGGTGAAACCCCCATCTCTACTAAAAATACAAAATTTAGCTGGGCATCGTGGTGGGTGCCTATAATCCCAGCTACTCAGGAGGCTGAGGCAGGAGAATCGCTTGAACCCGAGAGGTGGAAGCTGCAGTGAGCCAAGGTCGCACCGCTGTACTCCAGCCTGGCCGACAGAGCAAGACTCTGTCTCAAAAAAAAAAAAAAAAAAAAAAAAAACAAAAAAGAATAGAAAAAAAGAAAAGAAATACATAGGAGTCCTATAAAAAGAAAATTAAAGTTATATAAAGTGAAAATTAGTCTAATTTGGTGCATAAGGCAAATATTATGTGTGATCCAAATTGTCTTTGAAATTTCCTTAAATTGCTCAACAAACTTGGCACGGTTCCTTCCACCCAGCATCAGATGGCAGGTGACACCTTTGGGAGCCTTGTTGTGTGGAAAATGAGTATCTGTAAATCCGAGAAACACGCTGGGATGGGAGACGTTCTGGTGGCCGTGACTATGGTGGCCGTGACCGAGGGATGGAGCCCCTGAGAGCCACTTGCAGATGCCGCCTCCCATTCCATGGGGACTCTGGGATATTCACTCGTCCCTCACCAGATCAGGACCAAACACGTGCTGTGTTCCACGCCAGTCCTAATAGAAGTCCCAAGGGCTTAGGATTCATAGAATCTGTGGCTGCACTGGTCATCTCATGAGAATGAGCTCGTCTTTACTCCAAGCGGTTTGGAAAACAGAATACACCTAGTGTTTCCAGCCAGACAGGGTGGACCGCTGCCAGTGACAGCTCCGCGTGTTTGTGGTTTTTTTTTTTCTTTCTTTCTTTTTGAGATGGAGTTTCGCTCCTGTCACCCAGGCTAGAGTACAATGGTGTGATCTCGGCTCACTGCAACCTCTGCCTCCTGGGTTCAAGCGATTCTCCAGCCTCAGTCTTCCTAGCAGCTGGGATTATAGGCGCCTGCCACCACACCTGGCTAATTTTTGTATTTTTAGTAGGGACGGGGGTTTTACCACGTTGGGCAGGCTGGTCTCAAACTCCCGACCTCAGGTGATCCACCTGCCTCGACCTCACAAAGTGCTGGGATTCCAGGCATGAGCCACCGCACCCGGCCTCTTTGTGGGGTTTTTGTTCCAGGGTTGCTGCTATGGCCTGAGTGTGTGCATCCCTCCAGATTCCTATGTTGAAACCTGTTCCCCAGTGTGAGGGTATTAGGAGGTGGGGCCTTTGGGGGTGATTCAGATATGAGGGCAGATTTGTGCCCATTAGGGAGGCCCCGGAGAGCTGCCTCGCCCCTTCCACCAAGCGAGGACCTGGCGAGCATCTGGATGGGAAGCAGGCCTCGCAGACACCCATCTTTCCCGCACCTCAGTGTTGGCTTCCACCCTCTGGAACCATGAGCAGCACATTTCTGTTGTTCGTCAGCCTCTGCTTTATGGTATTTTGCAATAGCAGCTCACATGGACTAAGCTGCCTGGTCTGCAGCGTTAAATAAAGTCTGTGTGGCTGCACTGGTCATCTCATGAGAAAGAGCTTGCACTGACTCCAAGCAGTTTGGAAAACAAAACGCACTTAGCGTTTCCAGCCAGATGGGGTGTACCATTGGCAGTGATGACTCCGTTTCTTCAGGGGTGTTCTGTTTCCGGTCCCTAAAGCAGCAGTGTCCCTGAAAATCTGAGTGAAGCGAACTCTACACAACTGCCAGGCACCTTGTCTGTTTTGTGGTTCTTTCTTATATAGTTTTTTGTAGTTCCCTAGGGACCCCAAAAAAGCATGACATGGGAGTTACAAGCTTTTCTCAGTATTTTCAAAGGCTTTTGGAAATATTTACCTGGAAAGGGCCACAAAAGGTATTAAAAATGTCAAGGGCTAGGCCAGGTGTGGTGGCTCAGGCCTGTAATCCCAGCACTTTGGAATGCCAAGAGGGGCGATCACCTGAGGTCAGGAGTTTGACACCAGCCTGGCCAACAAGGTGAAACCCCGTCTCTACTAAAAGTACAAAAATTAAAAATATAAAAATTAGCCAGGCATGGTGGCCTGCACCTGTAATCCCAGCTCCTCGGGAGGCTGAGGCACGAGAATCACTTGAACCTGGGAAGCGGAGGTTGCAGTGAGCCAAGATTGCGCCACTGCACTCCAGCCTGGGTGACAGAGCAAGATTCTGTTTCAAAACAAACAAACAAATAAAAACATCAAGGGCTAGAATCTGTGTGACCACATTGAATACCATATGGAAGATAAATTACGCTTAAATGTGGCAGTTTGTTAACATACACCCACATATATGCATGCACACACACACCTTAAGTGCTAGCATTGTAGTAGTAACAAGATAATTCCCAGTGTGCTAATTCATGTTAAGTCCCATAGAGGTATGGTTATTATTATTACTTTTTAAAATTATCTTGTCATTTTTCTGTTTGAAGAACATTGAAAGAAAAACTTCTAGTTTGATGCTAAAATTCTGGCTAATCAAGAGAGAAGGCCTCAGACTGGGAGCCATGAGCAGGCAACAACAGTATCTAGAAGGCATTTAATAATGTGGTTTTCTTTTTCATTGTTTTCATTCTGATGATCACATCTCAGGTACAGTGCTTGATACCAGCTTTCCAATTATGAAAATTGCCTTTCAAAATAAATTGACTTCACAAAAAGTATAAGCAGTGGTGCAGATGGCATGCAGATATGAAAAACGGTGCAAGTGCATGCGACTAGCCAAAGTTTGGGAAAGAGTTCTGTACAGCATTAGCGTGTGGGATGGAAGAAATACTTAAAAAGAACCCCTGCTGGAGATGATCATCCACAAACACTGAACTGACGATCATCTGGTCGCAATGTCTGGCTTTTTCTGGATCAGGAAGCTGGTACGGGGGGCAAACGCAGGGGCACACAGATAGCACTAGGTATGTGACAGAGCCCTCTTCCAGAGAAGTAAAGACTCTGGGCGCGTGTAAGCTGATTGCAGAGGCGGGAGAAGAGAGAGCTGCTAGAACAAAGGACGCTGCCTGGATTGATCTGTCCTCTTTAACTCAGCTGCCTGCCGGTGAGGGAGCAGGTGCCATTTGTTTCTTAATGGCTTCTTAAGTAATAGTCTTTTAGGAGAGACGACCGTTGTTGCTGCTGTTGTTTTCATATGAAGCAATCAGAAATGTTTTTCACCTCCCGGAGGAAATACGTCTCTTCTACCACCCTTTTTTTTTTTTTTTTAAAATGAGACGGAGTCTTGCTCTGCCGCCCAGGCTGGAGCGCAATGGCGTGATCTTGGCTCACAGCAACCTCCGCCTCATGGGTTCAAGCAATTCTCCTGCCTCAGACTCCTTAGTAGCCGGGACTACAGGCACGTGCTACCACGCCTGGCTAATTTTTTGTATTTTTAGTAGAGACGGGCTTTCGCCATGTTGGCCAGGATGGTCTCAATCTCCTGACCTCGTGATCTGCCTGCCTCGGCCTCCCAAAATCCTGGGATTACAGGCTTGAGCCACTGCACCTGGCCACTTTTTAATTTTTTTTTTTTTTTTGATATGGAGTCTCACTCTGCCACCCAGGCTGGAGTGCAGTGGTGCGATCTCGGCTCACTGCAACCTCCGCCTCCTGGGTTCAAGCGACTCTCCTGTCTCAGCCTCCCGAGTAGCTGGGATTACAAGCGCCTACCACTACGTCCGGCAAATTTTGTATTTTTAGTAGAGACGGGGGTTTCACCATGTTGGCCAGGCTGGTCTCGAACTCCTGACCTCCGGTGATCCGCCTGCCTCGGCCTCCCAAAGTGCTGGGATTACAGGTGTAAGCCACCGCGCCTGGCCCCCCTTTTACTACTTCTCTATGGAACACGGCACCTCCCCTCTAACTTTCGTTTGCCTGCTTCTGAAAGCACAGTGAGTGTAAAAAGTGTTTGTCTTCCCTCCTAAAGTGTCTGTTAGGAATCTTGTCCCTGCAGGGCCGGGAGCTGACTCTGCAGGAGAAGCCACAAGTCCAGAGGCCTCCTCTTTTTATTTGAAGGGGTGAATGTGTGTGGTTTTTTAATTAAAAATAATGTCAGTGAAATGCCTTTAGTTTTAAGTGCTGGGAACTAAACACTGTGTTCATGTGAGGATATGTGCACACACACGCACGCACACACACACACACACACACACAACGTTGGCCTTGTATGTCCTACAAAATGCATCTCTGTATTTTCTTTGCTTTCCTAATTCTGGAAGGAGGTCATCGCGAAATGGGTTTGAGCAAGGATCGCCATGGCTTTGCCTGTTGAGGAGTTGACTAGGACTTGACATTGCAGGATTAGGGAACAGTCGGGGGCGTGGGGCTGCATGAAGGTGCTGCCGGCTCCTGGCCGCGATGGAAAGCCCCGTCTGGGGAAGCTTTAGCTCCTCCTTGATTTCCAGAGATCCCCCCTCTCCATTTCCAAGCTAGTCCAACACATCTGTAACATACCTGATGACAACATACGTGGTAGGCAAGTACGGGTCCCAGATGAGTCCCCTAGAGCTCACACCCCAACTGGATCGCCGTCCCTGAAACCCCCATGTCCCCGTCTGGAGCTGCACGTCCAGCCCAGCACGTTAGTTGGCTTGGGTGGAGCAGAGAACACAAAGTAATGAGAGGAAAGGGTAGCTGGGAGAGGCGGCCCTGCAGCAGAGTGTCCGGGACCCTGGTGGGAAGGACTGTGGTCTGAGAGTTTTTTAAATTCGTCGCCATCAATTATTAAGAATTCTAAAGCACCTCTTTCACGAGGCACTTTGCTGTCTATAATTAAAGCAGCCCTAGGCAATGGAAAAGTGCACCCTTTGGTTATGGATTTGTTGTTTCAGCAAACAGGTCATGAGCGCCAGGTCTGTGCCTGTTGACACGCAGCCCCGAGCTGTCCTGGGATTTGCTGAAACCGCGGCTCCCACATCCAATCGCGGTTTGCAGCGAGGCCGCCGGTCTTCAGCCTCGGGGGGCCTTTAGCAGAGGCGAAGGCTCTGGGCACGACCCTGGTTTAAGATCCGGCTCTGGGCACGACCCTGGTTTAAGATCCCTGCCTCGTCGAAGGTCCTCCATATCTAAGGGAAAAGCAATAGCCACCGCCACAAAACCTTGACGCCATCTCAGTGGATGAAATAATTTGAGTTTCTACGTTTCTAAGGTCTCGCGGAGTCTAAGAAATTACAAGCCCCTTCCAACAACTTATTTATTCTGGACTCCCCCGGTCCCACTGAAGCCTCACAGCGTGGGGGGCCTCTGGGCAGGTGTTTCAGTGCCTCGTGCTGCAGATAGGCTGGTGTCTTCGCTTGTTGTTTGTTTTTTAACCGTAAGCAGGAAACCACTCCTCTCCGGGAGAGAGAGCTTTTTAGGACGTGGGGAAGCCCTGTTTCCTAAAAGCCCTGTTTATCAGTGTCCATGTGTCAATGCTTTACCAAGGCCAGTTTCTAGTTCCTCAGCCGACGTCACTGAACACAGGGTGCGGAAGCGATGCGGGTAGACGCAGGCGGCGCCCGTGCGCAGGCGGAGCCGAGTCCCGCGCATTTCACACGGGAAGCCGCCATAGGCGCACACGCATGCGCACGTCAGAAACAAGCTCTATTGAACAATACGCTTTCTTTTACTTCATGCAGTTCATGCATTCTGATTTTTTAAAAACTGTCCCGGGCTGCCCTTTGGGATGATATGCTGTTCTATTCTACGTCATTTTGAGAAATGCTTGTTTTTTATTTTACCCCAAAATTGATTTTATAATTTGCTACTTAGGGTGTAGTTTGAAAAGCTGTGACTTGGGTGACCCCGGATGGAGGGTCTGTGTGTGGGTCCGTGGGTGTGTTGGACTCTGGTTAGGGCCAGTGCACTTACTGCTTCCTTGGGGTGAAATTCTCTCTCTGCAGACCTCAGTCTGGCTCAGATGCCACCCTCTCAGACACCCTTCCCCTGACCACCCAACTGAAACTCCCTCTCTTCCATCATCATTATAACATTTCCAAACATCGACTGCTTTTCAGAGTCAAGTATTCAATTTAATTACACTTCTGAATACAGAACTAGGAGGGGACTAAGGCGATTTCATGCTTGAAGTTGACTATTTCCTGCAGTGTGACTAGGGCACGTGCTGAAGATTGGGAGATGGATCTGAGAAGTGGGCGAGAGGTCAAGTCTTGGGACACATTAAAATTCTTATTGGAAAGACTATGGCATACAACAGATTTAACACCCTGAATCTCACCACTATTCGTGACATCCGACGGGAGTGCACTCTGCTTCAGCCCATGTCTTTCTCTGTTAACTGCAAAGCTCAATGAATGAACACACCCTTTAGGTATCAGCTAGACACTTTGGAGGGCTGGAGCTTTTCTAGGTCACGTTCAGTGCCTCTTAGTACAAAACCACATTGACTTACTGTGTCTTCAAAGAGACAGTCTTTTTTTTTTTTTTTTTTTTTTTTAGATGGAGTGTTGCTCTGTTGCCCAGGCTGGATTGAAGTGGCACGATCTCGGCTCACTGCAACCTCCACCCCCTGGGTTCAAACGATTCTCCTTCCAAGTAGCTGGGATTATAGGCACGTGCCACCACACCTGGCTAATATTTGTATTTTTAGTAGAGACGGGGTTTTGCCATGTTGGCCAGGCTGGTCTCGAACTCCTGACTTCAGGTGATCCACCCGCCTCGGCCTCCCAAAGTGTTAGGATTACAGGCGTGAGCCACTGCGCCCGGCCAGCTCAGTCTATTTTTAGGAGGCAATGGCAGTGCATCTATGCAGTGTTTCCCTCTTGTCCATTTCTCTCCTTGAAGCCCTAGTTCGCAGGAGGTCCCAATGAAGAAACCACACCAGCTCAGTCCTGAGCCTCCACCCCAGGCATCAGAAACCACCTCTGGCCCAACGCCAGCCAAAAGTTATTGATTAGAAGAAGACAAGGTCTCACTAAGAGAATTCCTGGGCAGGCTGGCGAGCCAGCTTGGATTTAGGCAGAACCAAGACATTCCAGAGGCCAGGATGTCGCGTCAAGAAGCCCTTCATTCAAGGCTTCACACCTGAGAAAATGAGCCCCACCCATGCCTCAGTCTCTGTCATTCTCTTCAAGGACGGGGTCCAGGACAGGGTCCTGGAAGTCTCTGTCATTCTCTTCAAGGATGGGGTCCAGGTCAGGGTCCTGGAAGTCTCTGTCATTCTCTTCAAGGACGGGGTCCAGGACAGGGTCCTGGAAGTCTCTGTCATTCTCTTCAAGGACGGGGTCCAGGAAGAGGGCACTGAATTGTCCCCGCCTGGGTCATAGCCCACCCTTTTGTGAGCCTGGAACAGGACAGGCTGGAAATGCTTCAGCAGAAGCAAGTACAGGCGGGGTGCGGGCTGTGTGGACTTTTGCACTGGCCATTTCTGGGCGCAGCCAGGAGGCAGTTGATATTCAAAGCAGTTTTCTTTGAATATCATCTCTCTGCTTTTTAATTTGCATTTTCTACTCTACCAGAGCTTTATGAAATAGTAGAGTAGCCGGGCGCGGTGGCTCACGTCTGTAATCCTTTTGGGAGGCTGAGGTGGGCGGATCGCTTGAGGTCAGGTGTTCGAGACCAGGCTGGCCAACATGGTGAAAACCCATCTCTACTAAAATCACAAAATTCACTGGGTGTGGTGGCACATGCCTGTAATCCCAGCTACTCAGGAGGCTGAGGCAAGGAAATCGCTTGAACCCGGGAGGCAGAGGTTGCAGTGAGCCAAGATTGTGCCATTGCACTCCAGCCTGGGTGACAGAGTGACTCTGTCTCAAAAAAAAAAAAAAAAAGAACAATAGAGTAGAGATGTTCTTAGATTGCCTAAAATGTCGCTGAGGCTGCATATGTTTTATTTATATTTATTTGTTTATGTATTTATTTGTAGAGATGGGATCCCACTATGTTTCTCAGGCTGGTCTGGAAGTCCCGGCCTCAAACAATCCTCCCACCTTAGCCTCCCAAGTCACTGGGACTGCAGGCTTGTGCCACCATGCCTAGCACTGTTTTAGTTTTTAGGTGCCGTACACATGCTCATTTTTGTGGTAATTCTTAGCAAGAACTTTTTAAAAAGATGGGTTGTAGTCCCGTACGAAATCCACGCAATCATTCAATGCTAACCGCTGGCAAGTTAGTTAACACCCCTAGACCACAACCACATGGCTTTGTAGTAGAGTGGTCACACGCATGTCGTGGATTCTGGATCCAGCTACCTGGGTGCGCAGGACTTAACTGCTCTGTCCCTCAGTTTCCCCATCTATAAAATGGGGACGACTGAGCTAATACTACCTGCCTCACAGTTTGCAGCGGGGATTCGATGAGTGAACACTTGGACGGTGCCTGGAATAGTGCCTGGTTCCTAGGCAGCATCCTGTGAGTGTTAAATAAAATATCTTTTTTTTTTTTTTTTGAGACGGAGTCTCACTCTGTTGCCCAGGCTGGAGTGCAGTGGCCTGATCTCGGCTCACTGCAAGCTCCGCCTCCCGGGTTCACGCCATTCTCCTGCCTCAGCCTCCCGAGTAGCTGGGACTACAGGCACCCGCCACCACACCCAGCTAATTTTTTGTATTTTTAGTAGAGATGGGGTTTCACCGTGTTAGCCAGGATGGTCTCGATCCCCTGAACTGGTGATCCGCCTGTCTCGGCCTCCCAAAGTGCTGGGATGACAGGCGTGAGCCACCGCACCCGGCCATAAAATATCTTTTCATGCTGATGTTACCTTTCTGCTTTGACATGCTGAGATTCTGTTTTAGCTGCAGGATGGTTTGAGCGTGGCTTTGGTTTTCTATTAAAGCTTCTTTGATCTCTTAGCTCAACCGTTTCAACGAAGCATATGGTCTCTGCTTGCAGGCGATCATATGTGGGTGCATTTTCTGGTGCTCTTTGATAAGGAGTGGGGTATGCACATTTGGTTTGAGCATGACAGCTTAATGACTTTCCACAATAACTTCTTATATCGAAGATTACTTCCCTTAAGCCTAGGAGTTGTAACAAGGTATTTTGCTAGAAAATAAATAAGCTTGGAAGGAGGAAATGAGAATTTTCATTGTGGCTTGCGATGCTTTTGCCCTTTAAAATTTCATGACATGTGCTTTCATTAAATAAAAATATCCCCCCTTCTTTTTCTCTTTATCTTGCACTTTGTTCCACGTGGCTTCACTAAGAGATTTGAAAGTGAACTGATGTGGAAGGTAAATCCAGAAAAATTTAATGCAGTTTTTAGTTTCAACTTGAAAGTTGCTGTTATGCCTTAAGTTTTAGATAAAGTGTTTTTGTGGTCTTATAAAATTTGATTTCTTTCCTTGATAAATTATTTTTCCTTAGTTATTCATGAGAGCAGAGGCATGCTAATAAAATTAAAAGTAAGAGAAATTCCTAACTAAAAATACTCATAAAATGTGATTTTGAAAATTAATATGTAGAGCCCAAAAAAGGCTTTCATTGGACTGTGTACTTTTTCATGATAAGATGTTAGGGTTAAAGGATAATTCAGTTGTTTAGGATAATTCGAGCAAAAGGCATCAGAAATGGGAAATGGAAAGGTGGGGTCTGCTGGAAATCATTCTTTTTGCAGATCTTATGAGCATAGAACTATATGCAGGGCCCTGTGCATGGCCTTGGGAGGGACATGGAGATAGGAGGAGAAGGTGGGCAAGTATCAAAAGACGTTGGCCCCTGTGGTAGGAGGTGTTACCATAGCGTGGGGTGGAGATGTTACTTCTGGACAGGGTGATGGGAAAGTGTCTCAGAGAGGGGGCATTGCCTGCATCTCAGAGGATGAATAGGTTTTGGGGACAGAGGATGACATTCCTGGTAGAGAGAATGCAGGGACACAGATAGACACTGATATGGTTTGGCTGTGTCCCCACCCAAATCTCATCTTCAGTTGCAATCCCGTGATCTCCACGTGTCATGGGAGGTAGTTTAATCATGGGGGTGGTTACCCTCACGCTGGTTTTTGTGATAGTAAGTTCTCGGGATCTGATGGTTTTATAAGGGGCTTCCCCCTTCACTCTGCACTTCTCCTTGCTGCTGCCATGTGAAGAAAGACGTGTTTGCTTCCCTTCCACCATGATTGTAAGTTTCCAGAGGCCTCCCCAGCCCTTTGGAGCTGTGAGTCAAGTAAACCTCTTTCCTTTGTAAATGATGCAGTCTTGGATGTGTCTTTATTAACAGTGCGAGAACAGACGAATACGGACACGGTTGGGGTATAGTGGATAAATTAATAAGTAGGTAGGCTTTCCAGAATCGACGTAAGCTTATGAACTATATCTGAGGAAATACTTTGGACAGAAACTAGAGAGGCAGCAGAGCATAGTTTTACAAATTCAGCCCCAGGAGTCAGCCTGAATGTGAATACTGGCTCAGCAACTTTCTAGCTGTGTGATCCTGGTTAAGTTATAGAACTCTCTGAGCTTCAGTGTCTTCATTTGTAAAAGGCGGGTAATGATAACCAGGTTGTTGGAAGAAATAAGCTAATGCATGTAAAGGACTTAGCATATGTTCTGCACAGAGTAGGTGGCCGAGAAGTATTAACTATTAATGGCAACAACAGCAATAAACAAAAAAATTGTGTATGGCTATAATTTTTCTCTTGAAATAGATTTCTAGGAATTCTTTTAAATTTTCTTATGCATCCAAATTGGCTGAAGGCTAACAGCAAATTTTCAGTGACTTAGTGACCTCAGGGATGTCAACGAGCTTAACATTACCAATCCTTTGCGTTAAATCTCAGGCTTTCTGGTCATCTGAAGGAGCTGGGGTTTAATACACACGTGAAACATCTCCTTGCCAGAAGAAATGGAAATAAAGTTTCTAGAAAGCAGCGTTATTTCAGTTAGTGTTATAAACTGTTGGGATATCATCATATTCTTCAAACCAACTTGGTTTGTAACTCATAATGCCTACTGGTAAAGTGTAAATGAGAATAGAAATTGAATATGCCTTCACTCCCGGCTCATCAGGAGTAGCAGCTGGGAAGAAACTGCAGGCATAGCATTAGCAAAATGTGTTTAGACCCTCTGCCTGTATCTTTGAATAAATGCTTAGAATTTTGTGTTACACTTGCATATATTTAGGAATTTTTTTCAGTATTTTAAAATTCTATTCATTGTCGATAAGACCAGGAGAGGCATGGGTGTTGGTTGTTTTGTTGAAGACTTTGCTGTTGGATGAGCCAGATATGATAACTGTATTCTGCAGCTTTGTCCTGAGTGGGCTGGAAAAGGTGAAACAGCACCCTAGGAAGGTCCTCTCAGCACCTCAGTAAGCAAACTTACCTGAGGCCAGGTTGTTGCACAAGACGAGATCATTGCACAAGACGAGGTTGCATAAGATGATGTCGTGTCACGGTGAGGTTTCTGCTGGTGAGGAGTGTGGCTGCTGCCCCTGGGAATCCAGGGGTTCCTTTCAGGCAATCAGGGAGCTTCTCTCTACCTCCCAGTTCTGGAGTTTTCAGAAGTGTGGCAGTGTCACTTAATCTCAGATGTGTACTTAATCTCAAAAGTACACATTTGAGGCCGGGTGCAGCAGCTCATACCTGTAATCCTAGCACTTTGGGAGGCCAAGGTGGGCGGATCACTTAAGGTCAGGAGTTCGAGACCAGCCTGGCCAATATGGCGAAACCCTGTCTCTACTAAAAAAAAAAAAAAAAAAGTACACATTTGAGATTAAGCTCAGCCGGGCACAGTGGCTCATGCTTGTAATCCCAGCACTTTGGGAGGCCGAGGCAGGAGGATCACTTGAGCCCAGGAGTTCGAGACCAGCCTGGGCCACATTGTGAGACCCTGTGTTAGTTCTCCCACTGCTATAAAGAACTACCTGAGACTGGAGAATTTATAAAGAAAACAGGTTTAATTGGCTCAAGTTCCTCAGGCTGTATAAGAAGCACAGCCAGGGAATGCCTCAGGAAACTTTCAATCACAGTGGAAGGCGAAGGGGAAGTAGGCGCGTCTTACATGTCTGGGTCAGGAGGAAAAGCGCGAGGCTGGAGGTGCCACACACATTTAAACAGCCAAATCTCCTGAGAACTCCATCGCGAGACAACACTGGGGGATGTTGCCAAATTGTTAGAAACCCCCCCCCACCGCCGATCCAATCACCTCCTACCAGGCCCCACCTCCAACAATGGGGATTACAATTTAACAGGAGATTTGGGTGGGGACACAGATCCAAACCATATCAGACCCCATTTTTAATATATATATATATATCTTATATATGTACACACATATGTGTGCATATATAAGATTAAGCTTATAGATTATTTTGTATTGGTGGTGCCGTCTGTAGCTCTCAATAGATGTATTTTGTATTGTATTGTAGCTCTCAACAGATGTATTTTGTATTGGTGGTGGGATCTGTATTGGTATTGTATTGGTATTTTGTATTGGTGGTGTCGTCTGTAGCTCTCATCGTTATTTTCTTCTAGCATTTTTCTAATAAGACTTCGACATTTGACTTTTTTCTTCTGCAACACATATAGCAGTTACTGTGTCCCAGGCACAGTTCTAACAGCAACCAGAGAGGCAGCAGAGCATAGTTTTACGAATTCAGCCCCTGGGGTCAGGCTGAATGTGAATACAGGCTCAGCGCTTCATGTCTTCTCAGTCATTTACTCCTCCGAGCAATCCCAAGGTGCTAGAGTTCTCATTGGACAGACGAGCAAACTGACACGCAGAGAGGTCCGTTAATGTGCATGAGGCTAGTTTGGTGCCTGGGTGGCCTGACCCTGGCCCTCTGTATCCGGAGTCCCCTCAGTCTGGTGCTGCCTCTTTCTGGCCTCCACACATCCACTACGAGTTTGCTTAAAAACTTCTGGCCTGTCTTTGAGGAGCGATAAGTTTGAACATGTTGCTATTAATTTTTGCATGAATTCAACAAGTGTGTTATTAGCCTTCAGGAATGCAACAGGACGGAAATAGTCCCTGCCCCAAAGCACCTGTTCCTTCCAGATGCAAAGCAGGAGTCAAGTCGGGACTGGAGGATGTTAGGTTGTGACTAATGAAAAGGCTGCCCCTGGCCTTTAAAAAGTTGAGGTGGAATTCACATGCCACGAAATTCACCATTTTAGAGGGTACAAGCCAGTGGGTTTTAGTCTATTCACAAAGTTGTGCAACCATCACACCTATCTCATTCCTGAATATTTTTTCTCTCCCCAAGAGGATACCCTCTATCCACTAAGCAGTCACTTCCCATTTCCGCCTCACCCCAATAACCCCTAATTAGATCCTGAGTGACCCCTGGGTAACCACCAATCTACTTTCTGTCTCTGTGATTTGCCTGCTTTGGCCATTTCATAGACATGGAATCATACACTCTGTGGTCTTTCCTGTCTGGTGTAACTCACGTGGCATCGTGTTTTCCAAGCTCACCCTTGTTGCTGCCTAAGTTGGCACTTCCTTGTCACGGCTGAGTGGCACTCCTTTGTATGGATTGGCACATCACGTCTACTCATTCATCAGCTGATGATCAGGTCCTGGCCTTTCAAACTGTTTCTGCGAAGTCATCCTGTTAAAAAATATTTTGATATGGTCAGACCTTTGGTCATAGACTTACTAAGGATTCCAACCTATTCTGCCTGAATGATTTTATGACAAAATCCTTCTGCATCATTTAAGCAACACTTCCACTGCAATATTGGGTGGTTGTCAAATTGTCCCATTTCTGGAAACGACTCTGTCTCAAGACCTTAAGTTGGCTGAAGGGTTCTCACTCACCACACTCAGGTGTAGCCATACAGGCTCCTAACCAGAGTCTATATGTATTCTTTGGAACATTCTGTCTCTTCTTTCTCTCTCTCTTTCTCTTTTTTTTTTTTTTTTTTTTTGAGACAGAGTCTCACTCTGTTACCTAGGCTGGAGTGCAATGCGGTCATCTCGGCTCACTGCAACCTCCGCACCCCGGGTTCAAGCGATTCTTCCGCTTCAGCTTCCCAAGTAGCTGGGATTACAGGTGCTCACTCTACCCCCACGCCCAGTCAATTTTTGTGTTTTTAGTAGAGACAGGCTTTCACCATGTTGGCCAGCAGGCGGGTCTCGAACTCTTGATCACATGATCCCCCCTCCTCAGCCTCCTAAAATGCTGGGATTCCAGGCATGAGCCACCAGCATGAGCCACCGTGCCTGGTCTCTCTCTCTCTCTCTTTTTTTTTTTTTTTTTTTTTTTTACTATTATTGTTTTTATTATTTAATAGCTGGGCTCATAGTACCATTTCCTACTTATTTTTTTCCCTCTCTGAATTGTTGAGTCTGGCTCTGCTGCCATTTGATGTAATTCCTGGAGACTTAGCTTCATTTCAGGCTTTTGCTAACATGTGTCTTCTTTTTTTTTTTTCCACTGTTTTAAGGTCATTTATTAGAACACAGTCATTCAGAAGCCACTGAGACATCAGGCAGCAGGAAGGAAGGTGGGGTGGAGCAGGCCCTGTGAAGGACCAAGGACAAAGTAATAGCCTCAGTTATGAAATTTCATTTTATTCTGATAAAGACTAATGTATGCCTGATAACCTAGTGATAATCCACAAGTTTGGTAGTTCACAACATTTTTAGAAAGCACGTACGATTAACATTTAAATAAGGCATTATAGAAAGTTTTATAAAGAATGAAGTGTGTACTATAATTCTTTTAAGAAACTTTGGTTCATCTTGAAAGATCAATGAATTTTTAAAATATCAGAAGAAAAGGAAAATAAATTTTTTTCCCCAAAAATACATAAGAACTGCTTACTGGCACTTGTATTTTAAGTACCTGGGGAAAAAATGGAAAAGATTTTTAAAGGCAATTAATAACAGCTTGTACGAGGGCTTGTTTCATTTGTTCTGGCACCAAGTAAAGAGTAAATACGCCATGGAAGACGCCATCAGGTTTTCCGTCCACCTCTCCTACTGCCCCACTTCTCCCAGACCACACAGCACATCAGCAGCCATCCTTGCTGCCCCACTCAGGAATCACTTTAGATTCCAATTTTCTTTGTTTGTTTGTTTTTGTTTTTTGTTTTTTTTTTTTGAGACAGAGTCTCGCTCTGCCCCCCAGGCTGGAGTGCGGTGGCACGATCTAGGCTCACTGCAACATCCACCTTCCGGGTTCAAGTGATTCCCCTGCCTCAGCCTCCTGATTAGCTGGGGCTACAGGCGCGCCATCCAGCCCGAGTAATTTTTTGTATTTTAGTAGAGACGGGGTTTCACCATGTTGGCCAGGATAGTCTCGATCTCCTGACCTCATGATCCACCCGCCTCGGCCTCCCAGAGTGCTGGGATTATAGGCGTGAGCCACCACGCCCGGCCTAGATTCCAGTTTTTAAATGGCTTCTCAGATGACACCAACAGAGTTCTTTCCCTTTAAAATAAGGTGGCAGTGAATGCTAACAGGTATCGATTTCTTGGATCAGGAACAAAGAACTCCTTCAGGAAACTCACTTACTGGTCCTGGTTAACCTATTGTGTAAAGTCTTTTTATTGGCACACCTGTTTACTAATTATGATTGATTGCTATTTATGCCAAGGGAGCGTTTCCCAGGCATATCTCATCTATTTACTAACGACAAAGTGTGCTTACTTTATTTACATAGTGCCACAGGTTTTCTCTTTTCTCTCTTTTTTTTTTTTGGCAGGGAGTGGCACTATAACTTGTTATTTATCAGGGCGGATCATACATTTGGATCAAAAAGAGGAACCGGCAAGTAGATCCTAAAACACATTTCTCAACCTGAGTCACATCTGAAAACATATAGATTTTAATTACATTTTGTTGAAAATTCATTCAACTTCGGTGCTTGTCCAAGAACTTATAATGTTAATTTCTGACATAAATCATAACCCTCAGTACATATGTATTTTCAAAGGAAACAAGTCATCTTAAAGTAATATTTTTCTATATGCGAATGGATACATTGTTGTAGCAAATTGAAAATTCTGAGTAAACTGAAAGTATGCTTAACAACAAAATAAATACAGCATATATGGTTAGCATACACATTTCTTAGTAGCAGAGGATTTGTGTCTTACAACAAATCTGTAAACCCACTTGCTTTCTTTCTGGTATTTTATATAGTGTCTCCCCATGTTCCACAACGCTGGAGATGTCTTTTGTGGCATCGATCTGTGCAAACATTTCTGATCACATATTTTCCCCCAATGACATGTAACTTTTTTTTAACTTTTCCGGGAAAATACGGAAGCTTTATCAACCACTTATTAACTGAACAAAAACTTAGATTACTACCAAATGCTCTTTTAATTTTGCTCCAACAGATGTTTTAAAAGTTCAGACATCACTGATGTTTTTGAGGATAGCTGCGTAAAACACACTAGATGATTTCAAAGGATGAATCTTAGTATCTGACTCATTTGGCACATCCTTAGTATCTAGAATCAAATCAGTAGAAATAAAAGTCATATAATTTTCAAAGAATTCATACATACTGGAATTCTTAGGAAAAGCAGCTTCTAAATGCAAGGACTATGAGGTTTGCCCATCTTACTACTAATAGTTCCACACATTTCTCCTTATAGAGTAACTGAAGCTTCCTGGCTTGTTTGAGGAACGTCAGTTTGGAGGAAAGCATATCCACAGGGCCAAATCTTGTTGGTTTCTGTTCTGGAGAATGTTTCCAACACCGCTTTTTTTCTGGTAATAGTCCAGGACTGGCTTTGTTTGGCTTCATAAGCCTTTAGTCTCTTGATAACCATCTCTGGTTTATCATCCTCACGCTGAATGAGCGGCTCCCCTGTCAGAGCATCAATGCCCACAGTTGTGGGAGGGTTGAATCCAATGTTGTAGACTTGGCCATTGGTGAGATGAATCCAGTGAGCAGTAAGGCGTTGTTTAATGACCTCAAAGGACATATTCAGGTTAATCACTGTGTCGGTCTGATCAGCTTTATCTAGGGCTTCTGCCTGTGGAAGTGTCCTTGGAAAACTATCCAACAGCTAGACTGGGTGAGATTTTGCAGTTCCTGAAGGGCCACGCCAAGATGACATCATTTGGGATGAGTTTCCCTTGGTCAATGAAAGCCTTGGCTAACACGTCAATTTATATATATATGTATATATATATATAAAGTTCTGGGGTACATGTGCACAATGTGCAGGTTTGTTACATAGGTATACATGTGCCATGGTGGTTTGCTGCACCCATCAACTCGTCATTTACATTAGGTATTTCTCGTAACGCTATCCCTCCTCCAGCCCCCGACCCCCAACAGGCCCCGGTGTGTGATGTTCCCCTCCCTGTGTCCATGTGTTCTCATTGTTCAATTCCCACCTATGAGTGAGAACATGTAACAGGCCAATTTCTGCGCCCCGCAGCATGTTGTCCCGGAGCAGGTCCCCGCTGGAAAGGTGCTTTAGCTCGAAGTATTGAGTGATACGCGACGACACAGTGCCCTTGCCCGAGCCGGGGGCCCCCATGATCACCACACGCAGCAGCCGCGAGGACACCCCCGTGGCCGCAGACCGAGGCCCACGCCGCGCTGGCACCAGGGCTTTGGCCTGGCCCGTGCTGGCCGGCTGGCAGCGCCACTAGCAGGCGGCGACCGCTGACATTTATCTTTGTCTCTTTTCAGGTCGATCCAGTGTTTACAAGGGAAGTGAAAGCCAAAGTGAAAAGGTAAGAGTTGGTGGAGACCAGTCATTTTGCAGAACGGGAAGCCTGAGTGGCCCCTGGGTTACCTGAACTCACATTTATCCAGTCCCAGGCACTATTCCAAGCAGTTTCCAACTGTTTCCTCATGCATCTTCCCGGCGAGCCCGTGGCATCCTAGGCACTATTATTTGCCCAGGGAAAGGCCAATAAAAATCACTTTGTGATTATAATTTTTAATGGATCACATTGGCCAGAATGGAAAGATTTAAACTCTCAAGGATTTGGAAGAATGGAGGGGTATTGCCCTTTGTCACAGCCTGCCTGGAGGGCAATTTGTTGGTGTGTTGGTTATAAGTTGCATTTGTCGGCCAGGAACCCAACAGCACAGGCTTGAACAGATTGAACTTTCATTGCTCACATCAACAAGTCTGAGGGTGGTCATTCAAGGAGCAAAACGGAGGCTTCCCTGAGACCTCAGGGATTTGGCTCCTGTCTCTGTCCTGACTTCCTCAGCCTGTGGCTCCCATCCTGAAGGTGACATGGTAGCTATAGAGCTGTGTCATCAGTCTGCATTTTAAGTGGGGTGATGGGAATGAGCAGACCAGAAGGATGTGGGTCTTATTTGGGTCAGCCCCCTGTAAAGTGGTGTCTTCACAGCCCCCCAGGATTCCAGCCAGACTCATTGGCCACACCAACCACAAAGGGCACTGACAAAGACTGTTTTTTCCCCATCTATAATCAGGGATCTTTAGATTGCTCCTAGGTGCAGACGCGTGTGTGCAAAAGTATCACCTGCTCGGGGAAGGGAGGCCTGGCAGAGCCATGAGAGTGGTGGCCAGCGGTGGGGACGGGGAAGATCGAAGAAAGGCGAAGATTTACATTGTCTGGTGAAAAAAATAGAACAAGGCAAAATGTCTATGACAAAATAGCTGTCAGCGCTGTGTGCTGGGAACAGGGCTTTTGTGACATTATCGTCTCTAGTATTTCTATTTCCATTCTTTTTTGTTGTTGTTGTTGTTGAGACAGAGTTTCGCTCTGTCGCTCAGGCTGGAGTGCAGTGGCGTGATCTCAGCTCACTGCAAGCTCCACCTCCTGGGTTCACGCCATTCTCCTGCCTCAGCCTCCTGAGTAGCTGGGACTACAGGCACCCGCCGCTGCGCCCGGCTAATCTTTTGTATTTTTAATAGAGACAGGGTTTCACCATGGTCTCGATCTCCTGACCTCGTGATCACCCGCTTTGGCCTCCTAAAGTGCTGGGATTACAGGCGTGAGCCACTGCGCCCGGCCTCCTTTTTTTTTTTTTTTTTTTTTTTTTTTTTTTGAGACCTAGTCTTGCTCTGTCATCCAGGCTGGAGTGCAATGGCACAATCTCAGCTCACTGCAATCTCCGCCTCCCGGGTTCGAGCAATTCTCCTGCCTCAGCCTCCCAAGTAGCTGGGATTACAGGTGCGCACCACCACGCCTGGCTAATATTTGTATTTTTAGTAGAGACGGGGTTTCGCCATGTTCGCCAGGCTGGTCTCCAACTTCTGATCTCAGGTGATCTGCCCGCCTCAGCCTCCCAAAATGCTGGGATTACAGGTGTGAGCCACTGCACCCGGCCTATTTCTATTATTTCTATTCTTATTGTCTCATTAGTATTTTAAAGAATTATTTGAAAAAAAGTTGAATTATTAGAAAAATGTTCTCTAAATCATGCAGAGAAAATGGCATGAACCTTGTCTCTGACTCTTCTAGTCCTTGAGAGCAGGTGTCTTTATGGAGCATATGGAAAACAAAAGCAGACATGTTAAGCAACTCCCTCCCTCCCTTGTCAGGGACATGAGCTGTAAGGATTTCCACCCCAGTATAGTTCTCCTGGCTGAACGCTTGGTCAACAATGCTTACTTGCTGATCTAGAGTATTACACCCAAATTGTCATCTCTCCTCCTCCCAGCTGCCTACCCATGAGATTCTTGGAATCAGAGCCACTCTTCCTGCTTTGTGTTTCAGAGCCGCTGGGGTACGATTGATTGGAGAGATGCCTCAAGAAGATCTGCACGCGGTGGTGAAGAATTGCTTCGCGGTGGTGAATAGCTCTGTCTCTGAAGGCATGTCAGCTGCAATTTTGGAGGTAATTATGTAACTCGAGTACTGAAAGTGGGAGTGTGAAATTGTCCATCACTCCTTCTCCTATTTACGGAGGTGACGTCTTTGTCAATAACATTCTGCACTTCTCAAAGCTAAAAAGGCCAAGCAGCATACCTGTTGGAGTTCAAAAGTACTTTTGAAGTTCTATCTGGGAGTTTAAAAATATCATTTCATTTCTCATTGCTATCTCTCCTAGCCAGCTACGATGTAAAATAAAACTGGGATAGCATTGCCTCTCTGACCTTCTAAATATCTCTGACAGGAAGGCAGCTAAGGTTACAAAAGATTGAGACAGGAAACAGATTGAAGGTATTTTTGCAGGAAGCCTCCCTTTACTTGATCTTTTCTCTTTCTTTTCCATATGTTCTGTAATTCCAGAATTTAAGGGAGGGGAAGAAAGGGCTGGACTTTGCAGGTGGCAGGAGACAGGGGCAGGGTAGTGTTCGTAGATGACGGGGTGGCGTGGGGGCCAGGGTGGATCTGATCTCTTCATCTAGCAGTCAGCTCTATAAAATCGCTTCATCTTTTTTGACAAAATGTGTCTATCCCAGCACCACTCTGCAATTCCCCACCAGCATATCTGTGTTTTCAGGACCGAGGCTGGAGTGGGAAGGCCGTGCTCGTGAAACCCAGGCAGGCCCTGGCTGGGCTGTGTCCCCTCTTCTGTAAAAGATCCTGGCAATCCTCGCATTCCCTTTGCAATGGGACCACCTACATCTCTTCTCCTCCTTGAGAGGTTTTTGACTGGGGTATTTAACCATTATCTTCGGTGCTTGATATTAGGTCCTAGAGAGAATCACCAGCATGTGTCTCACAGAAAAAGATGTTCCTTCTCTTGTTTCGTTGTTAGTTCATTGCCCTGGGGGCTCCTGAAGAATGAACCCAGAAAAGGGCAGGCTGGGCTCACTCACACCAACGCCAGCCTTTAGCACTGGGTTTTCCTCATGCGATTAAAGCACCCAGGACCACAAGCCTGATTCCCTTGGTGGTTCTCAGCACACACACTGCACACGACAGACATGGCGTAAACAAGCATTGATGGGCACGTGATAAAGCCTGTTTTCCTGTCGAAAGGAAACATGTGGCCACTGCTTCCTGAGGTCTTTGATCCAGGTTTCATGTGTTCTTTCTGAATACGTAGATTTCTTATGTCAGTGTCTACTTAGGTTCACGCTGTTACTTTATCATAAGTCTTTGGGATATCCATGTATCCCCTTGGATACCAGGTGAATGTACTGAACTTACTGACAAAAGTTAAGATCTGCAAACCTTTGGGGTCCAGAGAGAACATGGTAAATAAACTAGGAAAAAAATCCTCTCCTTACATTTAAGAAATGACTGACGTTGTATGCATAATATTTGCTCTTAATTTGGCATCATTTATAAAAGAAAAAAAAGACCCCAAAGAAAAAAACACAGAGGGAGATGGCAGAAGCTGTGTGTCCGTGCCCATGAATCTGCTGTTAGGTGCTTTCAGAGCACAAAGTGTGAGTTTGTAACGTGATCATCCTCAGCCAGATGTCAGCACCTCTGCTTAGGGGTTGTCACTAGTATTAATCTCCATTGTCCTTTCAAATTACCTCCCAACTGCAGTCCTCGGGGCAATACATTTTATTCGTCATGTAGGCTTTAAAAGTGTATATGCTTATGGTACCAGTATTTGAACTATTGTGAACTGCTCCTTTGTAGGTAAATATACATTTTTTTTCAACTTCTTAAGGAAAGGTAGAGTGAAATTCGGGAATGATTTTATAACTAGCACACACAGCACTTCACTGCGGATGAATCGCTGTCAAACCTCATTTACTTCAAAGCAAAGGCAGCTGTTAGCAACTCTGACTGCCTTAAAATCTTGATGTTGTGTTCCTTTTGAAAACTCCAAAATAACCTTTGGGCGAAGTGTTTTGAATGAAACTGATTTTAGAGGAGTGGTAAGGGTGCATTTCATTAGAATTCAATTCAGATAGCCACAGTGTTTAATCATGGAATAAGTGCCTATCACTTTTGAAGGAAGTGACCTTTTGACCTTTCAGAATTAGCTGTATTTTCCCATGGAAGCATAGAAACGTCCCATTTGCAGAAACACGTTTCTTACTGATAAACTCCAAAAATCAAACTTTAGCTGGATTCGTGGGCAGCGGGGTGAACAATTCTACAACTAATCAGTTGTTTCCACTTTTGAGCTTTTTGACGGAGTTGAATCCTGCAGAGAATTACATTAAAAGTATATAAACAGTTATTTGCTTATCCCAGCCATCATGATTAGGCTCACACACACACGCACACACACAGGCACACACACACACGCTCACACACATGCACCTACAGATGCATGCATGCACACACATGTACACACGCACATGCACACGCACGTACACACACGTGTACGCACACACACACGCTCTGCCTGAGAGAGAGGAAGCCCATCTTCTAAAGCAGAGACGAGCACCTGCAGGAAGGAGGGGATTCCTGGCCTCTTGGCTTCCAGACTCCAGCCCTAGTGATTGAAGTGGGATGTGAAGGCATTCAAAGGCAGCTGCGACTCTGTGTCACTTTAACCTTGACTAGTTTCTGAGTGTGTGTGTGTGTCTGTAAGTGTTTGTAAGTGTGTGTGTGGATACGGCAGTGCGAGGCCTTTCCCACTTTGAAAAGCGAAGGGCCTTTTGAGTTTTCATCATTAGGAAGATGCTACTGGCATGTATTTGGGATGGAGCAGCTGCAGGGAGGTGGGGTGCCGGTTCAAGGTGCCAGAATATAGCTAATTCTGAAAGGTCAAAAGATCACTTCCTTCAAAAGTGATAGACACTTATTCCATGATTGAACACTTCAGCTATCTGAATTGATTCTAATCAATTCATTGCATCAGAGTTGTACCCAAATGCCATTGGCACCCTCATTGAGAATCACCGTAACCCCAATTATGTAAGATCCGAATGTGCTGTGGGCACGTGTAGCCCAACTCCATCGCCACATGACAAGCAATGCTTGTTTGACTTGACAGACGCTTAGTAAAAACCATTAAAATGCAAGCCGACCTCTCTGCAAGAAAATCTAGACATGGTGGTTTCCAGCCCCAGGTATACACCAGAATGACCTTGAAGCTTAAAAAACCATAAATACAGGTGATGGTGCCCCCCCCTCACAGATCAGCTTCACTTGTTTTGGGGAGGGGCCTGGCTGCTGAGTGTCTTATGACTGTTCTGCAGGGTAGAACAGAGGCACTGTCTCTGTAAACCTTTATCAGCTCTGCTGAAAATGGCATCCTAGCCACAAAGGCTTTTACAAAGAGTCTCAAATGAAGTTTCCTTCTGCCTGCTAAGAGCTTGGAGAGCTCATCTGGGGTAAATAAGAAATCAAGTGAGTTCTCATAGGAGCAGAGAGTAGAATGGTGTGTAGCAGAGACTGGGAGTGTGGGGAGTGGGGAGATGTTGGTTGAAGGACCTGAACTTCCAATTAGGAGGAATAAGTTCAAAAGATCTGTATTGCACGTCATGGCGACTACAGTTAATAACGATATCCTTGAAAATTGCTAAGAGTAGATCTTAAGTGTTCTCACCACACAAAACAAGTATGAAGTAATGCATATGTTAATTAGCTTGCTTTAGCCATCCCACGGGGTAGATGTGTATCGAAACATCATGTTGTGGCCGGGCGCGGTGGCTCACGTCTATAATCCCAGCACTTTGGGAGGCTGAGGTGGGTGGATCACCTGAGGTCAGGAGTTCGAGACCAGCCTGGCCAACATGATGAAACCCTGTCTCTACTAAAAATACAAAAATGAGCCAGGTGTGATGACGTGCACCTGTAATCCCAGCTACTAGGGTGGCAGAGGCAGGAGAATTGCTGGAACCTGGTAGGCGAAGGTTGCAGTAAACTGAGATCACACCACTGTACTCCAGCCTGGGTGACAGAGCGAGACTCCATCTCAAACAAAACAAAAGAAAACAAAAACACATCATGTTGTACACTGTAAATGTAGGCAATTTTTGCTTGCCAGTTTTTTTGTTTGTTTGTTTGTTTTTCTAATCAAGTGAGTTCAAACACAAAGGTGTCAGGTGCATCTTGGATCCTGACATTTCACTTGTCTTAGTCCCAGAGTGGGGTGCCTGACGCTGGCTCTGAACCGCTTTCCGTCCCAAGCCTGTGAGTCATGCACGGTGCCCTCCTGTGGACTCATGGGGCATGTTCTGAGGTCGAGCACACTCACCTCTGTGCACTGTCCGCCCAGGCACCGCCCGTCTCCCTCAGGACCAGCTGCACAACGTCATCATCGTCCAGGAGTTCTTCTCTCCTTAAGACGTTTCCTTTGTTAAAGGTACATTTTGTTGGTTTTCCGAGAGTTGACTTCGGAACTAGTTTTCTGTAAATGTGAAACCCTCAGATTACACTGAAGTCTCTTCGCCCTCTGTTCATTTCACGTCGTGAGTGGGTTGTGTTGCATCTTTTCTGCTGAACTGCGGTTTTCCTTGGAGGCAGGGCCGTGCCCGCCATGGTGTGGAATCCTCCCCTGCGTCTCCCCGTGCACTGTGGACCATCAAATGGGATGAGTGAGTTCATGCCTTCTGTCATTCAGCAGAAATGTGTAGAGTGCCAGGTCTGCCAGGCCCTGGAGATGCCGCAGCGGACAGACGCTAAAGGGCCTTGTTATCATGGAAGCCGTGTCCTTGTGAGGGACGGAAAGAAGGACTGGGAGATGGGCAGGAAGCAGGCAAATGGAAGAGTGAACAGAGAACTTTAGGACGTAGTAAGTGCTGAGGAGGAAGCGCAGCAGCACGACGTGACAGTGGGTGGCGGGGATGTGCTCAGGGAGGCTCCATGCTGTCATGGGCTGAACTGTGGCCCCTCCCCAAATGCCTGTGTTGAAGTCCTCACCCCTGGCGTCTCAGAATGGGAACGTATTTGGAGATAGAGGTAATCAAGTTAGAATGAGGTCCCTGGGCAGGGGTGTAGGGTGGGGGTGGGGGGGGGTGGGGCTGAAAAGGGAAATTTCTTTCTTTTTTTTTTTTTTTGAGATGAAGTTTCGCTCTTGTTGCCCAGGCTGAAGGGCAATAGCCGATCTCGGCTCACCCCAACCTCCACCTCCCAGGTTCAAGTGATTCTCCTGCCTCAGTCTCCCAGGTAACTGGGATGACAGGCCTGCGCCACCACGCTTGGCTAATTTTGTATTTTTTTTTTTTTTAGTAGAGATGGGGTTTCTCCATGTTGGTCAGTCTGGTCTTGAACTCCCGACTTCAGGTGAGCCGCCTGCCTCGGCCTCCCAAAGTTCTGGGATTACAGGTGTGAGCCACCGTGACTGGCTTTTTTTTTTTTTTTTTTTTTTTTTGACGTACTCTTGCTCTGTCACCCAGGCTGGAGTGCAGTGGCACATTCTTGGCTCACTGAAGCTTCCACCTCCCCGGTTCAAGTGATTCTTGTGCCTTAGCCTCCCGAGTAGCTGGAACCACAGGCATGCACCACCATGCCCAGCTAATTTTGTTTCTATTTTTAGTAGAGACTGGGTTTCACCATGTTGGCCTAGCTGGTCTTGAACTCCTGGCCTCAAGTGATCCTCCCACCTCAGCCTCACAAAGTGCTGGGATTACAGGCGTGAGCCACCACGCCTGGCCCATGTTGAGCATCTTTTCACGTGCTTATCGCCCCATTTATACCTTCTCTGAAGAACTATCTAGTCAAACCCCTTGCCCACTTTTTCACTGTGTTCTCCTTTTGTTGTTGAGTTGTAAGAGTTCTTTATATATTATAGATACAAATCTCCTATCAGCCTATCAGATATTTATTTCCTAAATATTTCCTCCCATTCTGTAGATTGTCTTTTCACTTTCTTAATGGTTTCCATTGAAGCTCAAAAGTTTTTAATTTTATTTTTATTATTTTATTTTTTTGTAGAAAAAGGAGCTCACAATATTGCCCAAGCTGGCCTCAAACTCCTGGCCTCAAGCAATTTTCCTGCCTCAATCTCCCAAAGTGCTGGAATTATAGGCATGAGCCACTGCACCTCGTTGAAAGTTTTTACTTTTGAGGAAGTCCAATCTTCCTATTTTCTTGTTGTTGCTTGTGTTTTTGATGCCATGTCTAAGAAGGCTTTGCCTAACCCACAGTCTTAAAGACTTAACTTGTGTATTTCTCTCTAAGAATTTTATGGTTTTAATTTGTCCATTATGTCTGTGATCCATTTTGAGTGAATTTTGTGTGTGTGGAGTGAGGAAGGGGCCAGATTCCAAATTCCTTCCTTCTTTGGCCTGTGCGCACTAACAATGACTAAAATAGCTTTTTTTTTTTTTTGTCTCCGAAACAGAGTCTCACTCTGTTGCCCAGGCTGGAGTGCAGTGACGCAATCTCGGCTCACTGCAACCTCCGCCTCCCGGGATCAAGCGATTCTCCTGCCTCAGCCTCCTGAGTAGCTGGTATTGCAGGCACAAGCCACCATGCCTGGCTAATTTTTGTCTTTTTAGTAGAGACGGGCTTTCACCACGTTGGCCAGGCTGGTCTTGAACTCCTGACCTCAGGTGATTTGCCTGCCTTGGCCTCCCAAAGTTCTGGGATTACAGGTGTGAGCCACTGCGCCCAGTCTAATATAGCTTTAATATAATTTTACTTTACTTTATCTCGAGATCTGGTCCTAAGGTCACCTGTTTTTTTTTGTTTTTGTTTTTGTTTTTGTTTTTTGAGATGGAGTCTCACTCTGTCGCCCAGGCTGGAGTGCAATGGCGCGATCTCGGCTCACTGCAAGCTCCACCTCCCAGGTTCGCCATTCTCCTGCCTCAGCCTCCTGAGTAGCTGGGACTACAGGCACCCACCACCACACCCGGCTAATTTTTTTTTTTTTTTGTATTTTTAGTAGAGATGGTGTTTCACCATGTTAGCCAGGATGGTCTCGATCTCCTGACCTTGTGATCCTCCCGCCTCAGCCTCCCAAAGTGCTGGGATTACAGGCGTGAGCCACTGTGCCCAGGCTAATATAGCTTTAATATAATTTTAATTTGCTTTATCTCGAGGTCTGGTTCTAAGGTCACCTGTTTTTCACTTGGGATTTATGGGTGTGGAGTGCGTTCTCAAGACCTGGGACAGGTCACTATGCTCTATAAAACTTACTGAGTCAGGTAGGAAGCCCATCTGCTACTGTAATCTCATTTGCAGTTATAACAATTCCCAGGGACAGATGTAAATTCTGTAGTATTAAGCCATTTAATCTGGACAAGCACGGTAGCTCACACCTGTAATCCCAACAGTTTGGGAGGCCAAGGTGGATGGATTGCTTGATCCCAGGAGTTTCAGATGAGTGTGGAAAACATAGCAAGACCCCATTGCTACAAAACATTTTTAAAAACATTAGCTGAGGATGGTGGCATGTGCCTGTAGTCCCAGCTACTAGAGAGGCTGAGGTGGGAGGATTGCTTGAGCCCAGGAGGTGAATGTTGCAGTGAGCTGAGATTGAGCCACGGCATTCCAGCCCGGGCAACAGAGTGAGACCCTGTCCCCTCTTCCTGGGACCCTGTCCCGTCTTCCCCTGCAAAAAGGTTATTTAATCTTCCCACTACCCTTTTGAAAGAGATTTTATTGTCTCTGTTTACCTCAGGGGAAACAGTCAAACAGCTGGGGAAGGTTGAGATGTTGACCCAAGATGGTACAACTAGTATCTAGTGGAACCAGGATTCACACCCAGGCAGGTCAGTTTCAGAGCTTCCCTTACAAATGTGATTATCTGTTTACTTTTAAAAAGTGTAAAATCTGTAGAAGAACTGAAAGAATGGTACAGCAAATACCTGTGTACCCTTCACCCACGTTCATCCTCCTGCTTCCTCTCCCTCTCCCTCATCTCTCTGTGTACACATACAGTCTCTTTCTCTCTCTTTTCTTTTGCCAAATCATCTGAAAGAAGGTGGTTGAGGTTGATCAAGGCACTGCTAATATTTCTCTCTGAAACTTTGCAGATAGGTGTCTTCTCCTGCACCTGAGAAGACATGAGCATGCCTGAGAAAGTTCAGTGTTAGTTAAATTACATCACTGGATGTGCACTCCATACATAATTCCCTCGGTGTTGTATTTTTTTTTTTTTTCAGGCAGGATCCACACACCATTCATGCATTGCATTTGGCTTTGTGTCTCTTTAGTGTCCCCCAACCCAGCTCCCCATAGCTCTTCATGACACTGAACCCTCTGAAAGGTCCTGGTCAGTTGTCCTTGAGAACATACTGATAGATTTGGCTGACGCATTCCTCAGGGTTGGATTTACATCCTATTTCCAGCTGGGACTCCACGCAGGTGATGTGTACTTCCCACCACGTCAAACGGGAGACACATCTGGTCAGCTCTTCTGACTGTTGGTGACAGATGGCTCCATTGTGAGGGCTCACCTGTCCCTCACCTCTCCTCTGTGATTGATAAGTCATCTGTGGAGTGGTGCTTTGGGATTTGGGGACACAGATGCTCCTCGAGTTATGATGGGACTGCATCCCAATAAACCCATCACAAGTTGAAAATACTGTGAGTTGGCTAACACAGTGAAACCCCATCTCTACTAAAAGTACAAAAAATTAGCCGGGCGTGATGGCGGGCGCCTGTAGTCCCAGCTACTCGGGAGGCTGAGGCAGGAGAATGGCGTGAACCCGAGAGGCGGAGCTTACAGTGAGCCGAGATCGCGCCACTGCCCTCCAGCTTGGGTGACAGAGCGAGACTCCATCTCAAAAAAAAAAAAAAGAGAAAGAGAGAAAGAAAGAAAGAAAATACTGTGAGTTAAAAATGCGTTAAATACCCCTAACCTACCAAGTATCATAGCTCAGCCTAGCTGACCTTAAATATGCTCAAAAGACTTGCATTTGCCTACAGTTGGGCAAAATCATCTAACACGAACCTATTTTATAATAAAGTGTTGAATATCTCACGGAAGATATTATTGGATACTGTACTCAAAGTGAAAACCAGAATGGTTATATTGTTGCTGAAATATGGTTTTTACTGAACATGTATTGCTTTTGCAGCATCATGAAGTCAAAAAATCCTAAGTCGAATCATTATAAGTCAGAGACCATCTGTATCCTGTTTCCCGATGACCTTTTACTCAATGGATTTGATCGGGATCCACTAGGATCAACTGTTCATCCCCGATCCTCACCTGAATCACTTATTACACTGGGGGTTACAAAGTGATGATTTTCTAATTCCGCTCTTCTATCTACACTTATTATATGTGCAGACCCTTCTGCAGAGATGAGCTTTCCCTTTTCTTCCTCCTACTTTTCCTCCTCCTCCTCCTCTTTCCTTTCATTTCCCTCTCATGACTAGGGAATCAGGTATTTTTGAAATTTAGTGTGTTACCATCTGTTACAATCATTATTCTTTTTGAAGTTGCAAAATTGTCCCGCTGTGGTCAGTGGGATCCCCTTGAAGTTGGCTTCTGTTTCCTTTCAACCTGACATCACTGAACTTAGAACACTGTAGAAAGAGAACCCGCAAAATGCCTCCTTTCCGGGCAGGCGAGGCCAGGGCTGCACACTGTGCTGTCAGGCCATCTTCTTGTGGCACAGCTGCTAGGTGCTGCCAGGCTGTGGGGCATCAGGCACATATCTCCAGACCTTCGGAAATGGAAAGTCGGCTTCGTGAATAATCAGAATGATAAATCATTTTCCTTTTACTTTTGTCTGCATGTCAGAGAGCTGAGTTTGGTTTTTGTGGCATTCATACTCCCTTGCCTGTGCTGGAAGGAAATGGCTCCTCAGGGAAAGTGATGATGGTAATTAAAAATGCATGCTCCATGCGGTCGGTCGGTGAAGAGGTGTCAAATGAGCATTCAGAGAGAGGGGGTTCTTTGTGACACTGCAATAATTATGTCAGACAAACGATTACAGCGTATAGTGTTTCAGAGCTTCCAAACATACTAAGTAATTAAAACTCAGATGTATTTTGAAAACATGCTGTTGAGATTGGGATATCGTTTTGGAAAGGCGTATTTTTTGTGAGGTGCCAGAGGTCCAGTTAACCCAAGAAGTTATTCTGCCCCGCCCTGACTCATCTTGCCGCAGAGGCTCTTGAAATGACTGCCTTCCACCCCCTTTTCTCCTGTCTCCTCCAGGCAATGGATTTAGAAGTACCGGTATTGGCCAGGAACATCCCCGGGAATGCTGCCGTGGTGAAGCATGAAGTCACAGGGCTACTGTTTTCCAATCCTCAGGTAAAGAAAAGTTCTTTCCCTCCATTCACTCACCTTATCTGAATAGTTTTCCTCTATGTTTAATGGAGAGATTCTTTCTGTTAGCGCTTAGTATTCCTGTCCTACCCGGAGCCCTGCGGAGAGCATGCTGTCTTCTGTTATCACCTGGGCAGCTGCCTGGGTGTACCACTAGCAGAAGCCTAGGGAACAGGAGCATTGAGTTCCATTCCTGATTCTGTTGCCAAGTTGCTCTAAGGGGCTGGGAAAGATAATCACCTCTGAGATATTCGGATTTCTGATTTCTGAAACGTGCACTCTCAGACACAACCTTGTATTTATGGAACATCTGCTGGCTTTCAAAGGACGGGCGCCTATGCGATCACTTTTCATTCCTTGAAACAAACGCACAAAGTATGCAGGGTTCTTGTGTAAATACAGAAACACGTGTGAATGTCGGGAAATAGAAGAAAGGGCCATGTACCTGTCCATCGGTCCAGCTGGTTATCCAGTAACTTCTGGGGCACACATGTGTGCCATCACCTCCCAGGAGCATGGAAAGGTGTTGCCCAGTGTAGGGGGCCACAGACAGTTCTGGGGATTTGCGGTCCAGGGTTTGCCTGCATCCGACGCCCTGAGTGCCTCCTGCAGAGAGTGACCCTGGCCGAGTCTCCAAGCCCCACTTTCTCTTCTGGATAAGTGGAGCTCATAGTAATACTTGCCTCTTAGAGTTGTGACATGCGCTGAATGAGTTGATGGCAGAGCTTAGAGGTGCACATGAAACATGCTCAGAGCTCAGTAAACACGGATATTATCAAAAGGGAAGGTGTTGGCTGGGTGCAGTGGTTCAGTGGCTCACGCCTGTAATCCCAGCACTTTGGGAGGCTGAGGTGGTAGGATCATTTGAGGTCAGGAGTTTGAGACCAGCCTGGGCAACATGGTGAAACCCCGTCTCTATTAAAAAGACAAAAAAAAAAAAAAAAAAAAGCTGGGAATGGTGCATGCCTGTAATTCCAGCTACTCAGGAGGCCAAGGCAGGATAATCACTTGAACTCGGGAGATGGAGGTTACAATGAACCAAGATCACGCCACTGCACTGTGTATAGGCAACAGAGTGGGACTCTGCCTCAAAAAAAAAAAAAAAAAAAAAAAAAAAAAGGAAGGCATTGTCACTACGTATGCCTCTTGTTAGGCAGTAGTAAATAAAAATCTTTTTTTTTTTTTTTTTTTTTTTATGAGACAGGGTCTCACTGTGTAGCCCAGGCTGCAGTGCAGTGGTGTGATCATGGCTTACTACAGCCTTGACCTCCTGGGCTCAAGCGATCCTCCCACCTCAGCCTCCTAAGTAGCTGGGACTACAGGCATGCACCACCACGCCTGGCTAATTTTGTTTATTTTTTTAGAGACAGGAGCTTGCCTTTTTGCCCAGGCTGGTCTCGAACTCCTGGCCTCAAGCGATCCATCTGCTTGGTCTCCTGAAGTACTGGGATTACAGGCATGAGCACCACCTTCAGCAAAAATTAGCTTCTTAAAAAAATATTAGGTTTTACGCCTAACCATCTTTATTAAAGCACATATGATATTCCAAAATCCAGAAAGTTATGCTTAAAAACTAAAAACTCAAATACTTGAATATTCAGTTTTTAAGATTTCCTACAGCAGATGTTTAATTCAAGTTCAACTTTCCCTTTCTATAGTGTGGTGACGTGTCATGCTTTTCACTGCCTGCTTCTCACAGAGTCGTAAACAAATTCCAGCACAAACAAGATGAAAGCCAGCTTCATGAGGCAGTGGGGGGGGACGGGTGGGGAGGTGGCAGCGGGGTGGGGAACGGCGGGTGGTGGGGGGGCAGCAAGGGAGTGGGGGCTGGCAGGGGGTGGGGGTGGAGATTGCAAGTCGCAAGGTATCAGCAGGTCATGAATAAATGCACTGACCATCCTGGGAAGCGGAGGGAAATAGCAAAGGTGGGACCCAGGAGTTTCTCTGTTATTGTCTACAAAAGGTGTAGGTAGCACTAAAGGCTTCTCTTTTGATAGTAATACCTAAAAACCTAAATAATATCAGAATAGGAAGAGTTTTCAGTAGTTACTTGTTGATTCTCCAAACAAAGGCTTATTGCTTTTTACCATATTCCATGTCTCTCAAAATCAACGCCAGCCAAGCTTCAGGTCAGTGAATATTAATATCCGCTCTGGCAAAGTGTTCTGGGATTTTTTTTTTCCATCTCCCAAAAGGCAACGTCTATTTACTTTATAGCTCAATTTCAGAGGACCAAAGAAAGCACTCCAACTTTATCAGTGAACGTCTGAATAGCAATTCCTTATAAGTGGATCTATTAGGCTGAACAAAAGAATGAGAGCTGTTTGGCTCTTCCAATTTCATACAGCCTCTTGTAAGATACTCCTTTTAATGTCTGCAAATCATTATCGTGCCGCCGATGTATTCAGGTCATTTCTGCGAGTTACCGGCTTCCTGTGAGCCATCAGACACGACTCTGCGGCACTCACGGAGTCTCGTTGCAGACTTATTTTGATTCCAGCGCTTTCGTGTTCATTTCACAAAGGATGTTAAAAAAAATAGAACTCTTCTGGTTTTATGTTGGGGGAGGCTGCGATTCTTAACACACGTTGAAAGAGTGTGCTAGACGTGGATGTCGCACCTGGTTCAGTCTGGTTTGGTTTTCTTTACGGTCTTCTTCCAATTTTACCTAGCATGGGGTAGGAGCTGTTGTTTTAAACAACAACATGCATTTTAAATAAGTCAGGGACTATGGTTCTATGAATCTTGACTAAGAAACTCAGATGAAAGGAACCACTAGTGGGTTGCCAGTGTTGGCAAGATTAATTTTAAATATGAGGCCGGGCACAGTGGCTCGTGCCTGTAATCCCAGTACTTTGGGAAGCTGAGGTGGGTGGATTGCCAGAGGTTAGGAGTTCGAGACAAGCCTGGCAAACATGCAAAACCCTGTCTCTACTAAAAATATGAAAATGAGCCAGGTGTGGTGGTGGGTGCATGTAATCCTGGCTACATGGGAGGGTGAGGCAGGAGAATCACTTGAACCTAGGAGGGGGAGGTTGCAGTGAGCCGAGACTGCACCGAGATTGCACCAGTGCACTCCAGCCTGGGTGACAGAGCTGGGTATCTAAAAAAAAAAATTAAATATATATTTCAATATGCGTTAGAACCAGCATTCCATTTTTTAAGAAGGAATGTCCATGTCAGAGCGTCAGCCTTAGTTATGTACATATATGGAGTATATATTACCATGTATGCTATTCAAATCAATGCTAAATGTGCAGTTAGTAGTTCTGCATTCGCTTTTATTTTCTAATTGAGAATGTAAAGAAACCCGATATAAAAAGATGAAGTTCAACAGGTTAGATTGTATGTTTAATACCCCAGTTACCTATTTTTCAAAACAGAAAACTGATTTTACATACAGTAAAGGATGTGGGTGACTGTTAAAGGGCATTCCCTATTCTTTTCATTTTGTGAATCTTTTATAAAACAGTATTAGTCAGGGTTCCCCAGAGAAACAGAACCAGTAGGAGACAGATATAAATATGTGAGGAGATTATAGCAATTGGCTGACATGATTATGGAAGCCAGGAAGTTCCATCATCTGTTGTCTGCAAGCTGGAGATGCAGGAAAGCCAGTGGTGCAATTCAGTCCGAGGCTAAAAGCCCAAGAATCAGGGTTGTGAATCCAAAAGAAAGGAGGTCAGCATATGGACCTGCACCCCCATGTTTATCAAAGCGCCACTCACAATCACCAAGGTATGGAATCAACCTAAGTGTCCATCAACAGATGAATGCATAAGGAAGATGTGGTACATATGGCCAGTGGAGTACTATTCAGCCATAAAAAAGAAGGAGTCATGTCATTTATGGCAACGTGGTTGGAACTGGAGGTCATTATATTAAGTGAAATACGGTAGGCAAAGAACGATGACTATCGCACATTCTTGGAGTCTGAAAGGCTGAGATTCAGGAGCTTAGATGTCTCTGTGCAGGAGAAGATGGATGTCCCAGCTCAAGAAGCAGGAAGATTCCCCTTTTTGTTCTATTCGGATTGGATGGTGCTGGCCCACATTGCTGAGGGTGCATCTTCCCTCTTCAGTTCACAGATTCAAATGCTAATCTCTTCCAGAAACAGCCTCATAGACACACCCAGAGATAAGGCGTCACCAGCTATCTGGACATCCCTTAGCCCAGGCACACTGACACATAAAATTAACCATCGTAAAGACTAAACCAACAAAAGGAACAGAAATGTGACCTTTTTTTTTGAAACCATAACACTCACTCTGTGAGTCAGGCAGTTTTTCTGGTAACCCGAACTCTGTCCCCCTCTCCCTTCCTGACACTTGTGTCCTACGGTGGCCTTGTGTGTGTGCCCCTGTCCCCCTCCACCCTTCCCAGCACTTGTGTCCTATGGCGGCCCCATGTCTGTGCCCCGTCCCCCTCCACCTCCCGCCACTTGTGTCCTATGGCAGCCCCGTGTGTGTGCCCCTGTCCCCCTCGGCCTCCTGGCACTTGTGTCCTATGGCGGCCCCGTGTGCGTGCTCCAGTGAGGGGTTGAACACGTCATGCCTTCAAGGGCGGAGTGAGCTGCAGTGTATAGTGGGATTGGGGCAGTCAACTGTTCTCCTAGCTGCCTGTTGCAGACCTGCAGGGCTAGCTCTGGGTCTAGACACAATGTCCAGAGTCTTTGAATGAATATTCACATCTCATCTAAGAAGGGACAGGACTAAGATATCAGCAATGGCTATAGCAGTGCATGGATTAGCCTGGGCAGCAGCAATGAGGTCTTTAGGGAAAGACTTCCTGGCAAACAGGTGTGGGCAAGGAATGAGTGGAGGGAGTAGAACACAGTGTGGCCTGTGCTGGGCAGGAGGTTCAAGCTCAGGTGTCTGGAGGGCACCCAGGTATGCAGGGGGTGAGGTGGCCTGGTCAGGTGCAACCCTAGGGACCTTGGGGTCAGACATACAGCCCTTGCTGCTGTTGAAGAGCGGCTGAAAGTCGATTCTTATGTGGGTATTACCGATTTATAAATGCAGACAACTCAGTCAGATTCTAAAATAATTCCTTTTTTTTCTTGAGATTGAGTCTCCCTCTGTTGCCCAGGCTGGAGTGCAGTGATGTGATCTCGGCTTGCTGCAACCTCTGCCTCCCGGGTTCAAGTGATTATCCTGTCTCAGCCTCCCGAGTAGCTGGGACTACAGGTGTGCGCCACCATGCCCTCTAAGTTTTGTATTTTATCAGTAGAGACGGGTTTCACCATATTGGCCAGGCTGGTCTGGAACTCCTGATCTTGTGATCTGCCTGCCTTGGCCTCCCAAAGTGCTGGGATTACAGGCATGAGCCACCGCGCCCAGCCAAAATGATTCTTTTAAACATGATGGGGACCTACTTACACATTCGTGGGGAGATTTGCTGCCAGCCTGTGACCTCTGCTCTGGATCAGGGATACCCCTTTCCGCTGAAAATGAGAACTGTAACTCAGCCGGAGCACACTGTGCACACCAACGACAGTGGGTTACCTGAGGAGGACACATCAAAGGTGACGTCTGGTCCCAGAGTCCAGGCTGCCTCTGGCCATCAGTGTCCTCCTCGCTCCTGACAGAAGAGGTGTCAGCTGTCCCAGGAGGGCCTGCTGTGGGTTTGGGAGTGGAGTGGGGTTGATTCCAGGGTCGTATGGGCCAGAAAATAGAAAGGACTTGATGTGATAAAACAACAGTGGGATGCTGGGCGCAGTGGCTCACACCTGTTATCCCAGCACTTTGGGAGGCCGAGGTGGGTGAATCACTTGAGGTCAGGAGTTCGAGACCATCCTGAGTGACATGGTGAATCCCCATCTCTACTAAAATACAAAAATTAGCCAGGCATAGTGGTGGGCGCCTGTAATCCCAGCTACTTGGGAGGCTGAGGCAGGAGAATTGCTTAAACCCGGGGGGTGGAGGTTGCAGTAAGCTGAGATTACGCCATTGCACTCCAGCCTGGGTGAGAGTGAGACTCCGTCTCAAAACAAAAACAAAAAGGTGTTTTTTTCTCTCTCTACATGAAAATTAACGTGTGCTGGCTCCTATCACGCACAGTCATGTTAGGCAGAGAGCTTTTATGGAGTTCTTACTATGTGCCCAGCACGGAGCCAGGTCCTGAAGGTGAAGGAATGAAACAGAAAGGCTGCAAGGCCCTCGGGAATGCACAGTTGGCTGTGGGTGGTGCGCAGATGGCAGAGCACGGCAGCAGGTAGCATGCCCTCTGCATCATCGGCCCATCATGAGCGACACCTGTCTTAGTCTGTTCCGGCTGCAGTAACAGAATACTATAGACTGGGGGCTTAAGCAACAAACATTTCTCTCTCACAGTCCTAGAGGCTGCAAGTCCAAGATGGGCACCTCATAGACAGCTGTCTTCTCCCTGTGTCCTCATGGTGGAAGGGCCGAGACAGCTCTCTGGGGTCCCTTTTATAAGGACACTAAACTTGGCCAGTTGCGCTGGCTCATGCCTGTAATCCCAGCACTTTGGGAGGCCAGATTGCTTGAGCCCAGGAGTTCAGGGCCAGCCTGGCCAACATGGAGAAACCCTGTCTCTACAAAAAAAGTAAAATATTATCTGGGGGTGGTGACAGATGCCTGTAGTCCCAGCTACTCGAGAGGCTGAGATGGGAGGATCACTTGAGCCTGAGAGGTAGAGGCTGCAAGGGAGCCATGTTGGCGTGGCTGCACTCCAGCCTGGGTGACAGAGTGAGACCCTGTCTCAAAACAACAAAGACACCAATCTTTCCATCCTCATGACCCAGTCACCTCCCAAAGACCTCACCTCCTGCCGTCCCCTTGGGGGTGAGCAGCTCAGTGTATGAATTTGAGGAGACACAAACATTCACCCCACAATATGACCCCTTGTCAAATGTTCACCCTGTGATGGACATGGTTCCCTCTGCTTTACATGGATGGACTCCATGAACTCTCACAACAATTCCAGGACGTCAACACCTTCATAATCACCGTTGGACCTGTGGGAGAACTGAAGCATGGAGAAACCCAGTTAACTAGTTTGTAAGTGTCAGAGCCAGACCTGGAGACTCGTCACCCTGGCATGTTGTGTTATTAGTGTGAAGAGATTGCTAAGGACCACTGGCGAGAAGCCTGCAGGTTTACCTGTGCAGGGTGAGGTTTAAGGAAGGAAGGGACGTTGAGCTGGGCTTCAAAGGACAAGATTCCCCAGGCAGGGAAAGGCATTCACAGTAGAGGGAATCACCTGGGCAAAAGTTTAGGGGCGTGAGAGTGTGCAATGCATTGGAAGAGTTAGGCGTAGTGCAGTGTGAAAGGTGTGAGGGAAGGAATGGCCTAAATGAAAGGGAACTCAGATGTAAGGAGCATGGGACATAGAGGAGTGTGGTGAGCAGAGTTCTGAGATGGCCTGTGGCCTCTGCCTCCTGGTGTTCGGCTGTTATGGTAGGCTACGTGGCAAGAGGGATTTTGCAGATGTGATTAAGGTAACTAATCAGTTGACTTTGAGTTAATCAAAGATATGAACTGTGTGGGCCTGACCTCGTCATCAGAGCCCTTTAAATTTAGATCTAGAGGTCAAGGACAGAAGAATTCAGAGAGACTGGGACCTGTGGAGGGATCCACATGGCAAGGAACTTTGGGCAGCCTCTAGGAGCTGGGGGCGACCCCTGGTTGACAGCCAGTGGGAGAAAGATGGCTTGGGCCCTACAACCACAGAAACTGAATTCTGCCAACAACTGTGTGAGGTTCAAGGAAGACCCCAAGCTCCAGACAGGAGCCCAGCCCAGCCCAAACTTTGATCTCAGGCTCGTGGGATGCTGAGCTGAAAAGTCAGCTCTGCTATGTCTGTGCCTGGACTTTGACTTGCAGAAACCATGAGACAATACATGGATGTCATTCTAAGTCCCAAGTTTGTGGCTATTTGTTATGCAGCAATAGAAAACTAGTCCCAGAGGCTGGGCATGGTGGCTCACACCTGTAATCCTAGCACTTTGGAAGGCTAAGGCAAGCAGATTGCTTGAGCTCAGGAGTTCAAGACCATCCTGGGCAACATGGCAAAGTCTTGTCTCTGCTTAAAAAAAAAAAAAAAAAAAAAAAAAGAAAAAGTAAAAAGCCAGATGTGGTGGCTCATGCCTGTAGTCCCAGCTACTGGGGAGGCTGAGGCGGGAGGACCGCTTTAGCCTGGGTGATGGAAGTTGCCGTGAGCTGAGATCTTGCCACTGCACTCCACCCTGGATAACAGCAAGACCCTGTCTCAAAAATAAAGAAAAAGAGAACTAGCTCCAGGAAGAAGGCAAGGGAAGAGTTTCCAGTGATGCCAATGCAGCTGGCTGCAGAGGAGGAAAGAATGTGTTCACAGTGGCAGAGATGGGACCTCCAAAAAGAGGACTGTTTCAGGTAATTAATGCATCACATTTGAGATGATGGAAGATCATTCAAGGGGATTCATAGGGTCTTACTGGAGAAAACCTTACGTTTCTCTTTCCCCCTGCAACCACTGCATCTTTCTGTATTCAATGAGCGGCTGGGAGTAGGAGTCCCTGGTGCAATTGGAGAGAAGGAGACAGCAGAATGCTCCTGGGAGCCAGGGCTGAGCTGAGAGGGCGTGCATACCAGCCAGCATCCCTGCCTGAAATGCCCCAGGGGTGGCTGGCTGCACTTGGAAGAAAGTCCAAACTTTTTCTGATGGCCACCAAGCTGTCCCTGAGCTAACCACTGCCTACCACTCTGCCTTTGCTGCTCTGCGGCCACGTGGGCATCTCTGCTCCTCCCTCACAGGTAACTTGAGTCCCCAGCCTCTTTTCACCACCCTTCCCTATCTTATTTCATTCCTGGCATGTGTCACGGTGCCACACTGCTTGCTCCCCACACCCTCCTCCCCAACCTCCTCAGACTGTTAGATCCAGGAGAGCAGTTTCTCCAACTGTAAAATGGGGAAGTGAGGCCTCATCTGGGGGGTTTTGTGCTCTTCTGCACGCAGCCCCAGCACTTGGGCAGCACCTGGCACTAAATGTGTGTTGACAGGTGAATGGTGAGCACAGGGTCCCGGGGTGGGGGTGGCAGCTGTTGGCACAAAGATAATGGGAATCTGGAGGGAAGTTTGCTTTAGGGAGCTTATGAGGACAGCCTACTGAACTGAATAAAAAGCCATTTTTAATTTTTTTTTAAAAAATGACGATTAAACATATTCAGCCCTGGTAGGAACAGAATAATCTCTATTTCTATATACCTCACCCCTGGAAAACTTCAATTTAAGCAAAGCTTTCCAAACCTACTAAAGATTGATTTTTTCTTTACCGCCACAATCCTGTTATTTCTCCTTTTAAGAAGTAGAAAAGGGTTGAGCTATTTTCCTAGGTATTTTATTGCTCTGTTTTATAGCTTCGAAATTAAAATCCATTTGACATTTAATAGAAGCTGTGAATCTATACACTGTCCCAGGGTCAGACTTTTAAAGTGTAGCTCAAACCTATTTTGCTTGGAGGTTCTGTTTGTATGGTGCACAGCTATAGAAAAACATAAGTTCTGGAATAATGACATTGACCAGAGCTAGCATTTATCCAGAATGGGCTGGGCTCTGGCCATAGTGTTCTATGTGACTTGCATTTTCACTAAAGATAGCTTATTTTTCTTCAAACGCTAATGGCTTTAATAGTCAGTCAACGGTTTAATGTTTGGGAAATGTGAGGCCCGGTAGAAAACATCAGCCTCCAAACTTTCATTCAGGCAGGGCTGCGCTGAGATCTCAAGTTTTGCTCTTGGAAGCTGAGTGATCCTGGACACCTCTCCTGCCCTCTGCTCGATGCTTCTTCGGGAGAGTGGAGATCATGACCTCTCTTTGGGGAATAGCTGAGGGAGGGCACATGCACTATTGCCTCTCCCTTCCCCTGGAAAAAAACCTGCCAATACTCAACCGCGTTCACAGCTTGCAGCGCTGTGCACTAGGGGAAGCCGTGGAATATGGAAAGCACTTATGTTTAAGTGCTGGGATCAGCCCACAGCAGGATTCCCACCCGGTGCAGAGCACTGAGAACCCAGGGAGAAATTCCCGTCTCACTCTTACTTCGAGTTACGTTCTACTTACGGATTTGGGGAGGCCACTGGCCAACATTATGTAACATATTACTTCTCTCTTATGTTTTAAAAGTGTTTTAACGTAACATCTATAATTCTTGGAAGTTCAACGCATCCAGGATGTGTAAGCACCAGCCCGTGCACAGCACACAGTAGGTCCTCAGCATGAAATCCGAGATGCAGATCCTGCTGCGTTGATTGGATTTCCAGTTAAGCCCAGAGGAAACTCGGGACAAAGCATGTGTGAACTACATTGGAGGTTAATGCAAAACTTATGTGGATTTTGTTTTGCTTTGTTTTTTTTGAGACAGAGTCTCGCTCTGTCGCCCAGGCTGGAGTGCAGTGGCGCAAACTCAGCTCACTGCAAGCTCCGCCTCCCGGTTCACATCATTCTCCTGCCTCAGCCTCCCGAGTAGCTAGGACTGCAGGCGCCTGCCACCACACCTGGCTAATTTTTTGTATTTTCAGTAGAGATGGGGTTTCACAGTGTTAGCCAAGATGGTCTCCATCTCCTGACCTCGTGATCCGCCTGCCTCGGCCTCCCAAAGTGCTGGGATTACAGGCGTGAGCCACTGCGCCCGGTCACTTATGTGGATTTCCAAGTAGTGTGACCTGGTGGCTTATTGTACGATACTGGGAAGCATTTGAGAGTGGACTAATAATAATACAAGGACACCAGGCTGGGCACAGTGGCTCACGCCTGTCATCCCAGCACTTTGGGAGGCTGAGGCAGGTGGATCACTTGAGGTCAGGAGTTCGAGGCCAACATGGCCAAACCCCATCTCTACTAAAAATACAAAAAATCAGCTGAGCAGGGTCGCAGGTGCCTATAATCCTAGCTACTCAGGAGGCTGAGGCATGAGAATCACTTGAACCCGGAGGGTGGGGGTTGCAGTGAGCCGAGATCATGTCACTGCACTCCAGCCTGGGTGACAGTGCGAGACATCGTCTCAATAATAATAATACTAGGACAACAGATGTAAACCTCACCCGAGCAGCATAGGGACAGCCTGCCTGGGGGTTGTGATTGGGTGCCTGGGCTGGTGTATTGTTAGGGACACAGATTCTCCAGTGAGCTAGAGAGGGTGGGTCCCTTGCCTCGGGCCACTTGGGTGGGGTGAAGAGCTGGGTGAGGACTGGGTCTGACTGCAGAGCCTGAGCTCGGGCAGCGCCAGGAGCACAAATGGCCCTGCTCTCCCCCTTCCCTGCTGCTGCCGTGGCAACTCCTCCTCACTCGGCCCCGTCTTTCCTGCTGTGCCTCCCTTTTTCTCTCCCTCTGCCTCTGTCTCGTCATCTCCTTGTCTGTCTCTGTAGCTCCTCTCTCCCTCTGTCTTTTTCTGTCTCTCATAGTCACTCTCTCAGTCTCTGTAGCCCTCGTCCTCCTCTCTGTCTGTGTCTCTCTCTGTCTCTGTTTCTGTAGCCTTCCTCCCTCTCAGTCTCTGTTTCTCTGATTGTCTCTTCCTCTGTCTCTGTTTCTGTAGCCTTCCTTCCTCTCAGTCTCTGTTTCTCTCATTGTCTCTTCCTCTGTCTCTGTTTCTACCTCTATCTCAGTCTCTAGCTCTCTCTCTCACTCTCTCTCTCTCTCCCTGTCTCCCTCCCTCCCCTCCTCTCCTGTTTTACACCTAACCCTTTTCTAAAGTGGTTCTTCTCACCCTGATTCTCTCTGTATTCTTGGGGAGAAGGGACCATTTCTGAGCCCCACCCTGGGTGTAGATGCCCCTGGATGCAGCCAGAGGTGGGAAGAGAAGCCCCTGGCTGACTGTGCAGCCCCTAGGGCAGGTTTGCCCCGAGCTGGGTGTGCACCGAGCTGAGTGTGCACTGAGCTGCTGCGCGGCAAGCAGGGCCAGGACGCGGGTGAGCCACAAGGTGGGGCTCACTGCTCAGGCACAGAGGCTGGGCCATCACCAAGGTGCGGAGGCACTCGGGGCTCCTCCTGGCCGCCTCACTCCTGACCAAGCAGGGAGCATCCTGCTTGCATCGCGTCTGGAATTCTCTGAAAATACAGAGAGGGAAGAGGCAGAGAGAGAAGAGCTTCCTTCCCGCTGTGAGCTCAGTCCCCACCTCTGAGAACAGGAGGAGGCATCTCTGCGTCATCCTGACACTTGGCTCTCCACCATCTCCTGGGCCCTCGCGTGGGTGCACCTGTTGCTCTGCAAAGCCTGCTGGGCACCTGCCAGGAGTGTGAGCCCGCAGGCTCCAGCTGGGGACTGTGATTAGGGGAGGGGCCAGGCATGGAGAGACCCTCCCCTCCCCCTGCCTCTGCCTGTGTGCGCTTCCTGGAGGCCTCCTGGTGATCTGTGTCAGCCCTGACAAATGCAGTCCCCAGTCAGCGGGGTGCTTGCCTCACATCAAAACAACGCTGCTGTAGGAATCAGCTCCGAAGGCCGTTTCTGGGGTATCCTGGAATTCAGAAGGAAGAGGATGGTGACATGTTGGCACTGGTAGAAGCCGGGCCAGGGTCTGTGGAGGACCCCGGTGGGCTGCAGCCTTAGGGGTAATGCTGCAGGGGAAGGCCTGCTTGGAGCCTCAGCCCCTGCCTGTTGCAGGTGCGTGCACAAGCAGCTGGGCACACCGTCCTGGGTCCTGGGCTCCCAAGCCCGCCGCGCCCTCTCCCCTGAGCCCCACTTCCCATCTGTCCCACTTCTCCTGAGCTCTGTCTGCAAACGCAGCTGGACCCCATCTCCACTGCACTCCCGGACCGAGGGGCTGTAGGGTCTTGCCTGGGCTGTTCCAGCAGCCTCCTCCTTCCAGCCCGCCCACTCCCTCCCCGCAGCCACAGGCACCAAGTCAAAGTCCGCTTCTATCCACTGCAGCTGAGGACCCTCTGGTGGCTTCCCCTTTGCACCTAGAAGAAAATGCCACTGCTGGCCTGGCTTCTGAGGCCTTGCACAGCTTGCGCTGCCCCCTCCTCGTTCCAGGCTTCTCTGTCCGGCACCTGAGCTTTGCTCACCCTCTGTCTCTAACCGAGCTGCGCCCACGGCTGGCACCTCCTCAAATGTTTCTTGGTTGAAATCACCTTGGAAGGACTTTTCGTGGCCACCCACTGTGACTGGGGTTCCCATTTGGGTTTCCTCTGTCCCCGCACCTGTGTCTGTGTACACTGCACTCTTTGCCATCTATAAACACCAGTCCCCAGCCTGGAAGCTTCCCGAGGGCAGCAGTCAGGCATGTTTACTCATCAGCTGTCCCTCGCAGGGACTCTGATATGGACTGGGTGCTCAGTGAGTACTGGAAGGGATGATTATGCCCCGGCGTACAAGGCGCAACCCTTCCAGAGGGCGTGTTTTTTTATTTTCATCTGATAGTGAGCGATGCAGCACGCCACACACTTGTACTTTAACTGCTCTCATTTCTTTTTCTTTTCAAAGTCGCAGATGACAGCAGTCATCCCGCCCAATCATTGGCACCTGTCGGATTTTGTCCCCATGCCTAGCAAGTAGTCTCTGACAGTTTCATGCCAGTCACAGGTTCTGGTGCTGAGTGCCACGCGGCAAAACGACAGGATCGCCTACTCCTGCCTGGGTGCTTAGATCCCATGTAAATGCTTTTGGCTTAGAAATTGTCTTTCTTTTGCCCTCCCTTCCTCCCTCCCTCCTTCCTTCCTTCATCTCCCTCCTTTCTTCCTCCCTCCTTTTCTTCATCTGTTCTTTGCTCCCATTTTCTTTGATTTCTTCTCCCTCCCTCCTTCCTTTCTCCCTTCTTCCCTCCTCCCTTCCTCTCCTCCTCCCTCCCTTCCTCTCTCCCTCCATCCCTCCCTCTGCCTCCCTCCCTCCCTCTCTCTACCTCCCTCCCTCTCTCCCTTCCTCTCTCCTTCTGTCCCTTTCTCTCTCCTTCTCTCTCTTCCTGTCTTTCTCCCTCCCTCCCTACCTCCCTCCCTTCTTCCCTCCTTTCCTCTCTCCCTTCCCCCCTCCCTCCTCCCTTCCCCCCTCCCTCCTCCCTTCCCCCCTCCCTCCTCCCTTCCCCCCTCCCTCCTCCCTTCCCCCCTCCCTCCTCCCTTCCCCCCTCCCTCCTCCCTTCCCCCCTCCATCCTCCCTTCCCCCCTCCCTCCTCCCTTCCCCCCTCCCTTCCTCCCTCCCTCCTCCCTTCCTCCCTTCTTTGCTCCCTCCCTTCCTCCCTTCTTTGCTCCCTCCCTTCCTCTCTCCCTTCCCCCCTCCCTCCTCCCTCCCTCCTCTCTCCCTTTCTGTGCGCCATTGACCTCATCGTTCCGCATTAGTGAGCTCAGCCTTCTTTTGAGTTTTGCCGGGAGAATCCATTGTTTGCACTTTATACGGGAGAATGGTCTCTGTGGTTTTCCCTGACTCTCTGTCGCACACGTCAAGGCTCCCTCTCCAGGGTCGCTGCCACATGTCTGAATGAGCAAGCTGTCCCTTGGGGATCTTGGGCTGCAGCGGAACTGGGCTGCATGCGGGGCAAAGCCATGAGACGACCAGGGTGCCAACAGGAAGTGGCAGCTGCTCTAATGGGCCCCATCACTTCAGGAGGGCAGCATTGGGAGACATTATTTCTCGCTCTTCTGGAGGCCAGAGCTGGTTGTTTTGGTCTGTGACCACCGCCCATGCGGTCACTCAGAGCCCAGGCTCCTTCCATGGCCTGGCTCCAGCTCCACGTGTAGGTAGCTGCGGGAGAGAGAAGACAGGGTCCACCATGGGAGGTATGTGTGACTTGGGCTGGAGGGAGCACACGCCCCTCTCTGCTCATGCTCCCTTGGCTGGAACCCAGTTACATCACACCTGCTGCTAGGGAGGCTGGGAATTGTGGCCCGGGAAGAACCGGGGAGCAACTGTGTGACTGGGTGCTCCTCCTTTCACCCCAAAGACTGAGGCTAACATGTTCTGGGAGGAAAAAAACACAGAAAACAAGACCCATCATAAGGAAGATGGCTAGCATCTGTTGAATGCTTGCTCTGCAGATACAAATGTGGATTATCTCGTTTAACCTGCACAATGACAAATGTGCTCTTATCAGCCCCATTTCCTAGATGAGCAAACTAGGCACAGAGGAGTTAACTTCCTCAAGGCCCAGAACCTGGTAAAAGGTGCAGCTGAGGTTCATACTCTGCTTTCCAGCTTTATTAAGGTCTGCTTGACAAATTTAAAGATTGTATACATGTATGGTGTATCACTTAGTGTTTCGCTGTGTGCATCCATTGTGCAATGATGAAATCGAGCTAATTAACATTTCCATCCCCACACATACCTTTTCTTTGTAATGAGAATATTTAAGATCCACTGACTTAGCAACTTTCAAGTATACTAGAGTCACCAGGCTGCCCCATAGGTCTCCAGAATGTGACCCTCCTAACTGAAACTTCGGAACCATTGACCAGTGTTTCCTTATTTCCTCTCCTGCAGCCTGCCAGCCCCTGGTAACCAACCTCCTACTCTGTTTCTATGAACTTGACTTTTTAAGAATCCACATATAGGTAAAATTATGAAGTATTTGTCTTTTCTGTTTTGTTTGTTTGCTTGGTTTTTTTTTTTTTTTTTTTTTTTTTTTGAGACTCGCTCTGTTGCCCGGGCTGGAGTCCAGTGACACGATATTGGCTCATTGTAACCTCCGCCTCCTGGGTTCAAGCAATTCTCCTGCCTCAGCCTCCCCAGTAGCTGGGATTACAGGCATGTGCCACCACACCTGGCTATTTTTTTTTTTTTTTTTGTATTTTTGTAGAGACGGGGTTTCACTGTGTTGGCCAGGCTGGTCTTGAACTCCTGACCTCAAGTGATCCACCCACCTCGGCCTCCCAGAGTGTTGGGATGACAAGCGTGAGCCACCACCCCAGCCTGCTTGTGTTTCTTTCCTCTCCCCCAGGCATAACCAGAACGAATGGCAGATTTACCGCCGCACTTTAATGGGCTGCTCTTTCCCTCCAACTTCCTCCTGCTCTAACCCGCCAAGCCGTCACACAAGCCCAGAGGAAGGTCTCCCGGTCCCCCTCTTCCCTCCCTTTTCTGCCTCTCACCTTCTTCTTTCCTTCAAGATGCCCACCTTCTCCCCACCAACCCCCAAAGCACACCAGAGCAGCAGAAGCACCTTTCAGCCAGCCGGGTGTGTGTTGAAATGGCTAGTGTTCTACTCGGCCCATCGTCTGGAAAGTGAGCGAATGAGAAGCACAGAAAATATTCCTGAAGTTGTTTTTAGCTTCATCGGTGGCTCCCAGGTTTCCCGTGTGTGTGTGTAGGGGGTGTGTGTGTAGGGGGTGTGTGTAGGGGGTGTGTGTGTGTGTGTAGGGTGTGTGTGTGTGGGGGGGGCGCTTGGTGATCTGTGCTCCACACCACATGCAGCAGCGGTGCTCAGAGGGGGACAGTCTGGGTCTAGATGCCTTTTCTGCCACTCAGTGATGTGTTAACCTCAGGCAGGTTCCCAGGTGACCTGGGCTCCCATCTCTTGATCTGTGCGTGTGGAGGGGGAGAGGGCGCATAGGAATAGTCCAAATTCCTAGTTCCTTTTCTGCAATTTCAAAATCCAAAAAGCGCTTGGAAAACATGCAGTCGGGACCCACCTGCCAGCTCTGTGCGTTTTTACTAGCAGGTACCTGGCTGATGGCCGGAGTCCTTGTTCACACGGACATCTACGGACCCACCCGGCTCACAGATGGCAAGGGCTCTTGCTCCCTCCTACCCCAGCCACAGCAATGCCTTTGAGCCACACTAACCCTGCATCGTGCATTTCATGAGCCACAGAGCCCCGGGAATGGCAGGAATAAAACACAGGTTCTCCGACGGTCAGTGACCCTGCTGTTAGCTACCCAGGTCTTGCACTGTTTTCCCTCCTCAAATAACAGCTGTCCTTTGACCAGCACAATCGACCTCTGCTGTGCAAACGCCAGAAGGGAAAGAGGAGTTTTACTGTCTCACCATCCATAAGACCACTCTTTTTCGTGAGTTTGGTGCCAAAACTCCTGTCTGAACTGATGTGAAGTCACCTAGGGCTGTTTGTCCTGCGTCACGGGACTATTCATACATTTTGATTAAGAAACACTGATCTGTTGTTGATGGGCATGGCCTTAGACCTCGCTGGAGATGATATGTAATAGAAGGCTATAGCAGCTGAATTACTAAAATCCCCCAGGTCCTGAATTCTGAAGCCTCATTCCGTGTACGTTTTTGAGCACTGGATGCATGTTGGCTGCTGTTGTTAATTTCTGGCTGGATCCTGACCTCCACTGGAGGCCCTTGGCCAGAGGCCAGCTCTCTCTTCGCTAAAGAAGTGTTGAAGAAAGAAGCATTTGCCCCTCATTGAGGCTGTTCTCCCCTCCACCAGCAGTGAAGATGAATCGGATGGGAATTAGCTTTCTCACCTGCTGGCTTTCCTTTGTTTAGTGCCCCCCCGCACCTGCACCTGCAAACCTCCTTCCTCATGCTACAGACTCCCACGCTCCGTCACTCCTGAGCACCCACCATGTCTGTGGGTGGCCTGTTAGATACACGCTCAGGCATTGTCCCGGCAAAGGGTCTGAGCACGGAGCCTCCCTGGCTCAGCGTGCTTACACAGGGCCCACTGGCAGATTCACTGGGGGTCAGTCTTGGAATGGACGTCAGACTCAGGCATCATGACTGGGGGCGGGGGGAAGTCAAGCATCGTGAGTAGGGGTCAGAGTCCCCACCCTACCACCTTGTCCTCTGGCTCTGTATTGAGTAATTGCTATGCACAGGGCTCATTGACTGAGAGGTTATTTCTGACCCTACCCAGTTGGCTTGCTCAGTTTCCATCTGCAGAAGATTCCCATAGCTGTTTTTTTGTTTTTTATTTTTTTCTTTTGAGACGGGGTCTCACTCTGTCACCCAAGCTGGAGTGCAGTGGCGCTATCTCAGCTCACTGCAACCTCCAGGTCCCTGGTTCAAGCAATCATCCTGCCTCAGCCTCTGGAGTAGCTGGGACTACAGGCGCGTGCCACCACGCCAGGCTGATTTTTGTGTTTTTTAGTAGAGACAGGGTTTCACCATGTTGGCCAGGCTGGGCTTGAACTCCTGACCTCAAGTGATCCACCCGCCTTGGGCTCCCAAAGTGCAGAGATTACATGTGTGAGCCACAGCTCCCGGCCCCCTAATGGCTGTTTTTGATACTTATTTTAAAGTGAGCCCCTAACTGTAACCATGATGTTCAGGGTGAAATAACTTCAATTCTCCTATAAATCAATGACTACTCTGTGTTTTAAGAGGTGGGTGGAAGGTTCATGCTGAAGAGTTTAGAGAAGAGCTTCGTGTTCTTTTGCATGGTCCTGACTTTACCCGATGCAGGAGCTACTGGGAGAACAATCAACGTACGCTGGCAGTCGGGGTGATGACATGGTCACATTGATGTGTCGTCAGCGGCGACAGTTTGACAGTTTGGATAGTGCCATAAAATGTGACCAGAGGGATGGTGCCGTGTACAAGAAAAGTACCACAGTCAGATGCACGTTCCTCTTCTAGGCATTGAGGTCTTGAAGGAGGAGCCTCACAACTTGCAGTTTTCAACAAAATAAATCTGTCCCATGACCAAATAATTTTTGGAAAATGAGGCAGGCACGGCAGGTTGCCTTAGACCTGTCAGGCTTCCTGCAATCCCCTGGGGGCGCTGTTGGACACTGTTAGAAAACGCTCATTCCTGAACCCCACCCTCCACCCACCCAATCAGTATCTCGGGGACTGAGGGCGGGTATGTGGGGCGTGTGTGTTTTACAAGCTCCCTTAGAGAGTCTTACAGCAAGGTTTGAGAAGCAAAGCCACCGTCGAAGCCTTAATTAACTCAAAGCCTCCAACCAGAAAAGCCCGAGGAAAACCCGAGATCTTTAACGACGGCGGCCTGCGCCAGCCTTGAGACACTTCCTCGTCAACGTCTCCCATCGACAAGCTGTCGTATTTGAAGCAGCGGGAGAGGAGCTTCGGGGCTGTTTAGTTTAACACACCAAGCCTGAAATTCAAGAGTTTTCCTGTGATTGACTGTAGCTCATCTTGGAAAAATAAGTATATATCACTTGCTGAAGGTTGTCAGAATGTAATGCTCTTTAAAACCGTAACGTTTTAAATCTGCCAGCCCCAGCATGCATCCTGCTCAAGGCTTTTGCTTCTCGTGGAGGAGTTTTTTTCCCCTTCTGTTCTATGGCTTTGAGGTGACATCATCATGAGAAGGATTGTAATGAGGTTCTAATATTCATTTTATAAAATGGGTACTGGCTGGGCGCAGTGGCTCACACCTGTAATCCCAGCACTTTGGGAGACCAATGAAGGTGGATCACTTGAGGCCAGGAGTTCAAGACCAGCCTAGCCAACATGGCAAAACCCTGTCTCTACTGAAAAAACAAAAATTAGTCGGGCGTGGTGGCACAAGCCTGTAATCCCAGCTGCTTGGGAGGCTGAGGCAGGTGAATCGCTTGACCCCGGGAGGCAGAGGTTGCAGTGAGCCGAGATCGCGCCGCTGCACTCCAGCCTGGGCGACAGAGAGAGACTCCATCTCAAAAGCAAAACAAGAAAACAAAATGGCCACCACTTCTTTTCCTCTGGATCTTGGTGAAACCTCAGGGGGATGGAGCAGGTCAAAAGGATTCAATGAGAAATGCTCCACCAGCAGCTCCAGACTCCTCAGAAAGGAAGAAGCTCTGAGGACGGTCATCAACTAATTGAGTAATTACTCTCTAAAGACAAAACCATGCTCTTTTGCATGATTATTATTATTATTTAACATCACAAGTGCATTACCTGAGCCAGCGTTGGCACACCTGTGGCCCTGGACCTACATCTGGTCTGCACATGTGTTTTGTTTACTTTGCTGTATTCTTAAAATATTGAATTACCTGTTGATATTTAACATGGAACACTTTTACATAAATATCCAGAATTTAGACCTCTCTTGGAAAAGAAAAGAAATGCGGCAACCAGCATAGGCCTGTATTTACCATGTGGCTGTGTGCACCTCCCACTTCACCTGCTGGGCCCCGGAAGGCATTTGCGTTTCCCACCGCTGATCAGGAACAGGTGAGGCTTGTTTTAAACTCTCTTGAGAGATGGAATTTCTGTACTTGGTTTTGCTTTGAGTTTTTAGCGTCTGCCCTCTATAATGCCTTGTGAGTTCTTTTCTTTTTTCTTTTTTCTTTTTTTTTTTTTTTTGAAACAGAGTTTCACTCTTGTCGCCCAGGCTGGGGTGCAATGAATGGCGCTATCTCAGCTCACTGCAACCTCTGCCTCTCAGGTTCAAGCGATCCTCCTACCTCAGCCTCCTGAGTAGCTGGGATTACAGGTGTGTGCCACCATGACTAGCTAATTTTTTTGTATTTTTGGTAGAGACAGGGTTTAACCATGTTGGCCAGGTTGGTCTGGAACTCCTGACCTCAGGTAATCTGCCCACTTCAGCCTCCCAAAATGCTGGGTTTACAGGCATGAGTCCCCGCACCCGGCCTGTGAGTTATTTTCATAAATAATTTTCAAGAGTAGATCACTGCATAGCCAAGCAGAAGATCCTGAGTGGACACCCCCTCCTCCGGGGTTACAGTGCGTGTGTGTGGCTGTCAGCCAATCGGCTTTTCCGCAGCTCCCAGCTGAAACCTGTGTGAAACCTGCAGCACCTGGGCTGGAAGGATCTGCCTCAGGGACACTCAGGTCTGCAAGTCCTGCTGTGTAGCTCTCCAGTGCATTTGATAAGGTGCCCGGTGTCAGATTCCAGAGCCATGGCTGATGTCCGGCATGGCATGTCAGGGCGGGCACGGCTCTCCTCCTCCGTGTGAGTGTCTGGCCCTGCCTTCCTGTGTGCGGCATCGTCCTGAGGTCGGTGGGAATTGCTGCAGTGGATCCGGGCTCCCCATGCGACCTGGGTGGCCTCAGAGGCTGGAGGGGGCAGTCGTTCCTAGTGTTCTCTTCTTAGAAGGAGGAAACCACTTTTTCCAGAAGACACTGACTGCTGATCTCTCCCTCCCATCTTGTTACGGGAAAGGGGTCCCGATCCAGACCCCAAGAGAGGGTTCTTGGATCTGTCGCAAGGAAGAATTCAGGGTGAGTCCGTAAAGTGAAAGCGAGTTTATTAGGAAAGTGAGGGAGTAGAAGAATGGCTACTCCGTAGACAGAGCACCGTGAGGGCCGCTGTTTGCCCATTTTTATGGTATTTCTTGATGATATGCTAAACAAGGGGTGGATTATTCATGTCTCCCCTGTTTAGACCATATAGGGCAATTTCCTGACGTTGCCATAGCATTTGTAAACTGTCATGGGGCTGGCGGGAGTGTAGCAGTGAGGACAACCGGAGGTCATGCTCATCGTCCTCTTGGTTTTGGTGGGTTTCCGCTGGCTGCTTTACTGCAAACTGTTTCATCAGCAAGGTCTCTGTGACCTGTGTCTTGTGCCGACCTCCTATCTCATCCTGTGACTTAGAATGCCTTAGCCTCCTGGGAATGCAGCCCAGCAGGTCTCAGCCTCAGTTTACCCAGCTGCTATTCAAGATGGAGTTCCTCTGGTTCAAACGCCTCTGACAATCTCAGTGGCCAGACTTGGGTCAAACGTTGGCAGGGGAGAACAGGGTAACAGTGTTCATTCTCTACTGCATGTAACAAATCACCACAAACTCAGCAGCTTGAAGCCACACCTGCCTGCTGTCTGGCAGTTTCTACAGGTCCAGGCTCTGGGCACAGCCCAGGTGGGTCCTCGGCTTGGGGCCTCATGTCCCACCAGTCCCTCTCGGTGGCTGGGCCACATTCTCCTCTAGGGCACGGTTGGTGGCGGGGTTCAGTTTCTTGTGACTGTGGGACTAAGGCCATTGTTCTCTCGCTGGTTGTTGGCCAGGGGCCACCCTCAGCTCTTAGAAGCTGCCAGGACAGATGCCCCTGGATGTGTGATGGGCTACATCTCAATAAACCCACTGGAAGCTGAAAATGCACTTAACAGCCTGGGCAACACAGTGAAACCCCGTCTCCAGAAAAAATACAAAAATTAGCCAGATAAGGGGCATGTGCCTATATTTCCAGCTACTTGGGAGGCTGAGGTGGGAGGATCTCTTGAGCCCAGGAGGCTGAGGCTGCAGTGAGCTGTGGTTGCACCACTCTACTCCAGCCTGGGTAACACTGCGAGACTCTGTCTCAAAAAAAAAAAGATGAGAAAATGCACTTAATACACCAACCTCCGGAGCATCCCGGCTTAGCCCAGCCTACCTCATCAGTGCTCAGAACACTTACACTAACCTATAGTTGGGCTGTCATCCAACACAAAGACTGTATTACAGTACGGTTTTGCATATCTCATATAATTTATCAACTACTGTACTGAGAGTAAAAATAGAACGGTTGTATGGGTGCCTGAAGTACAGTTTCTACCAAATGCATCTCACTCTCACACCATTGAAAAACTGAAAAACCTTAAGCTGAACCATCATAAGTCGGGACTGTTTGTGGTTTCTTGCCCCACGGCCTGGCAACATAGGGTGTCCCCTGCTCTGCTTTGCTGAGATGAAGTCCTGTGTGACACCACCCTGTCGAGGGAGCCACATCCCGGGACCTTTGCCATATTCTGTTGGTTGGAGGCAAGTCCACCCACACTCACGTCACAGGTGGGGGTGGCTGGGGTCAGCCCAGGGTGTGTCTGCGACCCCACAACAGGCTCGGACAAATCAGGACCAACTTTTGGAAGTGGAGACAGGGTCTTCTTCCCAGACCATGTTGTAAAGGGGTAGAACTTCAAACATTCACGGTTCTCTTGTTGAAGAGGAGGAGCTGAGTGCCTGGCAAGAGTGTCAGTTATACATCACTGTGTAACTAAGAATCCCAAAAGTCAGTGCCTTACAACTACCGCCATTTGATTTGTTTGCAGTTTTCCGAGTCTGCAGTTTGAGCTGGATTCGCGGGGTGGTGCTTCTGCTGATCTGGTGAGTGGCCTGGGGCCACTGGTCCAGCAAGAGTCTTCTGGCGGCTGGCCTGGAGCTGGATGTTCCGAGACGGCCTCACTCATGGTGTTGGTCACTGCTCAGTGTCCCTGTTCACATGGCCTCCCTTCCCCCAGGAGACTAGCCCAGGCTTTGCTTTACCTGGTGGTCTCCAGGGCCGGGGCGCATGGAAGCTATAAGGGCTTTTGAAGCTTTGTGTGGAAGGCAGACGGCATCACTTCCGATATATCCTGTCAGTCAAAGCAAATTACCCGAACAAGTCAGATTCATCGGGGGCGGGGTGGGGAATAGACCACACCCACTCAACGGGGACAGTGGCAGTGTCATATCGCAAAGAGATGTGCATACAGGGATAGAGGGTGTGGCCATCTTTGCAAACCATCTTCGCTGGTAAGCACACGACAGTCTGTGTCCACATGGATTTCTCACGTCTACAGGCGCGTGTCCAGCAGATTCCCGATGCAGCCACACAGGAGCTTTTAGTCCAGAAGAAAATCCCAGAGCCTCAGGGAGTGACTTAGGATTCAAGAGAGATTTTTGCTTTTGCTAATGGTTTTCCTTTCCTTTCTTTCTGCCACTCATCCAGGGTTTTAAGCCAGCAGCCAAGACGTTGCTTACTCATAACCCCCCTCTCTCTTGCTTTATTTAAGTCTATGTTTTTTCGTTCACTTTTCCATGCGGAGAGAAAAGAAGAGTGTGTTTTATCACAATCTGTTCCTAGAAACTCTTTTATTGAGGATTTGGTTGTAAAAGGGCCATGCATTCTGTAGGAATAGTAAGCAGAGCGGGGAAGGAGGGGGTTGGGTTTCCACCAAAGTCTCCACGTCAGATAAATCAAAGATATGACCAGCATCATAAAATAATATACCCAGCTATAAGCATCTCAAATGATTTTAATAAGAATGTTGTTCTACCCTGAAACGGGAATAAACATATTTTTATTATAAAACGACCACCAATTTACTATGAAGTATAAACGTAATCTATAAACATATAATTCTACTGTACGATAAATATTGCTATTTATATTGCCAGCTATAAAAGGCACTCAACATTTAATTAACAATAATTTTGAGAATATGTTTATGTGCCTTTTAAACAGCAAAAGCACTCTATGTTGATCTTAGGCATTGCTGCCTTCTTGGAATTTACATGGGCTGTGGGGGAATAACCATGGTAATGAGAGCTAAGTATGTGCCGGGCTTTGCTCAAAATTCTTTGTTTGCAGTAACTCATTTGCTATCCTCTCAACACCCTAGGAAAGAGGTATGTGATTACCCCTGATTGACAGTTGAGGAGCTGAGGCTTGGGGAGGGTAAGAAATTGACCCACTGCCGCTCACGTGAAGGGTAGGGTGTGGATTTAAACCCACGCCTCCCGTGTCAAGAACTCTGCTGTTGACTTACACACGCGCATGGAGAGTAACGACTGGTCCCCTCCTCTCCCTGAATACCCTTTAACAGTGAAAATACTTCTAATTTTTTTTCCAATCCTGAAGGGCTTTGATATTAAAACCAGGTCAGCAGGAGCACTCTTTCATTGCTGCACCAAGGGTCTGCAAGCCTTCTTCAGTAATGAGCATAAACGGAAACACAGCCCGAAGCTGAGCCGCGGGAGGAAAGGCCAGAAAAGCAAAGAGCTGATAAACCCCCCTCCCTCCCTTCTTCATGCTGGGAGCCCCTGGGACTTGGGGTAGGGCTGGGTTTACCGATTAAGTATGCATCACTCCTCTACAGATGGGAAATGTGGTGCTCAGAGAGGCTCACTAGCTTGCCCAAGGCCACACAGCAAAGTGAGGTCGTTCAGAAGAAATTGAACCCAGGTCTGGCTCTGAAGCACTAGTGCTTTCCACTAAAGCAGATACCACCCGTATTGTGAAGACAGGCTTGGCTCTGCACCCAGGGAAGAGGACAGAACAACACAAAGGAAAAGAAATGGGCTGGGGGTCATATTGTATGGGGCTCAGACTCTGGGGTAACACCTAATTTCACATCTGAGGCTCCACTCATGAGAGGGAAGACATTGTGGATCTGAGAGTCCTTGGGAAGACAGCTGGTCTTGTTGATTGAGGGAAGGGAGTTGATGGCTCCAGTATTTTTCGTGATGTTCATCCCAGCATATGTGTGCGTGTGTGTGCATGTGTGTGCATATGTGTGTGTGCATGTATGTGTGCGTGTGTGTGTGTGTGCATATATATTATTTCCTACTCAGTCTCAGTGTTTGCATTAACTCCCATCCCTCCTAAAAGTCACTCTCTCCAGGCCCAGGAGGCAGACAAGGGCAAGGCCAGCAGCCAATGCAGACACAGGATCTTGGGTGCATTTGCAAAATCTCCCTTCATCAGTGATTTATGTCTACTTCTCCTTCCTTTTTTGCAGGAGTTTGTTCATCTGGCAAAGAGACTGGTTAGTGATCCTGCATTAGAAAAGGAAATCGTAGTGAACGGAAGGGAATACGTGAGAATGTATCATTCATGGCAGGTGGAAAGAGACACCTACCAACAGCTCATCAGGAAGCTGGAAGGAAGCACTGAAGATTGAGGGCCCCGCCTCATCAGACACCTGCTCTCTGACACACAGCTCTGGGTGCACACTCAGAGACAGAGTTCTGGATCACGTGGGCCCAGTGCAGTTCAAATAAAACCAGCCTCAGCGGAATCCTAGAAAATGTTAGTCGTGAGTCCCCAGAGCCACTGCATTCATCCCATATCCTTCTGTGCGTTCAGATGCTGTCCCAGGCGTGTTCACCAGCCAGTCCTGATGGAGGTGCATGAGTGACTGGGTTGACTGGGACAGGGAAAGGGGAACTGGTTTTCAGGGAATTTGGGAGAGAATTTGATTACCTGCCTTAGGGCTTTGGTGTGGACAATAGAGGCTTATTTTCAAGCAGTCATGGTTCAGACTCCTCCCGCCTGCCTTCTGACCAACCTCTCCCCATCGTTGCCAGTTTGAAAGGCAAAAGCAAAACAGACGTGTCAGCTGAGCCGAGTCCTCGCAGGATTTTTGTTGTGATCTCAGGACTCTGACAGGCACGTGGGTGACCCGAGGCTTCTCTGAACACTAGAAAGCGCTGTGAGTGAGCTCACGCCCGGCACAGCTCACTTTTCAATGGTGGAATTGAAAGTTGTGCTTTTTAGAAAAGTGGCCAGGCTGCCCGCAGGCCCCGCCCACCTCTTGGCTGAATTTGAGTGGAAAACCAGGAAGGAACAAGCGCCACGTCACGCATAGCCTGCAAATCGCCCGCGTGACCCTGAGATGGAGGCCTGAGGCTTTGGGTCCAGGGTGGGCTCTTCCCCTTCCCACATCAGGGACCCGGGGATGGATGTCGGAAGGGTCACCAGCCTCCAGCCTTTGGCAGGATGGAGCTTGGGTCTGCAGGGCTTTGCAGCCACACAGCGAGGTCAGTCCGGGGCCAGCCGCGCCATCATGGTAATGGTGGCCTCGCCCCATCCATGTCATCCATGTCACATGAGGACGTGCAGTCTTCCTTGTCCTCTCCTAGTGGAATTTGCCTGGGAGAACCTCCACTGAATACTGAAATTGTTGCATGCCTGTGGATTCCTTACGACAATGGGGAACGCGGTGTTTCCCACCTCTTGTGGGTAGAAAGCAGTCTGCTTTGAGGAGGCGAGAAGGCAAAGCCAGGGCAGGGCGTTGCTGTGGGAAGCGTTCGGTGAAAGCGGGTTTCGACGCTTAGGAGGGCCGAGGGAGAAGATTCCACCAGCATTGTCCTTGCTTCAAGTTTTAGGATGTCTGAACTTTCAGCTTTCATGTTTTCAACCATCATTTTTTTAATGGCACAACCTACATCTTGTTTTTAAAAGAAGTAGCCTCAAATTAAACTCCTTAAACTCTGATGCCCTGGGGATGAGAACAACTAGCTTGGATCTCGTGCCGTGTAATTCAATGTTTCATTCCGCTGCCTCCATCATGTAATAGAATCGCTTTCCAGAAAGGCAGTTAACTGGAAGCAGCAGAGGCTCCCAGCCGTGAGAGGACTGCTCAACAATGCCCCCCATCGCCGCCCCCCCACCCCTCGCACCCCTTGTGTTTTCCCTCTGAGGGGCCCAAGGGTTATGGCTTTCATGTCTAGGTGTGGGGACAGAGGAGGGAGAGGCAGATCCTGGGCCGGGAGAGGATGGCCTGGTCTGAATCTGGAGTAATTAATGCCACCCAAAGAAAAGGCCCTGCCAGGTCCAATGTTGTCTTAGATCTGATGATGCTGCTATTTACAAAACACTGATCGTCCGAAAGCTTGAATCTGTTCCTCCTCGAATGACCCTGTAGATGCCTGACCTCCACCGTACCTCCACATCACTATTCATGTCCTTCTAGGAAAATGTGCACATGCCTCACGCACTATGTGGGAAGGGCGTGTTTTTAAATTAATAAAGTGTGTCACCATTAGCCATACGAAAATAGCCTCTCTTTCTTCCCACGGTGAGCAGTGTTCTGCAAGGAGCAGGCCCCTTCCCCACCCGCCAGGCCCCGCGTCTTCAAAGGAAGTACAGACACTCAAGCATCTAGTTAAGAGGGGGTTAAAATGCAGCCACTATTTTAATACCCAAGTATAGATGTAAAACCAGGGCTTTTCCATGAGGGTTCTACAGGTGTTAGTTTCATACTTGGTTCACTTTATGTTTAAACATTTATTTATTTTTATTATTTTTGAGACAGAGTCTCGCTCTGTCACCCAGGCCGGAGTGCAGTGGTGCGATCTCAGCTCACTGCAGCCTCTGCTTCCTGGGTTCAAGTGATTCTCCTGCCTCAGCCTCCTGAGTAGTTGGGATTACAGGCGCCTGCCACCACACATGGCCTAAACATTTATTTATTTTTATTTATATATAGTATTTGTATTTTTATTTGTATTTTTAGTAGAGATGGAGTTTCACCATGTCGGCCAGGCTGGTCTCGAACTCCTGACCTCAAGTGGTCCACCCGCCTTGGCCTCCCAAAATGCTGAGATTACATGTGTGAGCCACCACGCCCAGCCTAAACATGTATTTATTTTTATTTGTATATATTCATGGGGCACACATGCAGTTGTGCTCTGTTGATATATTGCACGGTGGTGAGGTCAGGGTCTTCGGGGCATCTATCACTGGGCAATGCACATCGTACCCACCAAGCAACCTTCATCCTCCCCTCCTCCCTCTGAGCCCTCGAAGGCCCAGCGTTCCACACTCTGCATCCACGTGTACACATAATTTAGCTCCCACTTACAAGGCAAAATTTGCAATATTTGTCTTTCTGTTTCTAAGTTGTATCAGTGAATATGATAATGACCTCCACTTCCATCCATGTAGCTGTAAAAGACATGATTTCATTCCTTTTCATGGCAGAATAGTATTCATTGTGTGTATATATTCCACATTTTTTGGCGGGGGAGGACAGAGTTTTGCTCTTGTTGCCCATGCTGGAGTGCAATGGCACAATCTCGGCTCACCTCAATCTCTGCCTCCCGGCTTCAAGCGATTCTCCTGCCTCAGCCTCCCAAGGAGCTGGGACTACAGGCACATGCCACCATGCCTGGCTAATTTTGTATTTTTAGTAGAGATGGGGTTTCTCCATGTTGGCCAGGATGGTCTTGAACTCCCGACCTCAGGTGATCCACCCACCTCGACCTCCCAAAGTGTTGGGATTACAGGCGTGAGCCACCGCGCATGGCCCCCACATTTTCTTTATTGAGTCCTCCATTGATGGACACTTAGGTTGATTCTGGATCTTTGCTATTGTGAATAGTGCTGTAATAAACATATGAGCACAGGTGTCTTTTGGGTATAATGATTTCCTTTGGGTAAAATGTTCAGACATTTTGTGTGTAGTTTTTAGTTTGCTGACGTACAGGTTTGAATGACTCAAAAATACATTTCAGGATAAAATTGAGATACTATAACCTTTACATATTGAGGGAAATACTTTCAATAAAAATAACACTAAGCCAGGTGCAGTGGCTCATGCTTGTAATCCCAGCACTTTGGGAGGCTGAGGCAGGCGGATCACTTGAGGCCAGGAGTTCAAGACCAGCCTAGCCAACATGGTTCAAAACGCTGTCTGTACTAAAAACACAAAAATTAGCCAGGCATGGAGGCACATGCCTGTAATACCAGCTACTAGGGAGGCTGAGGAAGGAGAATTGCTTGAACCTGGGAGGCAGAGATTGCAGTGAGCCAAGATCATGCCACATCACTCCAGCCTGGGTGACAGAGCAAGACTGCCTCAAACAAAAACAAAAACAAAACACAAACTATATATACATATGTGTGTGTGTATATATAAATACACATATGTATATATACATATATGTATTTGTAAGTATACATATATACACACTATATACACACAATATAAGATATGCATATATGTATATATACACATATATAGATATATACACATACATGTGCGTATATATAGATATATACACATACATGTGCGTAGAGATATATACACATACATGTGCGTATATAGAGATATATACACATATACATGTGCGTATATATAGATGTGTGTATATACATGTGCGTATATATAGATGTGTGTATATACATGTGTGTATATATAGATGTGTGTATATACGTGTGTCTATTACACATGTGTGTATATGTACATGTGTGTATATTACACGTGTGTTTATATTATATATACACGTGTGTGTATATATATATCTCTAATAACTTAGTGTCGTGTAGCAGAGAGGCATTGCTGACACTCGGCTGAAGGTCCGAGTGATGAGTTGAGGCTTACAGCTTCTCCTTAAATACCAGTGTTCAGCCCTTTCCCACACTCTCACAGTAAAGCAGTAAGACAGAGTACCTTTTCCACCTTCAAAGGTTCATCGTGCATCTTAAAGTTTAAAAAACCAGACTGCATAGGCTCCCCTTGTCAATGGGATTACACGGGCACAGCCAGACCCCTTGCCAGCCCCACAGATCTGGAAAATGTGGTGAAGACTGCACTCCCTGTGTACGGTTAAGGATGGAATTTTGAAAACATTTGAGCTCACAGCAGGTGTCTTGGTGTCGTGTTAATTGCCTTCCTCTTTTGGCCTCTGCAGTAGTACTTTGCATGGAGCTACAGGACCTCTTCCCTTGAAGGGTCCCTGGTGGTTGAACTTGTCTTCTTTAGCATTTATCTGGAGCTTCTTATGAGACGGGAGAGCTAGCTCTTCTTATCCATTTTCTGATGAAGAAACGTTTGTCTTCTCCTTCCTCACCTCCCTCCCTCTCTCCTTCTTTCTTTGTTTCCTTGCATCTTCCCAGTCCCCACCCTCACTTCCCCTCTCTGATTCTAATGTCACTTTAAAGGGTCAGTCATTGGTAGGAGCTGATGTGGGAATGCTGTGAGCAGAGATCCCCGTACCTGGGATCAGCCGTACCTGGCAGGACCACTTGAAACAGTGGCTCCCAGCCTTGTCTTTGAGAAATCTGGATGCTCAGGTGGTGTCCCTGACCAAAGGCATCAGACTCTCAGGGGAGACCCAGGCCCGAAACACCCCAGTGACCCAGTGTGCAGCAGAAGCTGACAACTGCTGACTTACCTCATCCCTTCGAATACGGACCAGAGTTTCATGGAAAACAAGGACAGTCTAAGAAAAGGTTGGATTGTGACTTCATACTGAAAAATGAAGCCCAAAATTATGAAAATAGGTTAAATCTGTCCTATGTTGAATAAAATTTATTTACGCAGGCATAATAGAAACTGAGTATACAGGGGCTCATGCCTGTAATCCCAGTGCTTTGGGAGGCCAAGGTGAGAGGATCGCTTGAGCCCAGGAGTTTGAGACCAGCCTGAGCAACATAGTGAGACCCCATCTCTATAAAAAATAGCAAAAAATTAGCCAGACATGGCAGCGCGTGCCTGTAGTCCCAGCTACTCCAGAGGCTGAGGAGGGAGGATTGCTCCAATCCAGGAGTTTGAGGTTGCAGTGAGCTATAATGGCCCCATTACACTTCAGCCTGGGTGACAGAGCCAGACTCTGTCTTTATTTAAAAAGAAAAGAAAAGAAAAGAAAAGAAAAAGACATTAAAGACCTTATAAGGCTGAGAGATACTTCTTTTTCCTTTTCTTTTCTTTCTCTCTTTTTTTTTTTTTTTTTTTTTTTTGAGACGGAGTCTCGCCCCGTCGCCCAGGCTAGAATGCAGTGGTGTGATCTCGACTCACTGAACCTCTGACTCCTGGGTTCAAGCGATTCTCCTGCCTCAGCCTCTCAAGTAGCTGGGACTGCAGACAAGCACCACCATGCCTGGCTAATTTTTGTATTTTAGCAGAGACAGGATTTTGTCATGTTGGCCAGGCTGGTCTTAAACTCCTGGCCTCAAGTGATCTGCTCACCTCGGCTGCCCAAAGTGCTGGGATTTCAGGCATGAGCCACTGTGCCCAGCCAGGCCAAGAGATATTTCATACAACTAAGTAAGAAACAACATGCCAGTACCTCATCGATACCCCCCAGAGATTCTCTCCTTCCTTTGAAATTGAAGTTTTCTTCCGCGAGTCCTGTCCCCCTTATCCTCCTTCTGGGTTTTTCTTCAATTGTTAGCCGGTTTCCAGCACTGCCAGAGCCTCACGTGCCTGTGGTCCAAGTAATTCTCCAACATCGATTTCACCAATTTCAGCAAATCCTGCATCTTTTGCAACCTTTGCAATTTTACTTTTCAGTGTATTTACATCCTGTTAGTATTTTAAACATTTTACACACCTAAGAGTCAGGAGGAGGGACCGACTTGACACTGCTATGGAGTGGGAGGGTATCAGGATGACATTTGGTTAAAACAGACATAAGATCCATAATAAACAGTGGCTTAAGCAAAAGAGGATGCATATTTTCTCTCTCTCAAGAGATTCACCGAGCAGGTATGGGGCAAAGATCCAGGCTCTTTCCATCCTGTTCTTCCATCCTCAGTTTGTGGCTGTCTCTACCTCATGGTGCAAGGTGGCTGCCCATGCTCCAGCATCATGCCTGAATTCCAGGCTGCAGGAAAATGGAAGGCAGGAATGAAGACATCTCTCTCCTTCCTTCCAGGACAATCTCCACCTCCACTTACATCCCATGGCCACACCTAGCTGCAAGGGAATTTTGGAAATGCAGGGTATTCTGAGCAGCCATGTGCCTGGTTGAAAAGCTGGGATCTATGACAAAAAAAGGGAGAATGCATACTTTAGGGGCAGCTTGAAGTTGCAGCTGCTATTGAGACAAACTGGTTTTAGTGTCTGCAGCAGTTACAGGCATCCTACTTTTTATTAATCACTAAATACCTTTTAATGCCAAGAAAACTGTTTTCCAGCAGGTTTTAATTTAGCCTTTGAGTCCACTGTGACACAGCTCACCTTTCTTCCCCAAGATCCTCATTTGTAAAATGAGTCCTCAGCCAACTGCTTCTACTGATTAGTGCTTCAAACCCTGCAGCTCCTAAATTAAAAACTCAGAGTGAAAGAGTGCAGGGGTTTTCATCTGAATCTCCTCAGATGTCCCTCCGTGTTAAGTGAGACACAATCCTGGAAAACACAACACAATTAAATGTATCGACTATATATAATTTTGGCTTTTATTTATTTATTTATTTTTATTTTTTATACAGAGTCTCACTCTGTCACCCAGGCTGGAGTTCAATGGCATGATCTCAGCTCACTGCAACCTCCACCTCCTGAGTTTAAGTGATTCTCCTGCCTCAGCCTCCCAAGTAGCTGCGACTACAGGTGGGCACCACCATGCTCAGCTAATTTTTGTGTGTTTTTTGGTAGAGACAGGGTTTCACTGTGTTGGCCAAGCTGACCTCGAACTCCTGACCTCAAATGATCCTCCTGCCTTGGCCTTCCAAATTGCTGGGATTACAGGTGTGAGCCACTGAACCCGGCCTAATTTTGGCCCTTGTAAATGTTTTTATGACTACCCTGAATGACTAAGTACATTGTTGTTCCTGTTGGAGGGTCTTGGGAAATAGAAATCTCTTCTGAAGGGATCCATGAGTCAGAGCTTGACTAAAACAAATCAAGAATTGACATTAAAAATGAGATAAAATGGAATTCCATCTTGTGCAGAGTGTAGGTTCTAGAGGTAGCATTTAAAACCAAAATCTCGTATAGTCAACATTCTCCTTGAAAACTCCCCACACGCACGGCACGTCTGATCGCATATGTACAGCCCTGCACATCATATCCTATGCACAGTCAAGATTTTCAGCCCCTGAGCTCAGTGGAAGAAAGTCAACCTCTGACTGTCTGACTCTCCAAGCCATTCTGTTTTGAGGTACAGAACTGAGTCTCCAGCAGGAAATGTGGAAATATTCCCATTTTCCTGTGGGGTTTATTTTATCCTGTTTGACAGTGGCTATATAACCATTCATTCATTCATTCTACAAATTTTTATTAGAATAATTGGCTCAGGCTGTGTTTTGGGGGCTGGGGTTACCTTGCAGGGGTGCTTCACAATTAGTATTAATTAAATCGTGTTAGAATGCATTCTCCTTTTTTTTTTTTTTTTTTTTTTTTTGAGACAGAGTCTTGCTCTGTCACCCAGGCTACAGTGCAGTGGCATGATCTTGGCTTACTGCAACCTCTGCCTCCCAGATTCAAGCGATTCTCCTGCCTCAGCCTCCTGAGTAGCTGGGATTACAGGTGCCTGCCACCATGCCAGCTAATTTTTGTATTTTTAGTAGAGATGGGGTTTCACCATCTTGGCCAGGCTGGTCTCAAACTCCTGACCTTGTGATCCACCTGCCTTGGCCTCCCCAAGTGCTGAGATTACAGGTTGAGCATTAATGCATTCTCATGGAAAGTGTTCCATAATGTTACAGAGTCATCTCTAATGAAGAAGGTAGGATCAAAAGTCATTGAGAACATGACCTAAGAGCTATTCAGCCTCAACAATTTTTCAGGATAAAAACCACATCCAAGAGGCTGCAAGTAATTTCTAAGAGAATCTTTGTAGAGTAAAGGAATTTCTGGGAAAAATGAATACAAAAAAGGGGGAGGGGTTTATTGAAAGGAATGACTTCATCTGCCTCTGCGGCCACAATCTATTTTAAAGAGATTATTTTATAATTTACTTCTTTCAGACTCATAAATAGTCCTTAAAAATTTAGGCTGAGAGAATTGTCCTCCTAAAATATAACATCATTCTGCTAAATTACAAAAGCTTCAAAAGCTTTCTCCTTAGAAAAGAAGAAGAAAAAAAAAACAACCATAGTCATGCCTTTTTCATTAGAGGCCTTTAAAATCACCCTAAGCACTTTGGAAAGCTTCAACTAGTAGAACAGTCATGCTTCGTTGAAAACAGATTGTTGTCTTTAGCATCTGTATTTTCATTTTACCATCTAATATAAAAATATGGTAGAAAGGTTAATAGCCAGACGTTTACAAGAATCCAGAGATCGGGGTGCCAAGAAGTATAATTCAGCGGTCCCCAAACTTTTTGGCAGCAGGGACCGGTTTCATGGAAGATAACTTTCCCATGGACTGGGGTTGGGGGTGGATGTGGTTTGGGGATGATTCAAGTGCATTGCATTTATCGTCCACTTTATTATTATTACATTGTAACATATGATGAAATAATTCTACAACTCACCATAATGTAGAATCGTTGGGAGTGCTGAGCTTGTTTTCCTGCAACTAGATGGTCCTATCTGGGTGTGACGGGAGACAGTGACAGATGATCAGGCATTAGATTCTCATAAGGAGCACACAACCTAGATCCCTCACATGTGTAGTTCACAATGAGGTCCATGCTTCTGTGAGAATCTAATACTGCTGCTGATCTGACTGGAGGTGGATCGTGGTAATGTGAACAATGGGGAGCGGCTATAAATACAGACGGAGCTTTGCTCACTCGCCTGCTGCTGCACAGCCCCGTTCCTAACAGGCCACAGGCCGGTCATTGATAGTACAGTCAACTATAATAGGTTTCTGACTCAGTATTTGGTGTAAATTCCTTGATTTTAAAAATATATGGAAAAATAGCTTACAGAGTCTAATGACCTGCTGGATTTGGATTCTGTGAAGAAAGTGTCCCTCTCTGTGATTCTCTGTCGTGTCTCTCCCGACGTCTAAATGCACTCAAGGGCTCAGCCATTCTGTAAACAACTGCCAGTCATGAGAGGATTTGGAACAAAGCCGTGTTTATGAATTAGACACCGTCAGATGGGGACAGTGCTCCACTTCTGTCCACCACAGCAAACATTAACTGAACAGCTACTCTGTGCCAGGCAGTGCTCAGTGCTGACAACATTGAACTTCCCGAGCTCTGTGTTGCCTGAAAAATACCTGGGTTCATTCACCTGGCGAGTTACAAATGACTCCATCACAATGTGGGTTTTGATCAATAGGAGTTTTACTACTTGACTGAAGTAAGGAGAGCCCTGGGAGGGTTCCTCAAAGCAGCGTCTCCGTGGGGGGAAGTGACAGGAGGGCTTATGGGGTCGGGGAGAGGGGAGATGGTATGTCATTGCATGTAGAGCTTGGGCCCCAGCTGCAAAGACACAGTGAGTCTCATGTCAGCACAGGTCACATGTGATGGTAATGAAGCTGTAGCTGCCCCTGGGATGGAGGCTCTAGCGTGGCACTGAGGAAGGCTCAGTCAGGCTCATCTATAAGTTACTGGGGCTGTCAGGAGAGGGTTCCAACCAACAAGGTGTCCGCATTCCACCCAGGGTTTGGGGAAGAACAGGCTGTGGGGCAGGAGACTGTAAAACTGGCTGATGCTCAAGTGGATTAATTTCCCACAGTCCCTGGAGATATTCCCTGTCTGCTGACACCTGGAAGACAGCAAAGGTCAGGACACCCCTCACTGCAAAGAGCCCCTTCCCCGAATGGGAGGAGACTCACAGATACCCTTATGTTTACCTGTGACAAGGCCAGATACAGCCCCTTCAAAATCTCAATCTTTGCCTCATCAGTGACTGAGCTGAACTGTACCCCCATGGTGGACCAGAATAAAATGCATGTGAACTAGCCAGGCACAGTGGCTCATGCCTGTAATCCCAGCACTTTGGGAGGCTGAGGCGGGCAGATCATGAGGTCAGGAGATTGAGACCATCCCGGCTAATGCGGTGAAACTCCATCTCTACTAAAAAATACAAAAAATTAGCCGGGCGTGGTGGTGGACGCCTGTAGTCCCAGCTACTCGGGAGGCTGAGGCAGGAGAATGGTGTGAACCCAGGAGGCGGAGCTTGCAGTGAGCCAAGATCGCTCCACTGGACTCCAGCCTGAGCGACAGAGTGAAGACTCCGTCTCAAAAAAAAAAAAAAAAAAGGCATGTGAACCAAACTTTATTAAAGCTCCTCTCCATCTCCCAGGCCTGCGCCACTCCCCAGCCTGAGCTGCAGATGGCCCCCAGCAGATCCTCCTGGGAGCAGATGGCTCCAAGGCAAAACTCTGGATCTGCTGTCTGGTTTTTGCCACCCTCGCCCCAGCTCCTCACACTGTACTGGCTCTTCCTAGCTTGTTTTTGCCTCCCCCCAAAAAAGGAAAGTCCAGGCTGCCTGACCCTGGATACTGGCAGAGCTCACAGTTAGAGCCCTCTCTCCACATTGCCATCTTCCCTTCCTGCCCCCTTAGGGATCCGTTAGAATAAAGTCCCTTCCAGAGTCCAGATTTGCTTCTTATTGGACAGTGTCTTATCCACAATAGTTCAGTTAATCCTCAAACCACCCCATACATTTACAAGTGAGAAAGCCAAGGCCCTGAACCTGGTCCTGAGACAGGGGGAGGAAGAGTGGGAGCTAGGAAGCACTGAGACAGGGGGAGGAAGGGCAGGAGCTGGGAAGCACCTGAGACAGGAGGAGGAAGGGCGGGAGCTGGGAAGCACCTGAGACAGGGGGAGGAAGGGCGGGAGCTGGGAAGCCTCTCTCTCTCTCTCTCTTTTTTTTTTTTTTTTTTTTTTTTTGAGACGGAGTCTCACTCTACTGCCCAGGCTAGAGTACAATGACACAATCTCTGCTCACTGGAACCTCCGCCTCCTGGGTTCAAGTGATTCTCCTGCCTCAGCCTCCTGAGTAGCTGGGATTACAGGTGTGCGCCACCATGCCTGGCTAATTTTTGTATTTTTAGTAGAGATGGGGTTTCACCACGTTGGCCAGGCTGATCTCCTGACCTCAAGCGACCCACCCACCTCGGCCTCCCAGTGTTGAAATTACAGGCGTGAGCCATGGCCCCCAGCCTACTGTGCTCTCTCATTCTCTCTCTGGTTCTCTCTGTCTCTGTCTCTTTCTCCCGCAACTCTCCTCCCTCATACAGTTGCCAGCTGTACCCTATGATATCCAGTTTGCACATGGGCTAGACAAATGTCCAAGTCAGGCCAAAGGAAACCATTAGTTTTAATATTCTCACATTTACTTTGAATGAGGTGCATAGTATAAGTGTTACCAGAAAGGGGTCCTGATCCAGACCCCAAGAGAGGGTTGTTGGATCTTGCACAAGAAATAATTTGGAGCACAAATTATTTCTTCTTGCACAAGAAATACAGTGAGACAGACAGGTGGGAAGGCCTCCCTGGCAAAACTCCAGCTGGCCTGCATACTGGGAGGAGTGCACACTGGGGTGGAGCCATCGAAGTCTGCGCTGTTTGCAGCAGGGAAGAGCCTGGCTCCTCTTCTGTAATGAGCCCCAGCAGGGACTCTGGCTTTGTGGAGGGTCCCTGTTTCCTCTTTTCTTCCTTTTCACCCAATAAAACCCTGCCCTACTCACCCTTCAAATAGTCTGTGAGCCTAAATTTTCATGGCCATGTGACAAGGACCCTGTCTTTAGCTGAACTAAGGAAAAGTCCTGCAACAAAAGCAAGTTTATTAAGAAAGCAAAGGAATAGGCCGGGCTGGGTGGCTCACAGATTATGCCCGTAATCCCAGCACTTTGGGAGGCCGAGGCGGGTGGATCACAAGGTCAGCAGATTGAGACCATCCTGGCCAACATGGTGAAACCCCATCTCTACTAAAATACAAAAAATTAGCCAGGAGTGGTGGTGCGTGCCTGTAGTCCCAGCTACTGGGGAGGCTGAGGCAGGAGAATCACTTGAACCTGGGAGGTGGAGGTTGCAGTGAGCTGAGATCATGCCACTGCACTCCAGCCTGGCGACAGAGCAAGACTCCATCTCAAAAAAAAAAAAAAAAAAAAAGTAAAGGAATAAAGAACGGCTACTCCATAGGCAGAGCAGCACCATGGGCTACTCGTTGGCTATTTTATGGTTATTTCTTGATTATATGCTAAATAAGGGGTGGACTGTTCATGAGTTTTCTAGGAAAGCGGGGGGGCAATTCCTAGAACTAAGGGATCCTCCCCCTTTCAGACCATATAGGGTAATGTCAGGAAGTTACCTGATATTGCCATGACATTTGTAAACTGTCATGGCGCTGGTGGGAGGGTCTTTTAGCCTTCTAATGCATTATAGTTAGCGTATAATGAGCCGTGTGAGGACGACCAGGGGTCACTCTCGTCACCACCTTGGTTTTGGTGGGATTTGGCTGACTTCTTTATGCAATCTGTTTTATCAGCAAGGTCATTATTATCTGTATCTTGTGCTGACCTCCTATCTCATCCTGTGACTTAGAATGCCTTAACCTCCTGGGAATACAGCCCAGTAGGACTCAGCCTCATTTTACCCAGCCCCTGTTCAAGATGGAGTTGCACTGGTTCAAACGCCTCTGACCTAAGGATTGTTATTTGTTGATAAGAGGCACGGAGAGGGAATTTTGATTATTGGGTTCTAAACACAATGAGACTTTATTGGTTTTAGAATGTCTTTAGTAGTCTAGAAATAACTATTCTTTGGATAAACCTCATAAGCTATGATACTGCCTGTATGTAAACGTTTGTTCTGTTTTTTAGTGGCAGAATAATAAACTCAGATATTAACTGGTAAGTATTTTGTTTTGCACACATACACACATACATGCATGTATAATTCATTATGAAAATTAGACCATTCTGAGCTTACTGCGTTTGAGGGTGGAGGTGGCCATCAACACAACCAAATTCAGGTCATCAAGAGTCAAATTCTTGGCTCTGAGTGCCTGAGGAGGCTTTTGAATGTTATGAGAGAGGAAACAATAGTCTTGAGAAACAAAGCTATTGAATGGCAAAGCAGGGTTTTTTTGAGAGAGAATGATTTTAATGTTCAAAATGCAAGGTCTAGATGGGTATTGGACTCAAAATCCTGAAGGACTCAGGCTTAACGTCTGTGCCTTAATTACCAGATTGGAAAGAAAATAGATGAATCAGGTCCCCTGGGTCTATGAGAAGGTGGCCCAGGCTGGGATAGGGGCGAGGGTGGGAGCCGGGAGTGGGATGCAGGAGGGGCAGGGTGTGTGCCACATCCCCTCTGTCACCCTCCCTGAGATCAACTAAACACAGTGATCTGAGAGTAGAGGACACAGCTGGGGGAGGTGTTGGGCCCAGTGACCTTGTGGCAAGAGAGGAAGAGATGATCTTGGTGCTGTCTGTTCTCAAGTACAGAGAATTAATAGGAAATTTTGGTTCTGGCAAGACCAACAGATCTGAGATGACTGCCATTCAAATGATATCTGTCACTCACAGTTCCCAAGAGGAGGGGACACTTCTCACCCCACGTGATGCACCAGGGTTGCTCAGGAGACACAGAGAGAGGAATATGCAGGGAAGACCCTTTATTATGGTTTCCATGGGCAGGAACAAGTAAGGCTTAGTATTGACTCGCTTGAATAGTTTCAGTGGGCTCTGAGCATAGGGGCTGCCTCTAGTTGTCTGGTACCTGGCTTTGGGGTGATTGGGCAGGTGGATACTGACCTCTAGGGTATGAAAGCCTGATAAGGAAGGTAGTTGTAGATGTGGACTCTGGATTGGTTGGTTTGTATTTGAAAAGTGCTCCTAAGTGGTGGGGAGTGGTGGTGAGGGTTAGGGAATGAGGGAGGCAAGACAAGGCGAGGTAACCTAAGCACCTTAGACGTCCTGTCCAGAACCAGGAGTGCCCAGCATATGCTTAGAGGGCAGATGTTAAAGCATGAATTTTACAGAAGGTAGAAGATTACCACATAAGCAATGTTACAAATAGAAATTTCAAAATGTTAAAAATATAATTCTACCAATGAAACTATGTTAAGTTTCATTTAACACCTTAATGAGGGGATCAGTGGAAAACAAAGTCAGTTTGAAGAAGATTGAGACACCAATGTCTATATGCTCAGTGAAGTTTTCAAAAACGGTCAGATAAGACCAATCAAAGCCATAATCTTTGTGGTTGACTGGTCTAAATCATTTGCATCACCATTTGACTAAGATCATTTTTAATATCTAATGTTGCAAATGTTTAAAATGTCTGAATTATAATCAAGAATATATGTATATATATATATTTAGTTATTGATATGGTTTGGCTCTGTGACCCCACCCAAATCTCATCTCAAATTATAATTCCCATAATCCCCACATGTTGAGGGCAGGGCCTGGTGGGAGGTGATTGGATCATGGTGGTGGTTTCCCCCGTGCTGTTCTTGTGACAGTGAGTTCTCACAAGATCTGATGATTTTATGAGTGTTGTTTGACAGTTCCTCCTATACACTCTCTCTCACCTGCCGCCATGTAAGACGTGCCTGCTTCCCCTTCCACCATGATTGCAAGTTTCCTGTGGCCTCCCCAGCCATGTGGAACTGTGAGTCAATTAAACCTCTTTTCTTTGTAAATTACTCAGTGTCAGGCAGTTCTTTATAGCCTGTGAGAATGGACTAATATGGTTATTAATAATATATCATATACAGCCTCTTCCTCAGAACCCTTCCTCTGGTCACAGTTTGTTGGACCAGGAGTAAATGCTTGTTTCAAGATAACAGGCAATTGGAATCTTTCCCTGACAATTTGGAGCCACAAAGGAGAGAGGAAAATATAATAAAGGGTACAGAAAAAAGCAGAATGTGAGAGAGGGAGAGATCCAAAGGCACTCCAGTCCCTGATTCTGGTCGTTCCTGAGATAGTTCTTATCTTTTGGTTCCAACTGACCCCTCTTACCTTTAAAATAAATTACGCTTTTTGCTTACGTTAGTATGGGTTGGACTGCAATGAAAGCAGCTTATAATTACTTGAAAGCTGTTGGTGAATGAGGCTATTTGGAAGTCTGGAATGGGATTAGTCCAAGGCACTGACAGGTCAAAGGTAAAAGCTTCCATCTGAGTGCAGTCAAGCTTAGGGTTTGGTGAATCCTGTTCACTAAATCCGTGAGTTTTGCTCTGGCTGTGACTGAGGGTGCTCTCATGCCTCTCTGAACCTGCTGTGAGATCTTCTCACTGGTGACGTTTTCTCACTGGTAATCTTTTTGCTTCCTCTGCGTGAATTCACCCTCAGTGGCAGAGAATGCTAATTGCATACCTAGTACCTACTGTCTCCTTTTTTCTTACCAACTAAACCCCAGTTTTGTTCAAAGAAGGCGATGTGTTCAGGTAACAATACTACATCCCTCCAGTCTGCCTGTGGCCATGAGTCACAGTCCCAGCATATATGTTATAAACAGAATTTACTAGATGTGACATTACCAGAAACAGATGCCTTTTACCCTTTGCCTATCCCTTCTTCCTGTCCAGAACTCAGGTGTGATGGCTGGAGCTCCAACAGCCATCTTGCAAGCATGAGGAGGTAGGGAGGTGGCAGCTGGACCATCTTGCAGGAGATTGGAGCAGTTTGCTGCCTCAGCCTTCTTTTTAAAAAAAAGTCTGTTACATTTTTCTAAACTTTTTGTCATGGAGAATTCTGAACATACATAAAGCATGCAATAATATCATGATATACTCATGTAACCATGCCACAGAAATAGGTGCCCCCATCCAACTTTGAGAAGAGTTTCATACAAGGATTACTTACACAGGTGCAGCAGAGTCTAGGAACATCGCATGGGTTGGTGCATCTCTGGGACTAATAGAGGGGGAAGCTTCAAATCTACAGACCCAAAGAGCAGGGGTGGGAGTGGTTCCCATACCTGGAGAGAGAAAGCTGTGTGGAGAGGGCGCTTTGATAGGAGCTGCAGCCTTGTGTGGAGGGGTGCAGCCTCTCCGGTCCCAGCCCCAGTGGGGCCCCTGCAGGGAGGGACACCCACTCTCCTCCCCCTTCTGCTTGGCTGTTGATACTCCCCATACCTAGAAGCCACTGGATGAGCAAGCGGCTCATCCATCCTTACAAGCGAGTCCCTGGCGCAGCATGCAGGACAGGGAAGGTGGGACAGGCGTCTGCAGGGGCCACAGGCTCATTGAGGGACAGAGAAGGTGGAGTGTACTCAGGAGGCTGAGGCAGGAGAATCACTTGAACCCAGGAGGCAGAGGTTGCAGTGAGCCAAGATCGCACCACGGCCCTCCAGCCTGGGCGACAAGAGCAAAACTCTGTCTTAAAAAAAAAGAAAAAAGAAAAAAAAAAGAGGTCATCACAACTTGGAAGCTTAAAACAACAGAGATTGTCACCCCACAGTCTGGTGGCTGGAATCTGAAATCAGGGATGGCCAGGGCTGTGCTCCCTTCAGAGGCTCTAGGGGAGGCTCCCTCCTGCCTCTTCTAGCTCCTGCTGACTCCAGATGTTCTTTGGCCTGAGGCCGCATTGCTACTATCTCTGCTTCTGTGTTCACGTGGCCTCCTCCCTGTGTCTCTCTGTCTTCTCCTCTTCTCTCTCTTGTCAGGATCCTCATTCTCAGCCTTAGGACCAAATCCAGGATGACCTCATCTCAAGATCCTCACCTTGGCTGGGTGCAGTGGCTCACGCCTGTAATCCCAGCACTATGGGAGGCTGAGGTTGATCACTTGAGGCCAGGAGTTCGAGACCAGCCTGGTCAACATGGGGAAACCCTGTCCCTACTAAAAATACAAAAATTAGTCTGGCATGGTGGTGGGTGCCTGTAATCCCAGCTACTCCGGAGGTTGAGGCATGATAATTTCTTGAACCCAGGAGGCGGAGGTTGCAGTGAGCTGAGATCGTGCCATTGCACTCCAGCCTGGGTGACAGAGCAAGACTCTGTCTCAAAAAAAAAATTCTTGCCTTCATTATATTTGCAAAGATACGTGCTCCAGATAAGATCTCATGCTTAGGTTTTGGGTAGACATATCTTTGGAGGGCCACGATTCAACCCACTACACCAGTGCAGATACATTTTAGCCAAGCTAAGACCATCCATTTATGTGCCAACCCAGGACCTCCATGTTTCCAGAATAAAATGTGCATGTCACCCTCCAGAGCTTCTCAACGCACCTGGGCCCCCTGCACGAATAAGCTGTCCACTATGTGGATTGCTTAGGCAATTAGCCACTGCTATAGCAGGGGTGGGGGCGAGAGGATGGGAAGCGGGGACATTTTACACCGAATACTGATGAAATCAGTCAGAGCATTTGCTCTCTGCCCTGTGGAATTAGAAGGCAGGTTGGTGGAAGAAAGGAAGACATCAAAGTGCCGGCTAAAGACGCAAACACCTTAAAATCACCAAGCTCTCACGTGCTGCTAGAGGGATTGTCATTGGTAGTTTGGCACAAGCTTTCTTTAGAACTACTTGGTATATATATATATATATATACATATATATATATATACATATATATATATATATACACACATACACACACATATATATATTTTATATTTATTATATAGAATAGGTAAACATGTATATATATTTATTGAAATGATGCATACATATGCATAAACCAGAGCTTGTAGTGGTATGCACGTGTGTATTTGGGTGATAAGGTTATGAGTAATTTTTATTTTCTTATGCATTTTTTTTGTAGTTTTTCAGGTTTTCCAAAGTGAGCATTTTTTGGTAGATTAAAACATGATATTTTAAAATGAATTAAGGGAATGAAGCAGAAAACATAATTACTAAGTTCTGACTCATCCCTCAGTGACTGTGTCTCTGGTTCCTACCAGGTCCAAATGCCAACAGGAGGGGCGAATGTGTCATTTCTGGAGTGAACTAGCTGAAGGCATGGCATAACATGAAGGGCACCTTTCCATCTTCTTCCCCGGCGTCTCACTGGAGATATTTCATCCTAAAACCTCATGAAATCTTGATCCAAAGCTCAAAACATGTGTTGTGTAGGTATTTCCTGGGCTTCTGGCTTAAGGCTGTGTTTTGGTCTTCTAGCCAGTACTTAATGAAATGGCAGAAAGAAAGAGTTGGACATAAAGGTCGGGCACACTTCAAATACAGTGCTCCAGGATTAAACGTTGAAATGTTCATTTCATACACAGACGGGCACATGACTTTAATCTGTGAGGGTTTTAAGAGGGAGATCGGGAGTAACCTCCCACTCAAATATGGCATGGTGTTTAACGGATCAATATGGCCATTGCAGTTCTTAACTCAGTTGAAATTAGCTGTTTTGCGGCTGTCAGTGTATCAGCCATGCCAAGTTTTTTGAAGGCCCTACAGAGTGAAATCCTGACATTCGGTGGCGAGTGTACTCAGCAGATTAATTGCAGCGATTTGGGATGCCAGCTTTAATTCAGAGTCAACCCGAGTGATCTAAAGACATAATGGCCAGCCTGAGAGTCCCAAATTAACCAAATGTGAATTACTTCTGAGCTCTCAGAGCTAAACTTGCCTTTTCTTGTTTAACAACCTCAGTTACTGAAATTTGAAAATCTCTCAAGAGAGGACTTTATTTTTTGCCGATGGAAGGTGGCAATGCTGAATTACTTGGGAAAAGGAAAACAGCTCTCTTTCTCTATGAGCAATTTATAACTCAAGTCAATTCAAAACATGTAATTAACAGCCCATTCTAATTGGAAGCGAAAGCATAATCCATCTTTGGATGTTCCTGTTCTTCCTCCGCTGGCTGAATCTTCACTGGTGAGCAATGAAGCTCACTGGCAAGGCTGCAGTCAAGGGAGGTCTTCTTGGTTCATCTTTTTCGTCTCTAACATTTCTGTGGAAAAAATAAAGAAACAGTTTGTCACAAGCGATGGAGGCTTCCATGTGGAAATCAACTATTTAATGCCTCAGTGGGAACTGAGAATTTTTCATTAACTTGTCCGGTGTAATTTCATCATTCCAGGAAGTATCCCTCTTTCTCCTGTTCTTTCAGGTCAGATGCAAAGTCACGAGAAAGTCAACAGCTCTATCTGGTGTCCTGCTGAGTGGCCGGGCAGCTTTCTTGGCGTGAACTCTGAGCATTCGTTGTCTCCTGCTTTGGTCTTGGTTGACTTGTCGGTGTTTTCATGGTTTGTTCTTTCCCAGGGAGGTGGGTTATTATCCCCAGGCCCATTCCACCTCTCCAGCGCCCATCCTTTCTGATCTCATGCATGCTTGCCTCAGAAGGGTTCACTCCTCCAGTCATTTGTTTATTTAACAGCTTTTGAGCACCTATTATGCATCAAATGCACTTCTGCACATTAAGGAATCTGACATCAAGAAACGCAGGCTCCCTGTCCTCATGGGGGGTTGTGTTTTAACAGGTAGAGTCGAACTATGAACCGGTAAGCCAGTACATTTAAAAAAAGATAATTGCAGGTAATGATAGGTTTTATTTATTTATTTTGGGATAGCATCTTGCTCTGTCACCCAGGCTGGAGTGCCATGGTGACCATGGCTGACTGCAGACTCAAACTCCTGGGCTCAAGCGATCCTCCCACCCCAGCCTCTCAAGTAGCTGGGGACCACAGGCACACGCCACCATACCCAGCTAATTTTTTTTTTTTCTGTGTTGTAGAGACAGAGTCTCGCTGTGTTAGCCAGGCAGGTCTAGAACTCCTGGGCTCAAGTGATCCTCCTGCTTTGGACTCCCAAAGTGCTGGATTATAGATGTGAGCCACTGCACCCGGCCATGTTGTAAAGAAGATAAAACAGGGCTGGCCGGGCGCGGTGGCTCACGCCTGCAATCCCAGCACTTTGGGAGGCCGAGGCGGGCGGATCACGAGGTCAGGAGATCGAGACCATCTTGGCTAACACGGTGAAACCCCGTCTCTACTAAAAATTCAAAAAATTAGCCGGGCGTGGTGGCGGGCGCCTCTAGTCCCAGCTACTCGGGAGGCTGAGGCAGGAGAATGGCATGAACCCGGGAGGCGGAGCTTGCAGTGAGCCGAGATCGTGCAACTGCACTCCAGCCTGGGCGACAGAGCGAGACTCCGTCTCGAAAATAAATAATAATAAATAATAATTAAAAACACAAAACAGGGCTACAGAGTGACGGGCGTGTAAGAGTGGGGTGAGACTTGGTCTCAGGTGATGGGAGCGGGTGCTTGTGAGGAGGGGCATCGCTTTGAGGTGGAATTGTCATGAGGTCGCATGCGCACAGCTGAGATGAAGCTGTCCAGACACAGGCAAGAGGAAGTGCAGAAGCCCCAGGCAGGAAGGGCTTGGGCTGTTGGAGGAACAGGAGAAGAAGGGCCTGCCCTGTGACAGGAGTGAGCGGTGTGGAGGCAGGACAAGTGCTCAGGGCTTATGGAGCTGAGACCATGGGGGCTCTGGATGGCAGTGGCCAGTTTGTGTTTCTAACTTACCTGTCGTGGGACGCCATAGGAGAGGTCTAAGTAGGGGAGTGGCTGCTCTGTGGACAGTGGGTTATAGGAAAGTGAGAGCAGCTGGGTCTCAAGTCAAGCAGCAAACGAAAGTAACCAGCTGCTCTCTATTCAGGGAGCATTTATTAGATCTGACAACACACATTTATCACAACGTCGTGCACTAAGTAGGTTCTTTTTTTTTTTTTTTTTTTTGAGACAGTCTCACTCTGTCGCCAGGCTAGAGTGTAATGGCGCGATCTCTGCTTACTGCAACCTCCGCCTCTCAGGTTCAAGCGATTCCCCTGCCTTAGCCTCCCAAGTAGCTGGGACTACAGGTGCGTGTCATCACACCTGGCTAATTTTTTTTTTGTATTTTAGTAGAGATGGGGTTTCACCATGTTGGCCAGGATGGTCGTGATCTCCTGACCTTGTGATCTGCCCACCTCGGCCTCCCAAAGTGCTGGGATTAGAGGCGTGAGCCACCACATCCGGTCAGTAGGTTCTTAACAAAACACGGTGGAACTTAGGAATGATAATAGCAATAGTTTACACTTACTGTAACGTCTCGGGGGTAGGGTAGCAGCGGGGATGCAGAGAGACGTGGGCAGGAATAGATGTATTTTGGGTGTGGAAAATTGGTGCATCCTGCTGTTCAATGAGGTGTGGAGGATGCAGGCAAGTGAGCCAGAGGTGCTGCTGTGGTTTTGGCTGGAGCAGCTGGGGGTGCCGTTCATGAGGTGGGCAAGTCTGGGGAGAGGTGGCTTATAGGAGGTAGCTGAGAGAGGAGCGGTTTGGAGGGGGTAGGTGAGGTAGGAGTGGTTTGGAGGAGGTAGCTGAGAGAGGAGCGGTTTGGAGGAGGTAGCTGAGAGAGGAGCGGTTTGGAGGGGGTAGCTGAGGTAGGAGTGGTTTGGAGGGGGTAGCTGAGAGAGGAGCGGTTTGGAGGGGGTAGGTGAGGTAGGAGTGGTTTGGAGGAGGTAGCTGAGAGAGGAGCGGGTTGGAGGGGGTAGCTGAGAGAGGAGTGGTTTGGAGGGGGTAGCTGAGAGAGGAGCGGTTTGGAGGGGGTAGGTGAGGTAGGAGTGGTTTGGAGGAGGTAGCTGAGAGAGGAGCGGTTTGGAGGGGATAGCTGAGGTAGGAGTGGTTTGGAGGGGGTAGCTGAGGTAGGAGCGGTTTGGAGGGGGTAGCTGAGGTAGGAGCGGTTTGGAGGGGGTAGCTGAGAGAGGAGCGGTTTGGAGGGGGTAGGTGAGGTAGGAGTGGTTTGGAGGAGGTAGCTGAGAGAGGAGCGGGTTGGAGGGGGTAGCTGAGAGAGGAGTGGTTTGGAGGGGGTAGCTGAGAGAGGAGCGGTTTGGAGGGGGTAGGTGAGGTAGGAGTGGTTTGGAGGAGGTAGCTGAGAGAGGAGCGGTTTGGAGGGGGTAGCTGAGAGGAGCGGGTTGGAGGGGGTAGCTGAGAGGAGCGGGTTGGAGGGGGTAGCTGAGAGGAGCGGTTTGGAGGGGGTAGGTGACATAGGAGCGGTTTCGAGGGGGTAGCTGAGGGAGGAGCAGTTTGGAGGAGGTAGCTGAGACAGGAGCAGTTTGCAGGGGGTAGGTGAGGTAGGAGTGGCTTGGAGTGGGTAGCTGAGAGAGGAGTGGCTTGGAGCGGGGAGCTGAGAGAGAAGCAGTTGGAGGGGGTGGCTAAGAGAAGAGTGGCTTGGAGGGGGAAGCTGAGGGAGGAGCAGTTTGGAGGAGGTAGGTGAGAGAGTAGCGGTTTGGAGGGGGTAGGTGAGGTAGGAGCGGTTTGGAGTGGGTAGCTGAGAGAGGAGCAGTTTCGAGGGGGTAACTGAGAGAGGAGCAGCTTGGAGGAGGTAGCTGAGGGAGGAGCAGTTTGGAGGAGGTAGCTGAGAGAGCGGTTTGGAGGGGTAGCTGGTACTGCTGTTGCCCCACTGGTGTTCCCTTGTCCTCTCTCGGCCTCAGAGCCCGGCCTTTCTCAGGGGTGGCAACTTGCTGAGATCAAAAAGTCTGCACCTTCTGGCTTTCCTGGCAGTTTGGTTTAGGCATGTGACTAAGTCCTGGCCAATCAGATAAAAGTGGCATCTTCGGAAGGAACTTCCAGGAAGGGCCTTTAAAAGTTCTGGCTCAGCCGAGAGGGGCCCACCTCTTACCTCTCCTTCCGGCTACCTGGAATGGCTATATGGTAGTTGGAGCTTCAGGGGCCACTTTGTGACCTTTGGGTAGAAAAAGCCTTGGTCCCTGATTACTTCATGGGGTCTCTGTGTCAGGCCTGAGCTGTCCATCTTTCAATGCCTTTTATGTGGGAGAATAAGGCCCGTTATGTTTATGCAGCTGTTATTTTGTGATTTCCGTTCTGTGCTGCTGAGTCTACTCTTAGGGGGAGGAATGAACAGTAGAACAAAAACCAAGAACCCGTGTGGTTAGAATGAGTTACAGGTGCCTTTTAGGTACCCATCCAGAGGTGTGGAATAGATACTTACATACACATGAATGGAGCTTAGGGCTAACTCATTGATTAATTATTAATCCTGTTGCCACACAATAAGAAACAAATCTCTTTTTCATGTCCTACAAATTACTTTCCTCATGAGCTTGCAAAGCCAAATAACAAGGACTGTCCTTCAAGAAATGTTCCAGACGAAATGTATTTGTACCATAACGACCATTACAAATCAACTGGTCACTCCATTTGCATAGGTACAATATCTGGGCGATTTCCATTCCAGCCTTCCACACAGCACTGACCACAGAGCACCTGAACCCGGGTGGGGGTGAGGAGAAAAGCGCCAGAGGGCAACACAGGGGGACACTATGGTGGGCTCTTCCTGGATTCCAGCAAATGCATGTTTCTCCATAGAGAAGGATGGGCATCAACGAGATGCACGAGGTGTTTTTATTTTATTTATTTATTTATTTTTTAATGTTTCTAGGTCTACAAGGGCTTTAGGGAGATGGCAACCAATGTGATGTCTAGCCTTTTACATGAAAAAATCTTTTACTTGTGTTACCCCTCTAGATAAAGGCCATCTGAAGTTTAAGCTTAATTCAATCATGTTTTAGTAGGCATCCAACAGGGTCTGAATTATTTTCAGAGATCTTTCATACCATAGAAGGGCCCAAGTTATTACTGGGGTCCAGGGGAAATAAAATAGAAAGCAATAACTAAGATAAGTGATCCGTCAAAAGTTACACATGCTAACAGGCCCACACAACACACACTTGTGCACAGATCTCTAAGGCTTGCACGGAGAAACGCTGCAAACCCAGGTTTGCAGAAGCAGTTGTTTCTTTTCTTCTCTCCTTGAATTTAATTAGAAATGGAGATACATAATATTAACACCAAGAACTGTCTTTCTTCTCAAACTGGTTTTCCAATCCCTAGAAATCAGGACATATTTTTTATATGTGCTGGAAACTGGAAACGCGTTTCATGTATTAATTGGGTAAATCCTTCTATCAGCGCTATGAGGCATGAGTTTGTATTATGCCCATTGTGTAGGTAAGGAAACTGAGACACAGGGGATTCAAATGGCTTGTGTGAGAGCTGGGATTCACACAGGCAGGCTGGTCCCAGAGACCCTGAGGACAGCCCCTGTGCTGGGCTCTTTCTTGACGGGAGTGGGGAGGCTGAGAACTGATGAGGGTATGCTGCCCCCATATCCCTCTGTATTAGTATCTTACTGCTGCAGTGATAAATCACCACAAATCTGGTGACTGTAAACAGCATGCATTTATTATCAGACAGTTCCGAGGTCAGAAGTCCTAACATCAAGGTGTTGGCAGAGCTCCCTTCCTGCTGAGGACTCGGGGAGAATCAGTTTCTTGCCTCTTACAGCTCCTAAAGGCTGCCCAATTCCCTGCCTCGTGGCCGCTGACGTGGTTTGGATCCATGTCCCTGCCCAAATCTCATGTAGAATGGTTATACCCGATGTTGGAGGTGGGGCCTGGTGGGAGGTGATTGGGTCATGGGTTTGGATCCTCCATGAATGGTTTAGCCCCATCGCCTTTGGTGCTGTCCTGGTGATAGTGAGTTCTTTTGAGATCTGGTGATTTAAGTGTGCAGCGCCTCCCCCCTTCCTCCTGCTCCACCCACGGGAAGTGCTTGCTCTCCCTTTGCTTTCCACCATGATTGAAAGCTCCCTGAGGCCTTTCCAGAAGCCAAGCCAAAGCCACTCTGCTTCCTGTACCATCTGCAGAACCATGAGCCAATGACACCTCGCTTCTTTAGACATTACCCAGTCCCAGGTATGTCTTCATAGCAGTGCGAGAATGGACTCATACAGCCCCTTCTTCCATCTTTACTGCCAGCAGGACAGCGTCTTCAGGTCTCTCTGACCTCTGCGTGTCCTTGCATCTCCTATTGTTCTGGGACTCTGTCTCCCTATTATAAACATTTTGATTCTTGGGATAATCCCAGATGATCTGCTCACATAATCACCTGATGTGGTTTGGATCTGTGTCTCCACCCAAATCTCCTGCTGCATTGTTATCCCCAGGGTTGGAGGCGGGGCCTGGTGGGAGGGGATTGGATCATGGGGGCGGAGTTCTCATCAATGGTTCAGCACCATTGTCTCCATGCTGTTCTCAGGAGGGTGAGTGCGTGAGTTCCTATGAGATCCGGTTAGGTGTGTGGCACCTCCACCCACCTTTGGCCCTGCTCCTGCCATGTAAGATATCTGCTTCCACTTCACCTTCTGCTATGAATCAAAGCTCCCTGAGGCCTCCCCAGGAGCAGATGCTACCAGGCTTCCTGTGCAGCCTGCAGAACTGTGCGCCATTTAAACCTCTTTTCTTTGTAAATTACCCACCCTCAGTTATTTCCTTATAGCAGTGCAAGAACAGACTAATACGTCACCCCTACAAAATCCATTTGGCCATGTCAGTAACACCTCCACAGGTTCCAGGGATTAAGATGTGGACATCTCCGGGGTGTCATTGTATATTTACCACATAATCTAAAGAGTGTGTGTGTGGAGGGGGAGAAGAACATGGAACTAACCTTATTCATCTGCATTCCTGGCTTTTGCAAATCTGTTTACTGCAGGTCCAGAATGTGAATGTCTCACTTAGAAAGTCAAGCAGTGGCCGGGGTGGTGACTCATGCCCATAATACCAGTACTTTGGGAGGCCAAGGTGGGTGGATCACTTGAGGTCAGGAGTTCGAGTCCAGCCTGGCCAATATGGCGAAACCCTGTCTCCACTAAAAATACAAAAATTATCCGGGCTTGGTGGTGCGTGCCTGTAATCCCAGCTACTCGAGTGGCTAAGGCACGAGAATCGCTTGAACCCCAGAGGCAGAGGTTGCAGAGAGCTGGGCACCATTGCACTCCAGCCTGGGTGATAGAGCCTGACTCTGTGAAAGAAAGAGAGAAAGAGAGAGAGAGAGAGAAAGGAAGGGAGGGAGGAAGGAAGGAAGGAAGGAAGGAAGGAAAGAAAGTCAAGTAGCAAACAAAAGTGACAGGCTGCTCTCAATTCAGGGAGCATTTATTAAATCCCACAACACACATTTATCACAACATCATGCACTAAGTAGGTTCTTAGTAAAACATGGTGGGACTTAGAAATGATAAGAGTAATAGTTTACACTTACATTGTCCTCCCTTTGTTCTAAGCACTGTTCTGCATGTTAACATGTTAGATTCACACAACTCCACACATTCTAGGAGGAAGGTGGGAAAAGCCTTCTGAGAGGGTGATGGTCTTCATATAGTGCCGAACTTCCGCCTCAGCTAAGGCTATTTATTCACTTTTTTCCTATTACCTTTAAGGTATGCAATCCATAGAATTAACTCCTGACAGGGTTCAACTTCTAACTTCAGCTTCCTTTGATGACTGTTTCAATGGGAATAAGAGCAAACAATAAAATTGGACCTGAATAGTTTGAATTTATCAGATGTCAATGAATAATTTCACTTAATAGCACTGGTGAAAGTTTAATTGTTCCTTTCTAGCCTTTGGCTTTTATTGAAGCAATCAACAAAGTCCTAGGTGCAAAGCTGGGGCAGAGGAGGGGGTAAGGCCACAAAATGAGTGCAGTGGCAAGGAAGTGAGGTTATTTTTGCAGCCTTATCACCTCCCCTGCCTGGGCTCCATGCCTAGGACTTCGTTGTCTATTTCCTCATGCCTAAGTGGAAAACACAGCCTGGTCGCTTGACTTGCTTTTGTTAACAGCATGCAGTAGAACCAGTGTCTTGTGTGCCATTCTAGACCAGCCAGCCCCCAGCCGACCAGGCATCTGACCACAGATATATGAGTGAGTCCAGTCACAACCAGCCGAGCATGACTTAGGTCAGCAGAACTGCAGACTCATGAGCAATAGTTATAGTAATTAATAAACCATCATAATAAATTACAATCAATAAACCATAATAATAAGCAAACTGTTTTCATTGTAAGTCACTAAGATTTAGTGTGTTATTTAGTTTTGTGATGCAATCATAGATAAAGAGAGGGTATCCTTGGGTGAGCTCCTCAAGCTGGTCTAAATGAATCACAGAGGGCTGGCAATTTGTGTCAACACAACATTATCTAGTTCTAATTCACAGATCATAAGATGATCTACAGTTATTACAATAAGCCGAGTCCATATTTTAAAATTGAGACACTTTATAAAGAAATCCCAAGTTTGAGCTCTTTCCACAAAAAGATGAAATATCTGTTGATGCTGAGGGTGTGTTTTCCAAGGACAGCCACGCGTGGAGCTGCTGCCTGCCACATCTGCCCTCACGTCCTTGATCCTCACTCTGGTTGTCAGGTGCGGTGTTGAAAATGCAATATGGAATGTCAGGATTCTAACTCCTGGCTGATTTCATCCACTTACGGTTATGCATTCTGAACTGCCTTGTATTGAGTTCTGCTATTTTCTAGCTGTAATATCAGGTATTTTGCTCACTCTCTTTGTGCCTCAGTTTCCTCACCTGTAATATGGGGGATATGAAGGTAACCTACTTTAGAGGTGTGTTGTGAGGATCAAATACATTGTGATGTGGAAAGTCATTTGGCCAGTGAATTAGTCTGTTCTCACACTGCTATAAAGAATACTACCTGAGACCGGGTAATTTATAAAGAAGAGGTTGAATTGGCTCACAGTTCTGCATGGCTGGGGAGACCTCAGGAAACTTACCATCACGGCGGAGGGTGAAGGGGAAGCAAGGCAGTCTACATGGTGGCAGGAGGGAGAGAGAGAGAGTGAAGGAAGCCACACGCTTTTAAACCATCAGATTTCCTGAGAATTCACTATCATGAGAACAGCATGGGGGAAAACACCCCCATGATCAAATCACCTCCCGTCAGTCCCTCCTTTGACATGTGGAGATTACAATTCAAGATGAGATTTGGGTGGGGACACAGAGGCAAACCATATCAGCCAGTGCCTGACGTCTTGAAAGAGCTCTGTCAATGTTTGCTACACTTATGATAATAATTGTTTTTTAATGTTACCAGCTGGGCCCTGTAGGTACTTGAGTTCTCAACTCCTCCTCTGATTTCCTCTTTTTCTGCTTTATTTCTCATTCTGTACCTGCATTGTGAATCTACCCCAGTAAAAAGAAAGGACAGCAGTTTGGAAAATAGATTGGGGATATTGAGGATTTTTAATATATAGATTTTCACTTCTCTGTTGAGGTCCCCCATAGAGTCCATAGCAGGAACTATCCCTGAGGCCATGTTGCCTTTAAGAAAAGCCCATGCTACGTCTCTGCTTTGTATCCCCTAACCCACATCTCCCCGTTTCCCCAGACCCCACCTGTGGTAATGACTGTTTCATTCTTTGTGTCTGCATATTTGAGCTCTTTAGAAAATATTCCACATATAAGTGAGATGATGCAGGATTTGTCTTTCTGTGTCTGGATCTCACTTAGCATGATGTCCACCAGGTTCATTCATGTTGTGGCACACGGCAGGATCTCCTTTTTTTTTTTTTTTTCTGAGATGGAGTCTCACTCTGTCACCCAGGCTGGAGTGCAGTGGCGTGATCTTGGCTCACCACAACCTCAGCCTCCTGGTTCAAGCGATTCTCCTGCCTCAGCCTCCCAAGTAGCTGGAACTACAGGCATGTGTCACCACGCCCAGCTAATTTTTGTATTTTTAGTAGAGACGGGGTTTCACCATGTTGGCCATGATGGTCTCGATCTCTTGACCTCATGATCCGCCTGCCTTGGCCTCCCAAAGTGCTGGGATTACACACTTGAGCCACCACGCCCAGCCCCTTTTTTAAAGGCTGAATACTATTCCATTCTCTCCCTCTACGGAACCACATTGTCTTTATCCATTCGTCCGCTCATGGGCATTCAGGTTGTTTCTGTGTCTTGGTTATTGTGACTATGTTACAATGCCGCAATGTGGGTCAAAGGATACAAATGAGCAGATATGCCAAATAAACAGGTCTAGAGGTCCAGGGTGCATTAGGCGGACGAAAGTTAACAAAGTTGTATTAGGGGTTTTGTTAAATACGTAGATTTTAGCTGCTCTTGTCACAAAAAAGGAACCATGTGAGACGACGGTCATGTCAATCTGCTTCACCATAGTAATTGTTTTATTTTATTTTCTGTCTCTTTTTTTGTTTTATTTCTTTTGCAGTAACCATTTTTAACATCTATATGTACCCCAAAACATCACATTGTGAACCTCAAATATATGAAACAAAATTTGCTAATTAAAAAAAAAAAAGCCCATCTGTGTAGCTGCTTTCAAGGGGATTGGCAGAAAATATTGAAATCAAAGATGTGATAACCTGTGACTTGGTATCTCTCTTCCTATAGGCTGCCCTAGAGCAATCTCCTTGTGTTGGGTGTCATATGGATGGTCACAGCAGCATTGTACATATATGATTACTTTTAAAAATCAATTTACTTTAAAAAAATTACCACTTATCAAAATTGACATCTTGTCTCTGTGTAGTTCCATGACATTTACACAGGTATAGATTGGTGTAACTGGCACCACCATCAGGGCACTGGAAATTTCCTCACATTAACCTTTTGTAGTAACACACTCCTTCCCCCACCCCTTACCTCTGGCCCTTGTGATCTGTTCTCCATCACTATAGTTTTTTTTTTTTTTTTTGAGGATATCATAGAAATGGAATCATATGGTACATAACCTTTTGAGATTGTCTATTATTATTTTTCCTAGTGCAAAACTTGAACTCACCGAAAAGTACACCAATAAGTGAATAGTTAAATAAAACAGTCTATAAACATACTGTGAAGTGCCATATGCCAGTTAAAATAGCATAAATTAGGATAAGTACCAGCTGGAAGGACCAGGAGCTGGATTGGGTATCATTTATTCTTTATTTTTCAGGATCTTTCTTTTCCCTCTGGAGATATCTGAGCTCACAATCTGGGACAATATGGCAGAATCCTTTTTTTTTTTTTTTTTGTCAGATTTTGGCTTGTTTTGGTAGCTGAAGCAGCTCAGAAACGAAGAGTTTTTGGAGATTTAAGGAGCTCCTCAAATAAGAACCTTTGAAATTGGAACTCAAGTGAATCACCTGGACTGAGCTTCCAAAGAAGATGTAGCAAAGCTGTTGGACAAACATTATCCATGAAAACAGGCATGGGAGGTGACACTGAACCTATTTCTTCAGATCAATAGGAAAGATCTCTGGATGAAGCCTCAGGAAGAGATAAGAAATAAGCTAAACCCATATAGAAAGCATATGAAAGAAAAATTTCAACTTGTATGGGAAAAGGAAACCTGTCTTCATGTCCCTGAGCATTTCTACAAAGAAACCATGAAAAATGAGTCAAAGTATTGAATGATGCATATACTGCTGAGGCTAGACTATTCACTGTGGTCCTGGAGGGTTCTGATGAAATTGGAAAAACAGCCCTTTTAAGAAAAGTGATGGGCCAGGCGCAGTGGCTCACGCCTGTAATCCCAGCACTTTGGGAGGCCAAGGCGGGCGGATCACCTGAGGTCAGGAGTTCAAGACCAGCCTGGCCAACAGGGTGAAACCCCGTCTCCACTAAAAATACAAAAATTAGCTGGGCGTGCTGGTGCATGCCTATATTTCCAACTACTTGGGAGGCTGAGGCAGGAGAATCACTCGAACCTGGGAGGTGGAGGTTGCACTGAGCTGAGATCGCACCACTGCACTGCAGCCTGGGCGACAAAACAAGACTCAGTCTCAAAAAAAAAAAAAAAAAAAAAAAAAAAGAAAAAAAAAGTGATGTTGGACTGGGCAGAGGGAAACTTATGGAAGGATAGATTTACATTTGTTTTTTTCCTTAATGTCTATGAAACGAACGGTATCACAGAGACCAGCTTACTGGAGCTCCTCTCTAGGGACTGGCCTGAGTCTCCAGAGAACATCAAAGACATTTTTTTCCCCAGCCAGAGCAAATTCTGTTCATCATGGATGGCTTTGAGCAACTGAAGTTTGACTTGGAACTTAAGGCTGACTTGTGTGATGACTGGAGGCAGCAGCAGCCAACACAAATTATCCTGAGCAGTTTGTTGCAAAAAAAGATGATTCCAGAATCCTCTCTGCTTATTGCATTAGGAAAAGTGGGTATGCAAAAAAACTATTTTATGTTGTAGCATCCAAAACTCATAAAGCTCCCAGGATTCACTGAACTTGAAAGGAAGCTGTATTTCTCCTACTTCTTCAGCGAGAAGAATAAAGCCTTGAAGGCCTTCCATTTTGTGAGAGATACTGGACAGCGGTTTATCTTGTGCCATAATCCCTTTATATGCTGGTTGGTCTGTACTTGTATGAAATGGCAGCTAGAAAGGGGAGAAGACCTTGAAATAAACTCCCAAAACACCTTCATTCATTTGTTAAAAATGAATGCATCATTTTTAACAAATGTATTTAAAGCAGGAAGTCAGAGTTTTCCACCTAAGGTGAACAGAGCCCGACTAAAAAGCCTGTGTGCTTTGGCTGCAGAGGGAATTTGGACACATGCATTTGTATTTTGCCATGGGATCTCTGGAGGAATGGGTTATCTGAGTCTGAGGGCTTAATGTGGGTGGGTATGAAACTTCTCCAAAGGTGAGGTGAGTGTTTTACCTTCATCCATGTATGTATCCAAGAGTTTTGTGCCACCATGTTTTATTTGCTCAAACGACCCAAAGATGATCCTAACCCAACCATTGGAAGCATAACCCAGCTTGTAAGAGCAAGTGTGGCTCAGCCTCAAACCCACTCGACCCAGGTGGGGGTATTCGTGTTTGGAATTTCAACAGAAGAAATCATCAGCTTGCTGGAGACATCCTTTGGTTTTCCACTGTTAAAAGACCTAAAGAAGGAAATAACCCAGTGCCTTAAAAGTTTAAGTCAATGAGAAGCTGATAGGGAAGTGATAGGTTTCCAGGAATTATTCCATGATTTATTTGCAACTCAGGAAAAAGAATTTGTAACAGAAGTGATAAATTTCTTTGAAGAAGTTTTCATTTGTACTGGTAACATAGAACATTTGGTAGTATCTTCATTCTGCCGGAAGCATTGTCAAAATTTAACTACACTTCGCATGTGTGTAGAGAATATTTTCCAGATTTCTCAGGATGCATCTCAGATCACAATGCGAAGCTCATCTACTGGCGGGAGCTTTGCTTAATGTTCAGTACCAACAAGAACTTCCAGATGATAGACATGGAAAACAGTAGCCTCGGTGATGCCTCCCTGGCAATTCTTGGCAAAGCGCTGGCTCAGCCTGTTGTAAGCCCCAAAAACCCAAATTTACTTTTATGTCTAACTTTGGAAATGATTCAGAATTATTTAAGGCAGTTCTTCACGACCCTCATCTGAAACTTCTGAGCCTGTATGGCACTAGCCTCTCCCATACTGATGTCAGCCACCTGTGTGAGACATTGAAGCACACAACATGCAAGATAGAAGAGCTGATGCTGGGAACATGTGACATCTCCGATGAAGGTTGTGAAGACATCGCCTCTGTCCTGGCCTGCAACAGCAAGCTGATACATCTCTCCTTGGTAGAAAATCCCGAAAAGGACAAAAGAATGATGTTGCTGTGCCCTGGAGACGCTGATGTTGATGTACTGCTGTCTCATCTGTGTCTCCTGTGAAGACATTTCCCACGTCCTTTTCTGCAGTAAATCCCTGTCCCTCCTTGACCTGGGGTCAAATTTCCTGGAAGATAATGAAGTGGCATCTCTGTGTGAAGCACTGAAGCACTAAGACTGAAACATACAGGAGTTGTTGTTGATGGACTGTTTCCTTACTTCCGTTTCCTATAGGGACATTGCTGCTGTTCTTATTTGCAATGAAACACTGAAGACCCTGAAACTTGGGCATGATGAAATACGAGGCGCTGGTGTCAAACAGTTATGTGATGCTTTGAAGCACCCTCACTGTAGATGAGAGTGTCTTGCACTGCAAACATAGCCGATCACCCGTGCCTGCTGTGAAGACCTTGCTGTGGCACTCACTGCCTGCAAAACATGGAGGAGCCTGAACTTCGACTGGGTTGGTTACCTTGGATGCTGATGTGGTGGTGGTGCTGTGTGAGGCTTTGAGCCACCCGGACTGTGCACTGTGGATGCTTGGTGTCACTGTAGCTGAAAGGAAACTTAACCATCTTCCCTACATCGGAAGATTTAAGGCTGCACAAATCTGCCTTTGATGAAAAAAAAAAAAAAAACTCAGAAGAGGCTGATGTCTGTGGAAGAAAAAATTCCCCACCTGACCAATTCACACGAACCTTGGACCAATGAGGAATACAAGATCAGGGGTGTGCTCCTCTGATGGGGAGCACCCTGAAGTAGTCTTCTCACAAAGGCTTTCCTTGGTCACAATGGGCTCTTCTCCTCCTGGCACCTCTGTCCTGTAATTGCACGTCATGGCAGCAGGTCTGTGATTTCAGGGCTACTCCCTGACGGTGTTCTAGCAATATGATTATAGAGAGTGATTCAGTGTGTATGTGCTGGCTGTCTTTGCCTCGGTTCTTTATTCCCTTATCTTTAGAAATCCCATCCTACCTTGCAATATTTGGAAGAACAAGTACATTAAATTAGTGCTAAATGCTCTGGAAAGCTTGGCTTTATTTTTTTAATGGATGTCTTGGTGTGTATGAGCATGCATTTGCAGGCATCGCAATTCTCTGATACTTCTGACGTAGAAGTGATGATAGAATGAATGTGTCTATAGTTTGTATTGCTAGCACCCAAACTTTCTGTTTCCAGTTTGTCCAGATTTAGATTTGATCAGTTTTCTTGTCCAATTAAAAAAAGCATTCCCAAATCTCTTATTCTTTCATATATGACACTCCAATAGATTTTTTCTAAAAATTCAGTATTACTCAAATGTATCTACACTGTTTATGTATATTTTAAAAGACAATATTAAACACCTCACTGCCATAACTTTTTTTAAAAAAACCAAATAACATAAAGTAGACCTATATGTGCTAACATAGAATTCCATGACATACTGTTGTATAAAAAGTCTCTAGTAGTGGCCTGGCGCCATGGATCACACCTGTAATCCCAATACTTTGGGAGGCTGAGGTGGGCAGATAGCGTGAGCCTTGAAGTTCGAGACCAGCCTGGACAATATACAGAGACACTGTCTCTACAAAAATACTAAAATTAGCCCGGCATGGTGGCATGCGCCTCTAACCCAAGCTACTCAGGAGGCTGAGGTGGGAGGATCACCTGAGCCTGGGAGGTCAAGGTTACCGTGAGCCAAGATCCTGCCACTGTACTCCAGCCTTGGTGACAGAGCAAGACCCTGTCTCAAAAAAAAAAAATCACCAACAGGTATATTTAGTATATTATCATTTATGTTAATTCCCTCTTCTTTATGTAGGTTCCATATAAATTTATAGGAAAGGAAAGCACCAAGTAGTTAGCAGTAGTTACGTGATAAGGCTCAAGCATTCTTTGTTCATCCCTAAACCTGAATCCTGAAACCCCCCAATCCTCATACCCACCCACAGCCCTGGGACTGTGTTATCAATGTTGTCCTAGTGATACAGAATGGCTCCCAACTAAACTCCACCCTCAAACCTGGACCCTCCACCCTGAGTAAAAACAGCTGACCCTGATACAGAAGGGCTGGGCTCCCAGCTAAACTCCACCCTCAAGCTGGAACCCTCCATCCTAAGCGAAAACAGCTGATCCTGATACAGAAGGGCTGGGCTCCCAGCTAAACTCCACCCTCAAGCTGACCCTCCATCCTAAGCGAAAACAGCTGATCCTGATACAGAAGGGCTGGGCTCCCAGCTAAACTCCACCCTCAAGCTGGAACCCTCCATCCTAAGCGAAAACAGCTGATCCTGATACAGAAGGGCTGGGCTCCCAGCTAAACTCCACCCTCAAGCTGGAACCCTCCATCCTAAGCGAAAACAGCTGATCCTGATACAGAAGGGCTGGGCTCCCAGCTAAACTCCACCCTCAAGCTGGAACCCTCCATCCTAAGCGAAAACAGCTGATCCTGATACAGAAGGGCTGGGCTCCCAGCTAAACTCCACCCACAAGTCTGGACACACGGCCCTAAGTGAAAGCAGCTGACCCCATTCCAAATGATTGCCTTTTTGGCTCACCCTGCCCCCTGTCCTGTGTACCTAAAAGCCAGACCAGGTGGCAGGAAAAAAAGAAGAGAACAACACAAGCTGCTGATGGGCCGGGATACAAGCGGCTGAGTGGGGAGCTGAGAAACAGCAACTGAGCGCAGGAGAACTTCAGATGGTGCAGCTTTGGAGGCGAGCTCAGCCAGAGACGGCTGGGCTTCAGGGAAAGATCACCTTCTTCCTGCACCATCTCCTTTCCAGCTCCCCTTCCATCGAGAGTCACTTCCACTGTTCAATAAAGCCTTACACATTCATTGTCTTTCAAACAGTTCATGTGACTTGGTTCTTCCTGGACACCCAACAAAAACTGTGTCAAAAAGGGCAGGTGCAGGAGTCTGTCATCCTAACTCTTCACTGAGCTGTTAACACTTAGCTGTCCACAGACTGCAGGCTGAGTGAAATGTACCACTCCGGGAGGGGGTCAAGGTCAAGGGAAAAATCCTGTCTCCACAGAGTCTTCAACCTGCTCCCCAAGGGTCCCTGATTCTGGAGTACACTCCATTGGGAAGTTTCCTCCTGACACTGAATAGGGCTGACCTGTGTCACTAATAGGGTATTATATATAGTGTGTGACATCCAGGGCCACACACACACTCTCTCTCCTCTCTCTCTCTCTCTTGCATCACTTGCTCTGGGGGAAACCAGCTGCCACGTTGAAAGGACCCTCAAGCAGCCCAGTGGAGAGACCCATGTGATGGAGAGCTGAGACTTTCTGCCCACAGCCAGGAACAGAGGCCTCCTTCCAGCAGCCTGTGAGTGACCCACCTTAGAAGTGGCTCCCAAGCCCCATCTGAACCAATAGTGCAGCCCTGGCCAACATCTTGATGGCAACCATGAGGAGCCCTGAGCTGGACCAATGGCTACGCCAGTACCAATTTTTGAGCTACAGCAACTGTGTGCCATAATAAGTGTTTGTTGTTTCAGGCTGCTAAGCTTTGGAATAACTTGTTGTGTGGATGCATCAGTTATCTACTGCTGTGTAACAAATTACCCCCAAACATAGCAGCTGAACACAACTAACATTCAGTATCTCACAGATTCTGTAGGTAAGAGGCCTGGGAGCAGCTTAGTCAAGTTGCTCTGGCTCAGGGCCTCTCATGTTGCTGGCCAGGGGTGAAGTCATCTCAAGGCTTGATGTGGAGAGGGTTGGCTTCCAAGCTTTTTCACGTGGCTGTCAATGAGCCTCAGGCCTCTGTCACCTGGGCCTCTCCGTGGAGCTCTTTTGTGATGTGGCTCCTGACTCCCTCTAGAACAAGCAATGACAGAGAGAGAGAGAGAGCACACCTGTCACCTGTAGGAGCACGTTCAGGCTACCATACCAAGACACCATTGACTGTGTGGCTTACACAATAGGAAATCTATTTTCTCCCAGTTCTGGAAGCTAGAAGTCTAAGATCAAGGTCCCAGAGTGTTGGTGTCTAGTGAGGATTCTCCTCCTGGCTTGTAGATAGCAGCCTTCTCTCTGTGTCCTCACCTAGTAAAGAGAGAGAGAAAGCTCTGGTGTTGCCTTCTTTCTTTCTTTCTTTTTGTAAATAGGGTCTTGCTCTGTTCCCCAGGCTGGAGTGCACTGGCACAATCATGGCTCACTGCAGCCTCAACCTCCAAGGCTCAAGCAATCCTCTGGCCTCAGCCTTCCAAGTAGTCGGGACTACAGGTGTACACCAGCATGCCTGGCTAATTTTTCTTTTTTCTTTTTTTTGGTAGAATTGGGGTTTCACTGTGTTGCCCAGGCTGCTCTCCAACTCTTGGGCTCATGCGATTCTCCCACCTTGGCCTCCAAAAATGCTGGGATTACAAGCATGAGCCACTGCACCCAGCCATAATTATTTAAAAAGTATTTTAAACAGATGGGGGCTCACTATGTTGCCCAGCCTGGTCTCCAACTCCTGAGCTCAAGTAATCATCCCACCTTAACTTCTCAAAGCATTGGGATTACAGAAGTAAGCCACAGTGCCTGGCTTCTCTTCTTATAAGGACACAATCCTATCAGATTATAGGTCTACCCTTATGACCTCATTGAACCTTAATGAGCTCTGTAAAGGTCCTATTTCCAAATGCATTCACATTGGGAGTTAGGAGTTTAACATATAAATTGTAAAGGGACACATTTCACCTTGCATTGCTACCCAAGGTGGGAGTTACAGCCTTTTTATGACCTAACCTTGGAAGTGACATTTCATCACATATGACATGTTCCATTTATTAGAAGTGAGTAAGTCCAGCTCACGTGTGAGGAGAGGGGATTACACAAGAGCATGAATGCCAGGAGGCAGGCATTGGTGGGGGCATCATAGAGGCTGCCTACTACGTTAGCAGATAACCAGCAGAAATGGCACAAAACATCTTTCTGTAGTCAACTTCATTTCAGTCTTTTAGAAGCATTCAAAAATGTACCGCAGTTTAGAAAATAGCAGTTCTTTCTTTTTAAATTTAATCCCTGTAATAAACAATATATTCAAATGTACAAAAATAATACCTTCCCCTTCCTCTCTTCACCCCCAAAGAGGCCATTACATCTCTTCATTATTTGTGTATTATTACATGGTATCTTTATGTGAACACATGCAAATACAATGTGTATTCTTGTTTTCCACACTTTTTAACATAAATAGTTGCCTGCTGTAATACTGTATTGCAACTTGCTTTTTTTCATTGAAATGTATATCTTTCTACATCAGTACAGTTTTCTCGTTCCTCTTTTTCAGATGTGGTGCATTGCATTATTTATTCTGATGGATAGTATAATGTAATTTATTCAATCAGTCTCCTACCAATAGACATATGAGTTACTTTCAATCTTTTTCTATTACACAAAAAAGCTGCAATGAATATTCTTATGCACAGGCATTCTCACATGTACAAGTATTTGGGTGGGATAAGTTTACAGACATATGATAGCTGGGTCAAATGTATTTGTACTTGTAATTTTAATGGATATTCCCAAATTAACCCATATGGTGCTTGCATTGGTTCACATTTTCACCAGCTGTGTGTGAGAGACCTTGGGTCCCCACAGCCTCGACAATGCAGTGTGTTACTATGCTTTGGGATTTGTTCCAATCTCCTAGGTTAAAAAAATGGTATCTCAATATACTTTTATACTTGTGATATTATGAAGTCAGGTTGGACTCTTTTTTCATATGTTTAAGAGCAATTTTTTTTTCCTTTCTGTGTACTGTCTATTCATGTGAAAATGACATTTCCAAGTTTCTGTGTTTTTTTCATACTAGGTCGTTAACTAGAGTATCTTAGCCTTCATCTTTAACTCAAATACTGCGGCCCTCAAGACTACCCCCAGGCTCAATGACTTCCTAGAAGGCCCATGATTCAGCAAAGTGGTTATGCTCACAACAACAGTTTATTACGGCGAAAGCATGCAGATTGAACCCAGCATATGGAAGCAGTGCACAGGGTGGGCCCAGGAGAGTTCCAGTTGTCCTCTCCCGCTGGAGTCACAGGTACTGCACTTACTACCCCCAGCCATGAAGCATGGCAACACACCCAGACTCCCGCCGGCCAGTGAAGCCCGCCCCCCCCCTCCCCGCCTTGGTGGGCAGAGTTCTGACTGGGTGATGGTCCTGTAGACTCACCTGATCACCCTCATGACTGACCTTATTCTCCAGCCCCTACAGAGGTTGAGCAGATAACTGCATTGTCTAAGAACCCCACCATGGATCACATTGACTAATGTGGGCAAAAGGTCCCAGGTAAACAAAGGTGCTCTTGTCAGGCAGGACATCCCAAGGACTTAGAGGCTGGCTGGTCAGGAGCCAAGCCTTTCTTGGGGCAAGGTTAGCCTCTACTGCACAATCCCCACCCACTTAGATTCTGTGCATGCTTCAAGACCCAGCCAAAAACCCAAAAACCCACCTCATTCATGCAGCCTTCTTCAACATCCTCAATGAGCATGAGTAAGAATTAATTTCTGAATTTCTATGCTCCCAAAGCACTTCCATAACCCTCTGCGACAGATATTAGCCTTGCATACTGAGATGTTGTGAAGCAGCCCTTGTTGATATCGCCCTTTAGGTGTTTTTCATTATCAAAAAAAGTACACCCATCCCACTTTCAATTCCAAATATCTCATCATTCTCTGGTCTCCTCTTCTCACCTGTGTAGCTCACTGGCCCCCGTTCTTCAAATCCTTCAGGTCTTTTATTGCACCTGGATCTGTACTCCGTTGCTCCTACTTCCTTCTCACGTTTCACTACTCTCGGGGAGGAAAGGTTGACCTCCAATCAGAACACACACAGTTCATCTTCACCTCTCTCTGTGCTGAGCTTAGACACTGTGTTCCGCGGTAATCATCGAAGTCTTGTCTATACCCTCAGTGCTCTGGGCTCTCTCTTCATCTGTTAGATTCACTTGCAAAAACAGCAATTCCAGGTAAATCCAACTGCATCTACATCGCCCCTGCATGCAGGCAGCTGAAAGTAACCGGGGAAACACCCGCTCATGCCCACTGGCCTCGCTTAAATCTTCTTACCGTGAATTTCAGTGGATCCTCAGTGCAGTCTAGAAACCGCTTTATAGCTCCCAAAGCCATTTGCTTCCTGTTCACCGAGTACAATAGAAGTAGTAAGAGAAGAATTTTGTGAGCTCTCAGAGCCATATCTCAACCTACAGATAGGTTCCATCCCGTTACAATGGATGAATGGTTTGTGCTCTGATTTGACGTCAACCTTCTCCTTGGTCAGTGCATCCCATCTATCAACTAACTACGTGAGGACATTCACATTCCAGAAGTAGTTCTCTTGTCCCCTTGCAATATTATGTTTCTTCTCACCACTTGATCAGCCCTGCAATATCTTATAATATCTCTAATTTTTAAGAAAACTGCTATCCCACCTTTTCTCTTTCCTCCCCCTTCTTTATTTTAGCAACACCCATTAGAAAAACTGTCCACAGTATTTTCCTCTCTTCACTCTTGTTAAGCTACTCTTTTACTCCCAGCACTCAAGAAAAGAAGTTCCTGTTCAGATGACCAGTGATCTCAGTGTTGCTGAACTTCATGTTCAATTCTCTGTCGTCATCTTGATCTGCCTTTAATCAGCATACAGCACCATTTATCGTTTCTTGCTTCCTGAATCAACTTCTTCCTTTGGGGACCCCACTCCCTCCTGTTTCTTACCTCCCTCCACTAGCACCTCCTTCCCCATCTCCTGGGCAAGTTCTTTCTCGTTTTTCAATTCCTTAGGTCTTTTTTTTCTCCTCTCCTCTCTTCCTTCTCTTTAAATACAATCCACAGGCTGATGACTCTCTAGTCTATGTATCTGGCCTGGACATCTACCTCGGACTCAAGATTTTCACATGCAGTATCTTTTTGGATATCCCTCCTCGTATATCTAGCATAGATCTCACTTTAACATGCTTAAGGCAGAACTCATGAGTTAGTGCGCTCACACAGCCATCTTCCCCGTCTCCGTCAATGACAACTTCATTTATCCCGATGCTCCAGCTGAAGACCCTGGAGTCACCTGGACTCTTCCGCTTCCATCACGCCGCACAGTCAGTCCATCAGCAAACCCTTCCCCACAGTCAGTCCATAAGCAAACCCTTCTGGCTCTGTCAGCCTCTGAGGACTTCTCACCACCCTCATCTCTGGGGATTATTGCACTGATTTTCTACCTGTTCTCCCTTGATCCACTCTTGCCCTGCTCCAGATAAATCTACTAAAAACAAGTCAGATTATGGCACTCTTCTGCCCCAAACCTCCCCGAATTATTGCGATGGTCTGCTACCTGGTCTCTCCTCTTCCGTCTTTGACTCTCTCTCATGTATTTGTTGCAGAGCAGCCAGATTGTTTCTTTTAGGACATCTGCCAGATTGTGCCTCTCCTGTCTTCAGAATCGTCTGATTACTCCCATATCACTTAGAGGGAAAGTCAAACTCGCCCTACCCCATTCTTGGTCCCTGTCTGCTCTCTAATGTCACTTCCCACTGTGTCCTCCTGCCCACCCAGCTCATCACTCTTGCTTCAAACACTCTTTCCTGTGATTCTTTGTGTCTTTCTGCATCATTTCCTTCAGATATCTTCTCAAATACCCCTCTCTGACTACCACGTAAATAAGAGCACCCCTGCTGCAGGCATTCTGCTCGCCTTACTTATTTTGCTTTATAACACTTATCACTCACACCCACACACACTCACACCCACACACATCCACATGCTCACACCCACACACACTCACCCCCACACCCCCACACACATTCACACCTGCACCCACACCTCACACACAGACTCACACACCCACACACACATCCGCACCTCCACACATAGGCTCACATCCCCCCACACCTCCACACTTACACCTACACACCCACACACACTCACCCCGATACACTCACACACCCACACATCCGCATCCCCACACACACTCACCTCCACACCCCCCACATAGACTCACACCCACATGCTCACACCCCCACACGCACTCACCCCACACCCCCACACACATTCACACACGCACCTCACACACAGACTCACACACCCACACACATATCCACACCCCCATACAGACTCACATCCCCCCACACCCCCACACTTACACCTACACACCCACACACACTCACCCCATACACTCACACACCCACACATCCACATCCCCACACACACACCTCCACATCCCCCACAGACTCACACCCATGCACTCACACCCACATGCTCACACCCACACACACACTCACCCCACACCCCCACATACATTCACACCTGCACCCACACACCCACACCTCACATACAGACTCACACACCCACTCACACATCCACAACCCCACACAGACTCACATCTCCCCACACCCCCACACTTACACCTACACACCCAACACACCCCATATACTCACACTCACACCCACACATCTGCATCCCCAGACTCACATCCCCCCACACCCCCACACTTACACCAACACGCCCACACACACTCACCCCCACACGCACACACACATTCACACCCGCACCCACACCCACACCTCACACACAGACTCACACACCCACACACACATCCACAGCCCCACACACAGACTCACTTCCCCCCACCCCCACACTTACACCTACACACCCACACACACCCCCATACACTCACACACATCCGCATCCCCACACACAGACTCACACACCCGCACACACAACTCACGTACACATCCCTTGTATTTGTCTCTCTCCATTAGCATGTAAGTTCCAAGAGAGAAGAGACTTTATATACATATATAGTCTTTTTTTTTTTTTTTGAGATGGAGTTTCGCCCTTGTTGCCCAAGCTGGAGTCCAACTGCACAATCTCAGCTCACTGCACCCTCTGCCTCCCGGGTTTAAGAGATTCTTGTGTCTCAGCCTCCAGAGGAGCTGGGATTACAGGCACCCGCCGCAACGGCCGGCTAATTTTTTGTATTTTTAGTAGAGATGAGGTTTCGCCATGTTGGCCAGGCTGGTCTTGAACTCCTGGCCTCAGGCAGTCTGCCCACCTCGGCCTCCCAAAGTGCTGCAATTACAGACGTGAGCCACCGTGCCCGGCCCAAGACTTTATATTTTTCCCATCACTTTCTTCCTAGCAACCTGAATGGTACGTGGCATGTGGCAGTGTTCAGAACATATTTGTTAAACAAACCAATGTGCTTTATGTTCTTCTTGGGTGTTCTTCAAATTCTTTAAAGGCCCTTTCTTCTCCCTAAGACAGTCAGACTTTTGAAAGAGACTGGCCACTCTAAGGGCAGCAGATGATCAATTCTTGTACACAAGGCCAATGGTACAAGAAAGCAGCAGAGGCACCTTAGCAGGCCAAGCTTTCTCTGCCCCTGTTCTGTGCCCAAGGCAGCATGGCTGGGGGAGGAGCTGGCCTAGAAGCATCCTGTACACAGGAGCCAGATGGTGACCACGAACACCCTCCGTGGCAGAGCCCGGGAGCCAGGGACAGCTGGGTCAGGGTTTGCTTTTCTTCTCACCCTTCCAGTGAGGGCCGCTGACCGAGAGATGGTGGTGAGACTCCTCAGCGTGAGCAGTGCCCCAGACAGGCTCAGATGACTTGCAAGATCACCCGATGTGAGGGCTCAAGACACTTGGAGGAGTTGTGGTGTGAAAAGAAAGCTTCCCATTCTTGGCTAAAGGGGGATTAGGAGAAAACTGAATTCCAACAGGTGTATGAAAAGGTGCTGAACCTCACTAATCATCAGGGAAATGCAAATCAACAGCAGAGTGAGATGCCACCTCACGCCTGTTAGGTGGCTCATATGGTTTGGCTCCGTGTCCCCACCCAAATCTCACCTCCAGTTGTAATCTCCATAATCCCCACGTGTCAAGGGAGGAGCCTGGTGGGAGGTGATTGGATCATGGGGGCCTTTTCCCCCATGCTGTTCTCATGGCAGTGAGGGAGTTCTCGCGAGATCTCATGGTTTCATAAACGGCAGTTTCCCGTGGGCTTCTCTCACTCTCCCCTGCTGTCTTGTAAAGAAGGTTCCTTGCTTTCCCTTCGCCTTCCGCCATGAGTGTAAGTTTCCTGAGGCCTCCCCAGCCATGCGGAACTGTGAGTCCATGAAACCTCCTTGTTTATAAATTACCCAGTCTCAAGTAGTATCTTCATTGCAGTGTGAAAATGGGCTAATACAGTGGCCACTGGTATTAAAACTGTATTAAAACGATGAAAGGTGTGTTGGCAAGGATGGGGGAAAAGGGAACACTTACACATTGTTGGTGAGAATGCAAACTGGTAAATTTGTACAGCCTTGATGAAAAATGGTATGGAGGTTCCTCAAAAAATAAAAAAAAGAAATAGAACTCCCATATGATTCAGCAATTCCACTTCTGGGTATGTATCCACAGGAAATGAGATCAGTGTATTGAAGAGACATCTGTACGCCCAAGTTCACTGCAGCACTATTCACAGCAGCCATGCCATGGAATCAACTCAAGTGTCCACCAGTGGATGCATGGAGAAAGAAAATGTGGCATCTGTATACACACACGGGAGTATTATTCAGCCTTAAAGAGAAGGTAATGATGGTAATGATGCCATTTGGGATAACGTGGATGAACCTGGAGGACATTATGCTAAGTGAAATACGCCTGACACAGAAAGACAAACATGGCGTGATCTCACCCATAGGTGGACTCTAAAGTAGTCAAACTCATAGAAACAGAGCAGAAGGGTGGTGACCAAGAGTCAGGGGTGAGGGAAATGGGGAGATGTTGTTCAAAGGATACAAACTTACAGTCATAAGACGAATAAGTTCTGGAGACCTAATGTGCTGTGTGCTGATAGAGTTAATAGTATTTGGGAAGAGAATAACTCTCAAGCGTTTTGACCACACAGAAGGTAACTATGTGAAGGGATGGGTATGTTAACTAGCTTGGTTGTGACAATCATCTCACAGTGTATACATATTTCAAAACCTCACGCTAGACACATTTGAATATATAATATTTTTATTTGTCAATTATGCCTCCATAGAGCTGGAAAAAAAAAAGAAAAAAAAAAAACCCTGCTGTACTTCCTTCTCAGGAGACCAAATAGGCAAACACAGCCCCTTTGGGTAGGATTATGTCAGTTAAACATGGCCTTGCTGCCCCGAACTGGTGTGTGGACTTCTGGGGCTGAGACTGAGCCCATCTGACAATCTTTGTATACAGTGGCTGCCCATGAGTCTCTATCTCTGTGCCTTGCACCAAGTTGGTGCCCAGTGAATGCCTGATAAACTGCGAGCACCCACAGTGTTTGCTAAATACGTGAAGAGACATATGGTGTGTAGGCTGGTCCAGGTTAGAGGAGTATCTCGATTAGGGCACCTCGGGGGATTCTCCAATGGCTCAACTAAAGACACCTGGAATTTAGTCGGGGCAGCCCTGGGTCAGGGCCACGGTGTTAGGCAAAGTTGACTGCTGTAAATAGCACCTCAACACAGCTTATGTCCTACTCATATAATAGTGCCACTGTGTTGGGGAGCTCCTTCCACACGGTGATTCAGGGACCCAGGTCCTTTCCATCCTGGGACTCTGACCTCCTGTGTGGCTTCTTCATTCAGCTGGCAGATGGTGCAAGGGAGGGATCAGGTCGAGAAGGTGCTTATAAGCCAGGTCTTCATTCAACCATGAATTCACTCCCACTCACATTCCACTGGTGAAACCTCAGCCATTTGGCTTTGCCTAACTACAGGGGGGACTGAGAAATCCTGTTGAGCTGCGTTCCCAAGAGGAAAGGAAGTTGTTTTGGTGGATACCTCGCAGCTTCAGCCACAGCAGTGGAACGAAGCAGGTGCCTCTCCTTACCCCCTATCCACTCCCTGTTAGGTAGGATCCAGGTCGGCTAAGCATGCTGGCTTCAACAGCAGGGATGTGAGGTGAGGGAGGACAGCGATGCAGGAGGAATGGAGATGCGTCTAACACGGGGTCAGACGGCAGATTCGAGGGCTCCCTGATGAATGAGCAAACGCTGGCTCCAGCATATTTACTGCGTCACCTGTAAGTGCATTCCTTGCTGTGCAAACTTGCTAAGTATTTTTAGTAAGGCCAAAAGTTCCCCTAAGCACCGTAATTATCTCGGTTGGAGATGTCAGGAGAGTTTACCGTTAAAGAAGGAGGCGGCCGCTGCAAGCGTGATCATAAGGTACACTCAGTGCTGCTTTTATGGCTGCGGAACAGAACATTCCCGCAGCCGCCTTTACATATGGATAGGGGACTCAAGTGTCCTTTGGGGAGCTGTGGAAGGGTAATTTCTCTTCAGTAGACCAGGGTAAGTTATTCTGACCCACACGGCTCACACCTCAGGAGGCAGGAAAATAAATCAGCACTCTGAAAATCTTCCCTCATTAGGCCAGGCTCTGATGAGACCCCGTGGGTCGTGCTGGTCTGAAGGCAGCAAGCAGGCTGGCTTCCACAGAAATAGAATCAGCCTCATGTGAGAGCTTTCTTGGAATTGGGGGCAGTGTGAGGGGAACAGACCCTGGGAGCTTGGATCTTCTCAGGAAAGGAAAAGTCATTTTTAAAAAAGTGGGCTCATGGCCAGGCATGGTGGCTTATGCCTGTAATCCCAGAACTTTGGGAGGCTGAAGCGGGAGTTTGAGCACAGGAGTTTGAGACCAGCCTGGGCAACATAGTAAGACCGCATCTTTACAGAAAAAATTATAAAAATTAGCAGGTGTGGTGGTGGGTACCTGTGGTCCTAGCTACTCTAGAGGTTGAGGTGGGAGGATCGCTTGAGCCTGGGAGGTTGAGGCTGCAGTGAGCTATGACCAGACCAATGTACTCCAAGCCTGGGTGACAGAGCAAGACCCTGTCTCAAAAAATAATAATAAAATACCAAATGGGCTCAGAGAGAGGTGATCAAGTGTGATGCTCAACAAAGTATATTTGGGATGTAGATTCCCCCCAGTCGAGGTCAGGCATCACCAATGACCGGCTTTGTGATCTTGGGCAGAATTCTTAACCTCTCTGTGCCTTAGTTACCTGCATGGAGAAAGGAGGTGATAAGTCCATATCAGTCAATTTAGTTTTATTTGTGCTGCAGAAACATAGGACCCCCCCCCCCCACCCCCGCCCCACACCATCTCGGTGACTCATCAGAGATTTGTTTCAGGGCCACATTTCGTGTCTATTGTGATATCACATCTTGTTCATTCTGTGAACTGTGTTAACAGAACAGCTCTTGCCTGGGGTGTTGCTGGTCTTATGGGAGAAGAAAAAGAAGGGAAGTGAGGGATCTTTTCATGGCACTTAAAACTCCTGGGAGCAGCAAAAAAGTCACTTCTGTTCCCATTCCAGTGGACTGAGCAAGTCATATGGCTGTGTCAATGTGGGCGGGGCAGTCATGTACGATTCTCCTGTAGGGACTGTTGTTAAGGAAGGAACAGGAGTGAATATTTTAAACAACTGCACAGTCTATCCCAGGTCCACAGTCATTCATTGAAAACCTTGGTGCTCAATTGAGCTTTAAGATTTAGAAATTTAGGCAAGGCGTGGTGGCTCACGCCTGTAATCCCAGCACTTTGCGAGGCCTAGGTGGGCAGATCACGAGGTCAGGAGTTTGAGACCAGCCTGGCCAATATGGTGAAACCCCGTCTCTACTAAAAATACAAAAATTAGCCGGGTGTGGTAGCAGGTGCCTGTAATCCCAGCTACTCAGGAGGCTGAGGCAGGCGAATCACTTGAAACTGGAAGGTGGAGGTTGCAGTGAGCTGAGATTGCGCCACTACACTCCAGCGTGGGTGACAGAGAGAAACTCCGTCTCAAAAAAAAAAAAAAAGATTTAGAAATTTTAAGTTTTATGCACATACACACGCACACACACACAATCTCTATTCATCTATCTTTCTACACATAGATGGATACATAGTATATTAATTTATAGTATCATACTCAGGATTACCTCCAATCTGAGGTAGAACCCTATAATATAAAAACAATATTTCTGTAGTAAAACATGTAAGACAGCAACAGTAAGTGTGCTACAAAAGCATTTTATATAGTTTTGCATTATTCCAGCAAGTTTTCCCACCAAATATTTTGATGCAAACCTATGAAAAAAATTTTGAATTTGAGAGTGATTTTTTTTTTCAAAAAAATTTCAGAATTGTGGATAAGATATTGCAGATCTGTTAGGATGATAAAAATACTGTATAAAAGCCCTTACTGCAACTCTGGCATGTAGCAGGAACTCAGTAAATATCGATATTAATTTTTAAGAGGTAGAAGAGTTTGGAACATCCCCTTAGCAAAATCAACGACAGGTGAAAAGATGATTGAAGTAAGACAATGATGGTCTACAGAACACCATATCCAAAACCCAGGATGTCCTCAGCTTGACGTGCTCCCTGCCCTTAGAGAAAGTATGATGTCTCTATTTTTCTTTTCCTCTGAACAAGGATAGATGAATTCATCGAATTTGTCTCTACTTTACTCTGGGGTTCTTCTAAATTATTAGTTGTTCAGCAAAGCCCTTTCATCATTGCTGGAAAATTGTATCCTCCTTTGGATCTGGGGGCCTCCACTGAGGCTTTCCCTTTCTGCTGCCTTTCTCGGCCCCCAAGGTGACCTTCCCAGTCCTCCGTGCCATGTTTCTAAGGCTTGCTGAGCAATGACAGCCAACTGTATCAAGCTGTTTCAAAAATACTGGCCTAAAGCCGCTCTTCCCTGGAAGGACATTTGCATTCACATAGGACCAGAAGCACCTGAACTTAAAGGAATTTCTAAAGCAGAAATGGCTGGCCTCCAGCTACCTAGATGGAGGGAAGGATCATTTGAGTCTGAGGACTCCCTAAGGTCAGAAAGCTACCTTGGGAGAACATTTGATCGTCAATCAGATCTCTCAGCTTTGCACGAAGACACATTTGCAGCCCACCACCAATGCCGCCCCCTCAGCCCTGGTCAGTGGCCCGGCTTGCAGCTGCTTTGCCAGGGAACCCTAGGGAAACTGAGAGAGAGGCGATTCTTCACAGCCCCTTTGTCCTACTAACAACCAGAAAATCCACTCAAAGGTCACCTTTGTTTTTGAAAGATGTGACATTTTTTCAGCTAGTTAATGACACACTGGGGAATTGCAGTGTGTAGGTCTGTGGTGCTTGGTTCTGGAAAGACACATGGCTCATATTTGAGTTTCAGACTTTGGGGAAATTAGTAGGATTTTTCACTGCACACGCTCAGTCCTCAGTTTGCCTCTGTGAGTCTCAGCTTGTAACATCTGCGTGTCAGTCAGCCCTTTCCGCAGGCAGCTCCCGGGTGGACAGCTGGGTGTTCTGCTTTCCTGTAGGAATTTTTGTTAAGGTAACGTGCTCTCTCTGGATGCACCTTGCAGACACAGTGCTCATATTCTTCCTCTGCAAAGACCCTTCTCAGCTGGTCTCTTCTTGCTGCCCCTCGACAGTGCATGCCCCCAGCACTCAGAGTGACCTGCAAAGGTTGCAGACAAGGTCCTGCCAACCAAGAGCTTCTTGCTGCACTTAGAATAACATTCCAGCTGCTGCTGCTTTTTTTTTTTCTTTTGAGATGGTGTCTCGCCCCGGCTGGAGTGCAGTGGCACAATCAGCTCACTGCAACCTCCGTCTCCTGGGTTCAAGCGATTCTTGTGCCTCAGCCTCCCGCGTAGCTGGGATTACAGTTGCCTGCCACCATGCCCGGCTAATTTTTAAAATCTTTAATACGGACAGGGCTTCACCATATTGGCCAGGCTGGTCTCGAACTCCTGATCTCAAGTGATCCATTCACCTTGGCCTCCCAAAGTCCTGGGATTACAGGAGTGAGCCACTGCACCCAGCTGTGTTCCAGTTTCTATCACAGCCGCCAGGCCCTCTGCATGTGTCCCTGCCCATGGCTTCTGTCTCATCTCCCAGCATGGCCCTCCCTGCCCTCTCCTCCAGCCTCACTGGCCTCCCCAGACATGCTGCCCCTGGACCTAGCACTCCTGACTTCCTTCAACAACCTGCATCCCTCTGCTCACAAGGCTGGCTCAAATGTGCGTCCTCCATGCAGACCTTCATCAACTGCCTGTCCCCAGCAGCCACCAGCCCCAGGACTTTTTCCATAGAGCCACTCATCAGTTTTGAGATGACCTTGTTTATTTACACCCCTTTTCATTGTTTGCCCTCACTCCGCCCCTTACAATGGTGATTTCCCCAGAAGCCTCAGCCTCACGTGCTCCTAGTTTCAATCTCTAAAGAAAGGTTCTCTCTTCCTAGAATTCCCATGAAATGTCTAAGGATTGAGCCTTGTTGGCTGACAGAGTTGTGTGCTTATCCCTGAACCAATCACTGTGGCTGTTTAGATTCTATCTTCTGCTTGGACAGGTAGGAGCCACACCTCCCCTCCGGGTGGTGATTTAGGGATCCCATGCAAGAAGGGGGGTTTCCCAAAGGAAGTCCAGGGTGCTGCTACCAAGAGAAGGGGCAATACTGGGTTCGCTGCTGGATCTTGCACCGTGAGTGCTGCTGGGCCCGTCGTAGGTGCTCAAGAGATTTGAAAGAATGAATAAATGAATAAGCACTCACAGGGTTGCTAGAGAATTGAATGAGATGGCTCATGCAACGTTCTCAGCAAGGCTTTCATGTGAAGCTGGTGTCCCATGAGCATGGACTATCATTATTAAGAGGGTTTACTGGGAGGTAGTGCCTGCAAGCTGGTAGCCTCTGGGTCAAATCTGAGCCACAGACCAATTTGGTTAGGATTTCAGAATGTTCTAAAAAATGGAACCAACATGAAAACATTGGAGGGGTTTATGTTAAATCCTGATTTCTAGATAGTTTTCCATAGGCCTGCTATCCTTCAAAATCAGAAATATGTCAACGCCAGCCTCACCTTTTAGATGACCACCACTGGCTCGTGCCGAGTGGCACCTGCTCTTATCTGATGGCAGTATGTCTCCAGCTCACGGCAGCCCCCACACCTGTCAGTACTTTTTTTTTCTTGCCCAGGCTGGAGTGCAGTGGCACTGGGCTCCAGCAGTCTTTTCACCTTGGCCTCCCAAAGGGCTGGGATTAAAGGTGTGAGCCACCACTCTCAGCCTTTTCACTACTTTTTATCTGGCCCTGGTAGCATCTGAGTTTGTATGATGGATGGAGATGTGCCGATCAGAGTAGGACCTTCGATTCTTTCTTTTTTCTTTTTTTTTTTTTTTGACAGGGCCTTTCTCTGTCTCCCAGGCTGGAGTGCAGTGGTGCAATCACGGCTCACTGCAGCCTCAACCTCTCAGGCTCAAGCGATCCTCCCACCTCAGCCTCCTGAATAGCTGGGACTGCAGGAATGCATACCACACCTGGCTAATTTTGTTTGTTTTGTAGAGAGGGGGTCTTGCTCTGTTGCCCAGGCTGGTTTGTAACTCCTGGGCTCCTTTGTCAGCCTCCCAAAGTGCTGGGATTACAGGCGTGAACCACTGTGCCCAGCCCCTTGATTCCTAAATGTTTCAGTTTCTGAAGCAGAGGCTGCCTTGGGGCATGGGGCCTGCAGTAAACCCAAACTCATTTTCTTGTTCCTCTGCAGCCACAGATATATTTTTGGACCCCACACAGCTCTCTATTCTGAGCTGTAGAGCAGTGTCCTTTGGGTTTCTTTCTGCTTGAAGCGGCCCCAGTGGGTCCATGGATGTGGTGACGGTGGGTAATGTTGGCCGGCTGCCTCCCCTCCAGGAAGCTGTCAGCCACCAGCTCTCTGCACCCAGCTTGCAAGCGAGATGAGTCCACTCTTCCCGTAAATCCTAGTCGCCTTCCAGCTCTCAGATGCCTGGAAGTCTCCCTGCCATAAGGAGGCAGCATCCCACCCTGACCTCCAGCGCTCCACGGTTAGCCTGGAGAAGGGTGGGGACAAATATGAGTCTACCTGCTAGACAGGAGGATGAACAAGAAGCTCTTGGGCACTGCTGTTCCCCATCAGCTATGACCAGGACTCGTCACCCCTCAAAGCAGCAAACAACAAAGAACTCCTCATCCCTAACTTCCAGCCCCTAGATCTCCCCCTAATTCCCCACCGTGCCCCACACATGTGGGCCAAGCCAGCCTCTAACAGCCGAATGATGGTTGTAGCCTTTCCGCGCACACGCAATTTACAGTTCCTGCAGGAACTCCGTGGAGAGCCCCTCTGAGCAGGAGTGGTCTGCAGAGCAATTAGGATGAAAAAGCGTCTGGGCTGCCGATGGCTATGAAGCTTTCTACCTTGTCACACAGGAGAATTTATGTTGCTGCAGGATGTAGCAACTGAATGGCTGGTGCAGGGCTCACCCTGTAACTCTTGGCTTGTTGCAAAGGCAGATAAATGTCTCCCTTTTCTGTGAAAAGCAGACAGGAATGAACAGCTCTAAACAGGCCTATTTTGGCCATGAGTCTTTTATGAAGGGCTAGTTATTATAATTAGCTGGTGTAATAGAAACCCTTAATGGAGGTGTATTCTTTGCAGATATAGTGGGATAAAAAACTGTTTTGTTTGTTTGTTTTGCTTTTCCCCGGAGTCCCATTCTGTCGCCCAGGCTGGAGTGCAGTGGCACGATCTCAGCTCACTGAAATCTCCGCCTCCCAGATTCAAGCAATTCTCCTGCCTCAGCCTCCCAAGTAGCTGGGACTACAGGCGCACACCACCACACCCAGCTAATTTTTTGCGTTTTCAGTAGAGACGGAGTTTCGCCATGCTGGCCAGACTGGTCTCAAACTCCTGACCTCATGATCTGCCTGCCTTGGCCTCTGAAAGTGCTGGGATTACAGGCGTGAGCCACCGTGCCTGGCCAGCACTGGTTTTCAGCAACTGTCTGTGGAGCTGCATTGAGTGCTGCTGGGAGAGGCAGTGTTCCCAGATTTTACTCTGAAATCGAGAGTGAAGGAAAGCACTTGCACAGTCAAAAAAATGGAAGTATGGCCGGGCGCGGTGGCTCACGCCTGTAATCCCAGCACTTTGGAAGGCCGAGGCGGGCGGATCACGAGGTCAGGAGATCGAGACCATCCCGGCTAAAACGGTGAAACCCCGTCTCTACTAAAAATACAAAAAATTAGCCGGGCGTAGTGGCGGGCGCCTGTAGTCCCAGCTACTCAGGAGGCTGAGGCAGGAGAATGGCGTGAACCCGGGAGGCGGAGCTTGCAGTGAGCCGAGATCCCGCCACTGCACTCCAGCCTGGGCGACAGAGCGAGACTCCGTCTCAAAAAAAAAAAAAAAAAAAATGGAAGTATGATTCGTCCTCCTTGATTTGCTACCCTGTCCCCAGACACTCCCCCTTCACACACAGACTTAATGGCAACAGACATGCACACGCGTGCACACACGCACACATACACCCTCTCGGCACCCGTCAGCACCAAGAAAACAACTCGTCAGTGAAATGTCTTTTGTGGCTACCAGGATGCAAAGTGCTAGACTGTTGCCTTAGTTTCAGATTTTCGTTTGCTCCATTTTCTTTGGAGTTTCAATATGACTCAGAGCCTGACAGCAGGACTTCTTACGTTTCTTCTGTTCCTCACCCCATATCACTCCCTTGACTACTCCTGGGCTTGTCCCTGTCTGTCATGGGTGGAATGTCATTCCCCCGAAAGTCATGTCCACCCAGAACCTCAGAATGGGATCTTACTTGAAAATAGGGTCTTTGCAGATTCACCAGTTAAGGGTCTAGAGATGATATCATCTTGGATTTAGTGTGGTCCCTATATCCAATGACTCAGTGTCCTTATAAGAGGAGAAGGCCAGGCACAGTGGCTCATGCCTGTAATCCCAGCACTTTGGGATGCCGAGATGGGCAGATCACTTGAGGTCAGGAGTTCGAGACCAGACTGGCCAACATGGAGACCAGACTGGCCAACATGGTGAAACCCCCAGCTCTACTAAAAATACAAAAATTAGCTGGGCATGGTGGTGCACGCCTGTAGTCCCAGCTACCTGGGAGGCTGAGGCAGGAGAATCACTTGAACCCGGGAGACAGAGGTTGCAGTGAGCTGAGATTGTGCCATTGCACTCAGCCTGGGTGACAGAGAAGGACTCTGTCAAAAAAAAAAAAAAAAAAGAAAAAGAAAGTCCGAAGGCCAAAGCCAGCAGGCCTAAGGATAAAAGAAGACACAGAGGGTTACCCAGGGAGAAGAGGGCCATGGGATGGCAGAGGTGGGGATTGGTGTGACGTGGCCACAAGCCAAGAATTCAGGGAGCCACCAGAAGCTGCAGGAGGGAAAGGCTCCCTCCTAGGCCCTTCAGAGGGATCACAGGGCTCTGCTGACGTCTGGGATTTGGACTTCTAGGCTCCACAACTATGAGGGAACACATTTCTGTTGTCTGTGCCATTTTGTTATGGCAACCCTAGGAAGCAAATATGCTGTCTGAGGAATAGAAGGAGCCTCGCTGGTGATTGGCTTGTCATCCTGGCCACGCCACCACCCTCCTTCACGTGACTGTGTGCCTCTAGGTGGTTCTAATCATGGTGTGAAGCTGGAAGGACTTGGCGTTTGTTGAATGAGTAAGCAAGATGGTGAATGATGAGAGGGGGGTGGCTGGAGGCCTGCTGCACAGGCCATTGTGCAAATGGGGCCACTGGCACTCTGCCTCCATGCCCATCTTTTGGGCTGAGAACAAACAGGGAGAATGAACCTTGCTGCTGGCAGACCCCTTTTTCTTTTCTTTTTTTTTTTTTTAAATTTTATTATTATTATACTTTAAGTTTCAGGGTACATGTGCACAATGTGCAGGTTTGTTACACATGTATACATGTGCCATGTTGGTGTGCTGCACCCATCAACTCGTCATTTAGCATTAGATATATCTCCTAATGCTATCCCTCCCCACTCCCCCTACCCCACAACAGTCCCCGGTGTGTGATGTTCCCCTTCCTGTGTCCATGTGTTCTCATTGTTCAATTCTCATCTATGAGTGAGAACATGTGCTGTTTGGTTTTTTGTCCTTGCAATAGTTTGCTGAGAATGATGGTTTCCAGCTTCATCCATGTCCCTACAAAGGACATGAACTCATCCTTTTTTATGGCTGCATAGTATTCCATGGTGTATATGTGCCACATTTTCTTAATCCAGTCTATCATTGTTGGACATTTCGGTTGGTTCCAAGTCTCTGCTATTGTGAATAGTGCCGCAATAAACATACATGTGCATGTGTCTTTATAGCAGCATGATTTACAATCCTTTGGGTATATACCCAGTAATGGGATGGCTGGGTCAAATGGTATTTCTAGTTCTAGATCCCTGAGGAATCGCCACACCGACTTCCACAATGGTTGAACTAGTTTACAGTCCCACCAACAGTGTAAAAGTGTTCCTATTTCTCCACATCCTCTCAGCACCTGTTGTTTCCTGACTTTTTAATGATCTCCATTCTAACTGTTGTGAGATGGTATCTCATTGTGGTTTTGATTTGCATTTCTCTGATGGCCAGTGATGATGAGCATTTTTTCATGTGTTTTTTGGCTGCATAAATGTCTTCTTCTGAGAAGTATCTGTTCATATCCTTTGCCCACTTTTTGATGGGGTTGTTTGTTTTTTTCTTGTAAATTTGTTTGAGTTCATTGTAGATTCTGGATATTAGCCCTTTGTCAGATGAGTAGGTTGCAAAAACTTTCTCCCATTCTGTAGGTTGCCTGTTCACTCTGATGGTGGTTTCTTTTGCTGTGCAGAAGCTCTTCAGTTTAATTAGATCCCATTTGTCAATTTTGGCTTTTGTTGCCATTGCTTTTGGTGTTTTAGACATGAAGTTCTTACCCATGCCTATGTCCTGAATGGTATTGCCTAGGTTTTCTTCTAGGGTTTTTATGGTTTTAGGTCTAACATGTAAGTCTTTAATCCATCTTGAATTAATTTTTGTATAAGGTGTAAGGAAGGGATCCAGTTTCAGCTTTCTACATATGGCTAGCAGGTTTTCCCAGCACCATTTATTAAATAGGGAATCCTTTCCCCATTGCTTGTTTTTGTCAGGTTTGTCAAAGATCAGATAGTTGTAGATATGTGACATTATTTCTGAGGGCTCTGTTCTGTTCCATTGGTCTATATCTCTGTTTTGGTACCAGTACCATGCTGTTTTGGTTACCATAGCCTTGTAGTATAGTTTGAAGTCAGGTAGTGTGATGCCTCCAGCTTTGTTCTTTTGGCTTAGGATTGACTTGGCAATGTGGGCTCTTTTTTGGTTCCATATGAACTTTAAAGTAGTTTTTTCCAATTCTGTGAAGAAAGTCATTGGTAGCTTGATGGGAATGGCACTGAATCTTTAAATGACCTTGGGCAGTATGGCCATTTTCACGATATTGATTCTTCCTACCCATGAGCATGGAATGTTCTTCCATTTGTTTGTATCCCCTTTTATTTCATTGAGCAGTGGTTTGTAGTTCTCCTTGAAGAGGTCCTTCACATCCCTTGTAAGTTGGATTCCTAGGTATTTTATTCTCTTTGAAGCAATTGTGAATGGGAGTTCACTCATGATTTGGCTCTCTGTTTGTCTGTTATTGGTGTATAAGAATGCTTGTGATTTTTGCACATTGATTTTGTATCCTGAGACTTTGCTGAAGTTGCTTATCAGCTTAAGGAGATTTTGGGCTGAGATGATGGGGTTTTCTAGATATACAATCATGTCATCTGCAAACAGGGACAATTTGACTTCTTCTTTTCGTAATTGAATGCCCTTTATTTCCTTCTCCTGCTTGATTGCCCTGGCCAGAACTTCCACACTATGTTGAATAGGAGTGGTGAGAGAGGGCATCCCTGTCTTGTGCCAGTTTTCAAAGGGAATGCTTCCAGTTTTTGCCCATTCAGTATGATATTGGCTGTGGGTTTGTCATAGCTAGCTCTTATTATTTTGAGATACATCACATCAATACCTAATTTATTGAGAGTTTTTAGCATGAAGCATTGTTGAATTTTGTCAAAGGCTTTTTCTGCATCCATTGAGATAATCATGTGGTTTTTGTCTTTGGTTCTGTTTATATGCTGGATTACGTTTATTGATTTTCGTATGTTGAACCAGCCTTGCATCCCAGGGAGGAAGCCCACTAGATCATGGTGGATAAACTTTTTGATGTGCTGCTGTATTTGGTTTGCCAGTATTTTATTGAGGATTTTTGCATCAATGTTCATCAAGGATATTGGTCTAAAATTCTCTTTTTTGGTTGTGTCTCTGCCAGGCTTTGGTATCAGGATGATTCTGGCCACATAAAATGAGTTAGGGAGGATTCCCTCTTTTTCTATTGATTGGAATAGTTTCAGAAGGAATGGTACCAGCTCCTCCTTGTACCTCTGGTAGAATTCGGCTGTGAATCCATCTGTTCCTGGACTTTTTTTGGTTGGTAAGCTATTGATTATTTCCTCAATTTCAGTGCCTGTTATTGGTATATTCAGAGATTCAACTTCTTCCTGGTTTAGTCTTGGGAGGATGTATGTGTCAAGGAATTTATCCATTTCTTCTAGATTTTGTAGTTTATTTGCATAGAGGTGTTTATAGTATTCTCTGATGGTAGTTTGTATTTCTGTGGGATCGGTGGTGATATCCCCTTTATCATTTTTTATTGCGTCTATTTGATTCTTCTCTCTTTTCTTCTTTATTAGTCTTGCTGTCTATCAATTTTGTTGATCTTTTCAAAAAACCAGCTCCTGAATTCATTAATTTTTTGAAGGGTTTTTTGTGTCTCTATTTCCTTCAGTTCTTCTCTGATCTTAGTTATTTCTTGCCTTCTGCTAGCTTTTGAATGTGTTTGCTCTTGCTTCTCTAGTTCTTTTAATTGTGATGTTAGGGTGTCAATTTTAGATCTTTCCTGCTTTCTCTTTTGGGCATTTAGTGCTATAAATTTCCCTCTACACACTGCTTTGAATGTGTCCCAGAGATTCTGGTATGTTGTCTTTGTTCTCATTGGTTTCAAAGAACACCTTTATTTCTGCCTTCATTTCGTTATGTACCCAGCAGTCATTCAGGAGCAGGTTGTTCAGTTTCCATGTAGTTGAGTGGTTTTGAGTGAGTTTCTTAATCCTGAGTTCTAGTTTGATTGCACTGTGGTCTGAGAGACAGTTTGTTATAATTTCTGTTCTTTGACATTTGCTGAGGAGTGCTTTACTTCCAACTATGTCAATTTTGGAATAGGTGTGGTGTGGTGCTGAAAAGAATGTATATTCTGTTGATTTGGGGTGGAGAGTTCTGTAGATGTCTATTAGTTCCGCTTGGTTTAGAGCTGAGTTCAATTCCTGGGTATCCTTGTTAACTTTCTGTCTTGTTGATCTGTCTAATGTTGACAGTGGGGTGTTAAAGTCTCTGATTATTATTGTGTAGGAGTCTAAGTCTCTTTGTAGTTCACTAAGGACTTGCTTTATGAATCTGGGTGCTCCTGTATTGGGTGCATATATATTTAGGACAGTTTGCTTTTCTTGTTGAATTGATCCCTTTACCATTATGTAATGGCCTTCTTTGTCTCTTTTGATCTTTGTTGGTTTAAAGTCTGTTTTATCAGAGACTAGGATTGCAATCCCTGCCTTTTTCTGTTTTCCATTTGCTTGGTAGATCTTCCTCCATCCCTTTATTTTGAGCCTATGTGTGTGTCTGCACGTGAGATGGGTTTCCTGAATACAGCACACTGATGGGTCTTGACTCTTTATCCAATTTGCCAGTCTGTGTCTTTTAATTGGAGCATTTAGCCTATTTACATTCAAAGTTAGTATTGTTATATGTGAATTTGATCCTGTCATTATTATGTCAGTTGGTTATTTTGCTCATTAGTTGATGCAGTTTCTTCCTAGCCTCGATGGTCTTTACAATTTGGCATGTTTTTGCAGTGGCTGGTACTGGTTGTTCCTTTCCATGTTTAGTGCTTCTTCCTTCAGGAGCTCTTTTAGGACAGGCCTGGTGGTGACAAAATCTCTCAGCATTTGCTTGTCTGTAAAGTATTTTATTTCTCCTTCACTTATGAAGCTTAGTTTGGCTGGATATGAAATTCTGGGTTGAAAATTCTTTTCTTTAAGAATGTTGAATATTGCCCCCCACTCTCTTCTGGCTTGTAGAGTTTCTGCCAAGAGATCAGCTGTTAGTCTGATGTGCTTCCCTTTGTGGGTAACCCGACCTTTCTCTCTGGCTGCCCTTAACATTTTTTCCTTCATTTCAACTTTGGTGAATCTGGCAATTATGTGTCTTGGAGTTGCTCTTCTCGAGGATTATCTCTGTGGTGTTCTCTGTATTTCCTGAATTTGAATGTTGGCCTGCCTTGCTAGATTGGGGAAGTTCTCCTGGATAATATCCTGCAGAGTGTTTTCCAACTTGGTTCCATTCTCCCCGTCACTTTCAGGTACACCAAACAGACGTAGGTTTGGTCTTTTCACATAGTCCCATATTTCTTGGAGGCTTTGTTTCTTTTTATTCTTTTTTCTCTAAACTTCTCTTCTCACTTCATTTCATTCATTTCGTCTTCCATCACTGATACCCTTTCTTCCAGTTGATCGCAGCGGCTACTGAGGCTTGTGCATTCGTCACGTAGTTCTCGTGCCTTGGTTTTCAGCTCCATCAGGTCCTTTAAGGACTTCTCTGCATTGGTTATTCTAGTTATCCATTCATCTAATTTTTTTTCAAAGTGTTTAACTTCTTTGCCATTGGTTCAAACTTCCTCCTGTAGCTAGGAGTAGTTTGATCGTCTGAAGCCTTCTTCTCTCAACTTGTCAAAGTCATTCTCTGTCCAGCTTTGTTCTGTTGCTGGTGAGGAGCTGCGTTCCTTTGGAGGAGGAGAGGAGCTCTGATTTTTAGAGTTTCCAGTTTTTCTGCTCTGTTTTTTCCCCATCTTTGTGGTTTTATCTACCTTTGGTCTTTGATGATGGTGACGTACAGATGGGTTTTTGGTGTTGATGTTCTTCTTGTTTGTTAGTTTTCCTTCTAACAGGACCCTCAGCTGCAGGTCTCTTGGAGTTTGCTAGAGGTCCACTCCAGACCCTGTTTGCCTGGATATCAGCAGTGGTGGCTGCAGAACAGTGGATATTGGTGAACCGCAAAGGCTGCTGCCTGATCGTTCCTCTGGAAGTTTTGTCTCAGAGGAGTACCTGGCTGTGTGAGGTGTCAGTCTGCCCCTACTGGGGTGTGCCTCCCAGTTAGGCTACTCGGGGGTCAGGGACCCACTTGAGGAGGCAGTCTGCCCATTCTCAGATCTCAAGCTGCATGCTGGGAGAAGCACTACTCTCTTCAAAGCTATCAGACAGGGACATTTAAGTCTGCAGAGGTTACTGTTGTCCTTTTGTTTGTCTGTGCCCTGCTCCCAGAGGTGGAGCCTACAGAGGCAGGCAGGCAGGCCTCCTTGAGCTGTGGTGGGCTCCACCCAGTTCGAGCTTCTTGGCTGCTTTGTTTACCTAATCTAGTCTCAGCAATGGCAGGCGCCCCTCCCCCAGCCTTGTTGCCTCCTTGCAGTTTGATCTCAGACTTCTGTGCTAGCAATGAGCAAGACTCCGTGGGCATAGGACCCTCCGAGGCAGGTGCAGGATATAATCTCCTGGTGTGCCATTTGTTAAGCCCATTGGGAAAGTGCAGTAGTAGGGTGGGAGTGACCTGATTTTCCAGGTGCCATCTGTCATCCCTTTCTTAGACTAGGAAAGGGAATTCCCTGACCCCTTGCGCTTCCCGGGTGAGGTGATGCCTCGACCTGCTTCGGCTCGCGCACGGTGCACTGCACCCACTGTCCTGCACCCACTGTCTGGCACTCCCCAGTGAGATGAACCCAGTACCTCAGTTGGAAATGCAGAAATCACCCATCTTCTGGGTAGCTCACGCTGGGAGCTGTAGACCGGAGCTGTTCCTATTTGGCCATCTTCGCTCCTCCTGCTATTGTTTATAAGAATGAGCAATCAAAACAGGCATGTACCACAGTTTCTTAATCTACTTGTCCATTGGCAAACACTTAGGGTGTTTCCATATCTTGGCTATTGTGAATAATGCTCATTTTTGTTTATAGGAGATCAATTTATGGTATCTTCTCTCTCTCTGTCCTTCTCACTCTTTGCCATGGGGTGATGCAGCAAGAAGGCCCTCCTCAGATTCTTGTCCCTCAGTCTTGGATGTTCTAGCACGATCACTAGGTGAGGTCTCACAATAGGCCATTTGCAAGCTGAGGAGCAAGGAAGCCAGTCTGAGTCCCAAATCTGAAGAACCTGGAGTCTACCTTCGAAGGCAGGAAGCATCCAGTATGGGAGAAAGATATAGACCTGAAGATAAAGCTAGTTGCAGCAGACCCCTTTCTCTATCACAAAGTGTCAGATTAGTAAGACTCATTCTTGGGCACAGATGCCCAGGGAAGCCCCTTGAGGTCATTCTATGAATGAAGTAATGTTGCCTGCTGAAATCATGAAAAGCAACCCAGGAGTAAGTATATCTCCCATTGGCAAAAACTGCTCAGACTTCAAAGCACCCCATTCTATCACCATTGCAGAATCTCTATGGGTATGTGACTGCCCCAACCCCATTCAATTCTAAAATTTCCATGGCCACAAGCACTCCTTTTGGTTATTTAGTAAACACCAGATACTTCAGGCATGTTTAGGGGGGACTGGGGACAAAATCACAATATATAGTTGATGCTTCATTATTCTCTATTAGTAGATAATGAAACATCTATTATCTACTGCTGTTTACCTCTTTGGACATTTTTTAGCTCATGATTACTTAGATGAGAACAAGTTTTGAAAGGGAGAGGATGAAGGGAGGAGTTGAGTCTTTGGGGAGTGTGGTCCAAGGAGGCAAAGGGGACTAACAGGCAGGTGGGAAGGTGTGGCCGGTGAAGAGTCTCACACCATGGATGGCATTTGCTGTTTGAAGGAAAGGCACTCAGCAGGAAAGGCTAAGGAGAAAGACCCCTTCTGCTGTGAGGATTTCAAATCACACTTGCTTCATTTTACCCAGTTTGTAGGTGGTAGAGAAATAGGGAGATTTCAGGACCAGGCAAAATAATATTTGTTTCTTCTGCTTACAAGAATTATTGGTCAGGTGCGGTGGCTCATGCCTGTCATCCCAGCACTTTGGGAGGCTGAGGCAGGAGTATCACTTGAGGCCAGGAGTTTGAGACCAGCCTGGGCAACATAGTAAGACCCAGACTCTACAAAATATAAAATAAAGAAGTAATTGGGTGTGACGTGTGTCTGTAGACCCAGCTACTCTGGAGGCCAAGGTGGGAAAATCACTTGATCCTGGGAGGTCAAGGCTGCAGTGAACCATGATTGCACTACTGCACTCCAACCTGGGCAACAGAGCAAGACCCTGTCTCAAAAAAAAAAGGAGAAAAGAAAAATAATTCTTTATAAATCCAAAAAGGCAATTGCTAATAAGCCATTTCAGAAATGAACCATAGACCTCTCGTTCTAGTGTGAAGAGAGGCCAGTGGACATTTAAATTTGCCCTTTTTCTTGGTAATAGCATCCTGGCCTTCTTTTGGGAAAGCTCTCTTCTTGCATGGGGCCTCTAGGCCACCCCCAGGAGGGGAGGTGTGGCTCCTACCTAACCAGTCAGAAGATAGAATCTAAATGGCCATGGAGATTGGTTCAGGGATGGGCACATGACTCTTGTTAGCCAATGAGGCTCAATTCTTGGACATTTCATGGAAATGCCAAGAGGAGAGAAGCTTTCTTTAGAGAATGAAACCAGGAGAACGTGTGTTGAGGCTTCTGGGGCAATTACCATGTTGGAAGAGGCTTCCTGAGAGTCATGCCATTTCAGAGGAAAGCTAAGCCAGACGGCAAAAAGAATCTAAGTCTTGATGCCCTCCAGACACCGTTTTATTTTACATGTGACTATGAATTTCCTTTTCTACTTAAAACCATTTGACCCAAGATTCTGTCATTTACAACTGCCTAGGTGTATCCTAATAAACGTAGGCATCATGAGTATCATTAATAGGAAGTTGAGGGTTGTTTTCATCAGGAAACAGAACAAATGTAGATAGATAGATGCCTCCAAGTATGATCACGCAAGCCTTTGAAAAATAATTTCTTAATAAAACAAGCAACAGTTTTTTCTCCACAGTTCTGCATAAATATTGATTAAATTCTTCCCAGGCCTTATTTGGTCTGAGGCCCACACTTGTGATTCAGTATTGTATTTTCAACAGACATTTAATAACATGTTAAGAGTCTCATTGTTACAGACTTTTCTTCCTAGTTGATGCTTCCTGATGACATAGAGAGGCATTTTAATCTCATCAATAACTTGTCTCCAAGCTGTATTTTCAGGAAGGTTTGCTTTTGGAAGCATTCCTGCAGCCAGTTAATTCCATCTGTGGGATGTAACTTACTATTATCTCATGGATTGACCTATCATTTCTAGAAGACTAAGGGGCTTATATTTTGGGGTTCATCCAAGGTTCTTTGGGTTGCCAGTGACAGAAATGGACTTTGACTAACTTGGAGAGAAATGGGCTTTATTAGAGGGTATCTTACAAAATGGGAAAGTAGAATGAAAACGAGACTTAAAATGGGCAGGAGAAAACCAAGGTAGCAGAGCAGGAATAGGAAATAGAAACCAATGGCTGGGCTCTTGAGGGCACCAAGGAGATATCCTTTAGTGGAGGAAACTAAAGCATCCTGGTTGAGAGCTTCACCAGACTGCGTCTGACAGGGGAAAAGTGGCTGCCCCAAAGGAAATTTGGAATATTGTTGCCAGAAAAAGGTGGAAAAGTTGCTGACAGCAAAACAGGAGCTGACTACTCCATCCTCTTTGACCTCTTGGTTGACAGAGGGATTGCATTCAGAATTTTTAATAACTAGTATGAGCACTGACAAATCAGAATGGAACTGGCCGTAAACATCTGGGATGCCCCTGTTGGTGTACGCGAGCTGAACATCAGTCACAACTGCAGGTAGACATAGTTTTCACTCGTAAAGAATTTAGTTTTCTTTTTCTGAAAGCTGGATAAGTAAAAATAAAAAACACTGGTTTCTTATTTACATTGTCTTTCCTTCCTATACATTCATTTCTGGATAATTTTGGAACCAGTGTGTCTAACGAGGAGAGCCTTGGGCTAGGAATTCTGACATTCTGTCATTTCAACTCTTCGTCTTCAGCTGGGTCCTGCTGTCTTATCTTGATCTGTTTTCCTACCATAAATGTGAGGCTGGGGACCTTTAAATTCAATGAAATTCAATTCCTGTTTGCCTAGCATATCTCAGCCACAAGTGACAAATTTATTAACTGTAAAAAAGCAACAGTCTCTGAATAAGACAGCTGCTTGTCTTTTGGTTGTTTTGTTAGACTGAGAAGCAAGATCGCCCAGAACTTGAAGATTTCAGTCTCTCACATTGATAAAAGTTAAAAGTACACACATGGGCTTCCTGTTTAGCATTTCTGCTGTCAGAGCCAGCTTTAGTTAGATGAAACCCCTCCCCAAAACAAAGCCAAACACTGTCTCTTTTCATCTTAGGGAACAACAGCTTAATTGCCTTCCCCATTTAGTAACCATTTAGTAACCAAATACATTGATATGTTCATTAATGAAATGTTTTATGCTATTTGGATTCTTTGAGAGGAGAAGAAAAAAAGCTAACCCCAATCTATAAATCAAGTTAAATAATTTCTATTCCCTTCTGCAGGCAACTTTTTCACACTCTCTGTGTGTTATATTATCTGTGTGAAACAGACGCTGGCAGAGGGAAAAATGACAGGACATTCTAAGCTAATTTAATGAAGTAGCTCCAAATATTGTATCAAAATAAATGAAGTGAATAATGCAAGAGCTCATTGTTGGGTCTCTCTACAACAGTAACCATTGTGTGAGTCACACACCAGAGGCAATTCAGACGGATGGCTGAGTTTGAAGGTGCCACTGTAACATATTACATAGCAAGAAACAATAGGCAGCCTCAATTGCTATATTTAATTTCAGTAATTATTTGAGTCCAGGAACTGAGAAGAAATGGGAGAGTAGTGAAGAAAAGTTACAACCCTTTCATGTTTAAGTTTTTGCTTTAAATTTAATGAGATAGCAGCAGACCTGTTTTTGCATTTTAACTCTTCTAGATCTCTTGGTGGACTACCCATGGGAAATGTTTTTGCTCTAGGGAAGAACATTGCTCAGAAGCTAGTGCCTCTCATTCCAGTGGGATTTTGTCATTTTTTGACTGTTGAACACCAGTGATCCCTTTAAGAGAGTTGGAAGCTGAAGGTGTGAGATTCTTCTCACAGCTGGGTCAGTACAAGGCTAGGGCTTTGTCAACCTGAGTCTTCTTCAGGAATTCTGATTCTTGAACCAGAAGTGCGGGGAGGCTGGGGGCTATAGGAGGTCACACCCATGGCAGGAACAGAAGTGGCTTTTGTTTCCTCTGCTGTGGTATCCAATATCTCACTCTTTGCTGTTCCCTTGGTTCTGTTCATTTCCCAAGCATTTATCCCCAGTCATTTGTTCTCTGAGCCTCTCATCTCTTTTCAATAATGAGTCAATTTCTGTTGCCTGCAACCAAGAAATCTGGCCATCTCCAACAAGCTTTGTAGTGGCAAATGCTGTTTATTTTGGCTCAGACAAAAAAAAAAAAAGCAAGGTAGCTTATAAACATCCTGAAGGGGCTTGAAAATAAGAAGACAATGTTCAACGACTTCATTTAACTCTTACTTTATTGAACTGTTCTAAATAGTTTATATCTACTCAATCCTCACAACTATATTTTGAGATCGTTCATTATTATTCCCATTTTACAAGTTAGAAAGCTAAAGCAGAGGGATGATAAATAAATTACTTTGGTATATAGGACTGGAAGGAAAGGGCCAAGAATTGAACCCTGGTAGTCTGGTTCAAGTTTGACCTTTTAAGTGCCACATTCTATTACCTCTACAAAACAATAAAACTACCCAAACTCAAGATGATTGCAAACCACATATCTGTCAGTGGGAAGAGTCTCTTACCGTGTGGCCACAAGAATAGTGGTTGATTTGGTGGATACAGCTGATTTTGGTGCTACTGCGGTTCCCTAGACATCCCCCAAAATAAAATACCTGAGAGTAATTCTACTTCCCTATTGCCAATTGTATTTATACTCCATACTATAACATTAATATAGCAAAGTAGACTAGATATATTATTTATTTTGGGAATAGTGGAGAAAGTATTTGCTGCTTTTAGCAATAATCTGGTGGCCATGGCAGTTCTGTGTAGGTCCTGGCTAAGCATGCCATGCCCAGTCCCTCTCAAGCCCTGTAGGATTTGAATTCTTTCTGTCTTAAATAGTTCTTTCTTAAATAGTTGAAGCATAACTTTGCATAGGTGATGCTTTGTCATTTTCATATAATCTGTGGACAATATAGGGAAATACCTATAATCATACTCAAAATGGCATGTGAGATTTAGGAGCTGTGGTTTACTAAAGTCATTTTTGAAACCAGGAAAGGGATTTATGAGGTTGCTACCTCACAGCTACTTCAGAGTAACATAGCTGGGGCTGCAAGAGCCTTGGTAAACCCCATTTGAGACTACCTGTAATCCTGGACAGACAGAACACCATTTCCCACGGGGAATTAAGAGACTGTAATTAATGTCCTCCTGACCAGACCTATATAATCCTTTGCTGACAGTATATCATTTGTGCTTCAGAATTTGTAACTAGCATAAGATTTATGCATCAAATTGCTTTTTTTTCTTTTGATTTTCTTTCCTTTTTCTTTCTTTTCTTTTCTTCTTTGGAGGCAGGGTCTTGCTCTGTCTCCCAGGCTGGAGTGCAGTGGCGTAATCATGTCTCACTTCCGCCTCAACCTCCCAGGCTTATGCAATCCTACCACCTCAGCCTCCCATGTAGCTGGGACTACAGGCATGTACCATCATGGCTGGCTAATTTTTTAATTCGCTTTGTTGCCCAGGCTGGTTTTGAACCCCTGGGCTCAAGCAATCCTCCACTTCAGACACCTAAATTACAGGCATGAGCCTCCAGACACCCTGGAATTACAGGCATGAGCACTGCACACTGCACCCAGCCAAAGAACTTTTTCTTAATTCTTTTTTTTTTCTTTTTTTTTTTAATAAAGCCTTAACCTCTGTTCTTCATGGGTCCACTTAAGCCTTGCCTTGCTACCTTCTCCTCAAATACAGCTTTTGGAAAAGCTTAGCCAACTTCACCCTGATCTGGCTGGCTTGAAAATAGAATCCAATTCATCTCAAGTGGTCTTGATCCTAAACTCCTCCTTTTCAGAGCAAGGGAAAATACCAGAGCTTGCATCTAAATGGGCGGGAATAGCCTTGTTTATTCTCTAGTGAGTTAATCAGCACCATGGACAGATCTACCCATCAGCCCCTGCCTTGCTGTGGTAATGACCAAGTTGGGTGACTTCTGGGCTCAGCCTTGGTATCATAAATGCATGGTCACTACTCACCCAGCACAGTTAACAGATTGAGAAGCTGCAATTAATATGATAACTTTTCACACAGGACATTTAATCTATGGATATAAATGACAGGAAATATGTATTGTTTTCAGCTGTGGAAAACTCTGAATCACTTAGAAGTTGTAGCCTCACTTGAACAGCTGAATGCTTTGTAAACAAAAATGTAAAAAGAGGAAATTAAATTGGGTCCTCTCTGTAGTGGGCATATAGAGATATAAGTTGAGTTTGTTACCGTGTGTGCGAGAGTGTGCAGGCACACCACGTCTGTGCATAGGGTGGGGGTTACGAATGCAGGCTCTGGGGCCAGGTGCACTAATTTCATAGCCCATATCTGCTGTGTATGAGCTGTATGAACTTGGGGAACTTCCATGGCTTTTATGAACCTCAATTTTCTCATTTATAGATTAGGAATGGTAACATTTGCCACCATAGGGTAGTTGTGAGAATGAAATATGTGAACTATCCTTGATCAGTGTTTGGCACATAGTGCTCAATACATTTTGCCTATTTTTCTTTTTTTTCATATTTATAACATACAGTTGTTTATAGTTTATATTATTATCACTATTGTTATATTGATAGAACTATAATTTAGGTTTAGGAAAATGCACAGAACTGCATATTTTTATTTTTGTTAAAATTTGTATTTATTTTTATTTTTGAGATAGGATCTTACTCTGTTGCCCAGGCTGAAGTGCAGTGGCATGATCTTGGCTCACTGCAATCTCGACCTCCTGGGCTCAAGTGATCCTCCCACCTTAGCTTCCCAAGTAGTTGGGACTATAGGCATGCACCACCACAGCTGGCTAACTTTTGTATTTTTTGAAGAGACAGGGTTTGCCATGTTGCCCAGGCTGTTCTTGAACTCCTGAGCTTAAGAAATCTGCCTGTCTCAGCCTCCCAAAGTGCTGGGATAACAGGCATGAGCCACTGCACCCAGCCTACAAATGTTTAAATATGTAACCACTCCTGAAACCACCACCCAGATTAAGATATAGGACATTAGCAGTACTCCTTGAAGGCTTTCTCATACCCCTTCTAGGCAATATAACCTTAACAGTAACCACTATTTGGACTCATATCATTATATATTATTTTGCCTGTTGTTGACCTTCCTACAAATGCAATCATATAGTATATTGCTCTTTTGTGTCTTCTTTTGCTTAACATTGTGTTTGTGAGCACTCAATTCATTTTATCTGTTATTTTTATTTTAACCACACTGTCAAAGAGTATAACCTCCTTCATTTATTATTTCCTACAATCCCAACATGATTTATTTGTTAGATAGCTGCTAAGAATTGCCTATCTGAAGGTTTCACATACAGATTGAAACTTCCTGATTCTTCTGAAAATTTCAAAAGCTTGAAGACACTGGGCTTGCATTTCCACATGCCTGATGTGAAGGGGTGGTCACCCCTTTTGGAAAAACATCTCCTCAGTCCCTACCCCTTTTAATTGTCCTCCTGACACTAAACCCAATTGTCAGTTGCTGTATATCATGATGTGTGCGCTCATGTGCTTCTTATGGGAGAGTCAAGAGGGAAGCCAGTCATGCTTGTGTTCCAAGAACAATGATAGAGAGGCTCATTCTCTGTGCACGTAAAGATTCTGTGCACCTGTTTAATATGCAAGCAACGTGCTTCTGTGCTGAAGAAAATGCAGTCGGGTATGACGACTCACACATTTCATTACCTGGCTGGCCCTGGCAGGTACTTGAGTTTCCTGCCCCAGGGGGACAGTATGGAGACAACGTTGCCATCCAGATTCCAACCTTGTCTTTGCCATGTATCACCACTGGTGTAAACTGATGACACTGACTTCCCTTGTAAACCTTAATATCCCCACTGAAAAAGCCAACCACAATGATAGCCACTGTTCTGCTGCCTCTGGATCACAGCTGCCCATGCCTTCTTCCCCAGAGATCATCATAGTGCCAGAGACACTTATTTCGATGATGGTGAGCTCTGACTCTTCTGCTTCTGAGGCATATATGGGGGTCCTGGAAGCCTGGGGTGACTTTATGTGTCCAGAGAAGAGACTCCGCAGATCCTTTATACTATGGGGCCTACAGAATGCTATGTGATAACAAGAAGCCACATTGACTCTATAATAAAGATTAGGGAACCACCATAGCCCCACCCAGATGTATCAGTTAGCTCCTGCTGCATAATATACAAGCACTAAACCCACAAGTACTAAACCCAGTGTTAATAAACATTTATCCAATGCATGCATCTCTGCATTGGCTGGACAGTTCTTAAATCTTGGCTGAGTTTACTGATGTTTCTATGGTCAGCTGGCTGGGCTGTCTTATGTTTGCAGCCTTGACAAGGGCAACTGTTCTACATGACTCATTCCTCAGCAAGCTAGCCTGGGCTTGTTACTATGGAGCCAGAAAGTTCTAAAGAATGAGCAGGAGCATTCAAGGGTTCTTGACACTTAGGTTTGGAGCTGGCACAATGTTCCATCTACTGTATTTTGTGAACTTAAGGCAAGTGGAAAGGTCAGCTGAGATTCAAAAAGTGGAGAAATATACTCCCCCCAACCGACACAGTACAGAGATATATTGAAAATAACTACACAATGTATATATAATATCAAATTATCATGTTGTATGCTTTGAGTACATAGAATATCAATTAAATATTACAAACTGAAAAAAGGGAAATGATGTGCACATGGGGAGAAGAATTGGTATAATCAACCCATTATACCAGTCCACACCACTAGACAATAGAGTCCACACTGGCATCGAAGCTTGGAGACACTTATGGGGTCCACACAGGGCTGGAAGAGCCCATATCAGCCCTTTACAGCCTTGGAAGCCAGTACTATGTCCATGGGGACTGAGGTGCTGTCATAACCCCACAGAAGCAGAGGGCCCCATGAACTCCTTAGCTAGCTTTCTACTGAAGGCCATTTAGGTTGTTCCCAGTGTTTCATCACGACAGTAAGCTCTGCAAGAAATACCCTTATGCCTTTATCTGTTGTGCAAATGCACGGGTCCAACTGTAGGATAAATTACCTCATGTACTTTGAAGAGTCAAGTCTTGCCTTTTTTTCTGGCGAGCTATCTAAGTATCTGCATGCAGGCTCCGTACAGGAGCGGAGCTCCTTGCAGCTGGCTTCTGGAGGCTCATTCGTCATCGGTGGCAGCAGTGTCTGTGGCCGGCAGCCACCTTCTGCACTGAATTCATTCGCTCGCCACACCTCTGCAGTATTCAGCACTGGTCTTCCCAACAGCATTCTACTGAGTGTGACTCTCATCTCACTCTGCCACGCACACACACAGCAGAGGGCTGCTTTAAATCCAATCGCCGCTGAATGGTTCAGGAACACAGAATCCTGCAGGTCAGCATTATTATTTAAAGAGAAGATTCTTTGCCCATCACTGACCTTGAGAGCCTGCCCAGTGCATGAAGAGGAGTGCCAAATACTAAGAGGAGAACCATTGATCGGGACTGGAAGGAGGAAGGATGACAGAGAGTCGTAAATGCTTATTAATGGCTTGGGAAGGGACCAAGGCTGGGATTTCCAGCTTGAAGATAAAAGGACAGAGAGTGAAGTTAAAGAATTGGAATATAAAATTTTAGCATTGGAAGGCCAGTTCCCAAACCTGGCTGTACATCAGAATCAACTGGGGGAAGCCTTTACAAATACAAACTCCTAGGCCCTGCCCCTGATCAATCAACCGCAAATTCCTCAGAGGGGGGGGGGTGCTTTTCTATCTAGATTTTGTAAAAGCTCTCCAAGTAGGTTTCAGGAACCACTGACCTAGCCCAGCGCTGTAATCCACCCCTCAGCATCCGTGAAGGACTAACCTGGTGATATTTACAGCTGCGATAATTCCTGGTTACTGAGCGCTTCCTATAGCCAGCCAATGTGCACCATTTCCTCACCCCCCCTCACAACTCTATGATGTTTGAACAACTATCATCCCATTTCACATATGAAATAATTGAGGATTAGAGTGAAGTAAACAAGGGAATAGTCATTAAGGAATAGAGAGTCAGTAAACTTCCTCAGCTAGGAATTAGCGGAGCATAGATTCCAACCAGCGACTGTCCACCCTCAAAACCTCCACCATTTAAACCTTCATTGCATCTTCTGTACCATGGGGTTAGCACCAGCAGCAAGCTCAAATCCGTGTCCCTATGACCCCAAAGCTCCTGCTCTGAACCCACTGGCTTTGCTGCAGCAATGGGGAATATACTTTTGCCCATCAGAGATGATGCCCACTGACTTTTCTTACAACTTCTCTATGTTCTAGGTCCCCCGTCCCTAGAGAACCCAAGAAACAGAGTATATATATATATATATGTTAAATATGTGTGTTATTTATGCATATAAGTATAGGTGTACGTGTATGCATTATGTACATGTGAGTTTTCTATGTATATATACATGAGTGTAGATACACATATAACAATGTACATGCATGTATAATGTATATGTGTGGTATGTTACATAAACATAAGTACATGTATGTGTGCCTGTATTATGCACATGTATGCTTTATATGTGTGCTGTGTGTATGTGTGTTAAACACATGTGCATATATAATTATCGCCACATATATCCAGCTGAGATAACCTGAATCCAGGCCTCTCTGCCCTGCCTCTTGTTGATCCCGTGAGAGGGGCATTTACAGTGGTCTGTCAGGACCTGTGACAGACTGCTGTTTGTTTCCAGAGCCTATGACTTCTCCCCGCCATTTAGTAAAAAGACCCCCTGTGCTTTAGCCAGGCCCATGCTGCTCAGCTGGAGGCACCTCCCTGCCTCCCCTCCAGCTGGAGTGACCTGGGGACAAGTTCGTGCTAATGAAGCAGAGGGAGTTGCCTGGCGTAGGCCAGGTCCTAAAGGAGCTTGCTCAGCCACCACTGCCTTTTATTTCCTCCTTTCTCCCTGCGGGTTGGAATGAGGGCACTGAGGTTGTGACACAGTTTTGTCCCAACGGCAGGGGTGACTGGCTCTGGTGGGTGGAGGGGGTGACCAGCTCTGATGGGTGGAGGCCAGGGGTGCTGCTACACACCGTATGATGCACGGGACAGTCCCCCCACAGAGGATCATCCACCCCAAAATGCCAGCAGTGCTGGGGTGGAGCAAGGCTGTAGATGAGGGCAATTCTTGGAGGAGCATCTCGGTAGAAGGAAGTGCATCCCTAGGTGAGCTCGTTGAGTCAGAGGCAGAGCCTCCCCTGGCCATGGACCATTCCTTTCTAAACTAGCACTTGAAATAAATGTCTCAATTTTCTTTTCCCTAGAAGCCTGCCTTGTACCCTATCTGATATGGGGCCTTATCAAAATGTAGGGCATCAGAGATTCCCCAGCTGACTGTGGCCTGGATGTCACACTGGGACAACAGACGTCCTTTTCTTATCAGGCAGCATCTGAGAGGAAGACCAGTTTTATCAGATAGGATGTTTAGTTGTAAGCAAGAAATGGACCTCATTACTAAAGTAAAATACGATTTACTGGAAGGCCACTGGGAACTCGCAGAATCAACAGGGAGTTGAGAAATAGACAGGGAACAGGGTGGCTTTGGAGGCTGGAAGACAGACACTGTGGAATGATCCCAAGCATAAACAACTGGGCAAGTGGCTCCTGGTGGCATGGGTGCATTCTTTTTTTTTTTTTAATAGTATCATTAATTCTTTTTTTTAATTATTATACTTTAAGTTTTAGGGTACATGTGCACAACGTGCAGGTTTGTTACATATGTATACATATGCCATGTTGGTGTGCTGCACCCATTAACTTGTCATTTAGCATTAGGTATATCTCCTAATGCTATCCCTCCCCACTCCCCCAACCCCACGACAGGCCCCGGTGTGTGATGTTCCCCTTCCTGTGTCCATGTGTTCTCATTGTTCAATTCCCACCTATGAGTGAGAACATGCACTGTTTGGTTTTTTGTCCTTGCGATAGTTTGCTGAGAATGATGGTTTCCAGCTTCATCCATGTCCCTACAAAGGACATGAACTCATCCTTTTTTATGGCTGCATAGTATTCCATGGTGTATATGTGCCACATTTTCTTAATCCAGTCTATCATTGTTGGACATTTGGGTTGTTTCCAAGTCTTTGCTATTGTGAATAGTGCCGCAATAAACATACGTGTGCATGTGTCTTTATAGCAGCATGATTTATAATCCTTTGGGTATATACCCAGTAATGGGATGGCTGGGTCAAATGGTATTTCTAGTTCTAGATCCCTGATGAATCACCACACTGACTTCCACAATGGTTGAACTAGTTTACAGTCCCACCAACAGTGTAAAAGTGTTCCTATTTCTCCACATCCTCTTCAGCACCTGTTGTTTCCTGACTTTTTAATGATCGCCATTCTAACTGGTGTGAGATGGTATCTCGTTGTGGTTTTGATTTGCATTTCTCTGATGGCCAGTGATGAGCATTTTTTCATGAGTTTTTTAGCTGCATAAATGTCTTCTTCCGAGAAGTGTCTGTTCATATCCTTTGCCCACTTTTTGATGGGGTTGTTTGTTTTTTTCTTGTAAATTTGTTTAAGTTCGTTGTAGATTCTGGATATTAGCCCTTTGTCAGATGAGTAGGTTGCAAAAATTTTCTCCCATTCTGTAGGTTGCCTGTTCACTCTGATGGTGGTTTCTTTTGCTGTGCAGAAGCTCTTCAGTTTAATTAGATCCCATTTGTCAATTTTGGCTTTTGCTGCCATCGCTTTTGGTGTTTTAGACATGAAGTCCTTGCCCATGCCTATGTCCTGAATGGTATTGCCTAGGTTTTCTTCTAGGGTTTTTATGGTTTTAGGTCTAACATGTAAGTCTTTAATCCATCTTGAATTAATTTTTGTATAAGGTGTAAGGAAGGGATCCAGTTTCAGCTTTCTACATATGGCTAGCCAGTTTTCCCAGCACCATTTATTAAATAGGGAATCCTTTCCCCATTGCTTGTTTTTGTCAGGTTTGTCAAAGATCAGATAGTTGTAGATATGCGTAGATAGCCTTATTTCTGAAGGCTCTGTTCTGTTCCATTGGTCTATATCTCTGTTTTGGTACCAGTACATGCTGTTTTGGTTACTGTAGCCTTGTAGTATAGTTTGAAGTCAGATAGTGTGATGCCTCCAGCTTTGTTCTTTTGGCTTAGGATTGACTTGGCGATGCGGGCTCTTTTTTGGTTCCATATAATCTTTAAAGTAGTTTTTTCCAATTCTATGAAGAAAGTCATTGGTAGCTTGATGGGGATGGCATTGAATATGTAAATGACCTTGGGCAGTATGGCCATTTTCACGATATTGATTCTTCCTACCCGTGAGCATGGGATGTTCTTCCATTTGTTTGTATCCTCTTTTATTTCATTGAGCAGTGGTTTGTAGTTCTCCTTGAAGAGGTCCTTCACATCCCTTGTAGGTTGGATTCCTAGGTATTTTATTCTCTTTGAAGCAATTGTGAATGGGAGTTCACTCATGATTTGGCTCTCTGTTTGTCTGTTATTGGCGTAGAAGAATGCTTGTGATTTTTGCACATTGATTTTGTATCCTGAGACTTTGCTGAAGTTGCTTATCAGCTTAAGGAGATTTTGGGCTGAGATGATGGGGTTTTCTAGATATACAATCATGTTATCTGCAAACAGGGAAAATTTGACTTCCTCTTTTCGTAATTGAATGCCCTTTATTTCCTTCTCCTGCCTGATTGCCCTGGCCAGAACTTCCAACACTATGTTGAATAGGAGTGGTGAGAGAGGGCATCCCTGTCTTGTGCCAGTTTTCAAAGGGAATGCTTCCAGTTTTTGTCCATTCAGTATGATATTGGCTGTGGGTTTGTCATAGATAGCCCTTATTATTTTGAGATACGTCCCATCAATACCTAATTTATTGAGAGTTTTAAGCATGAAGGGTTGTTGAATTTTGTCAAAGGCCTTTTTTCCATCTGTTGAGATAATCATGTGGTTTTTGTCTTTGGTTCTGTTTATATGCTGGATTATGTTTATTGATTTTCGTATGTTGAACCAGCCTTGCATCCCAGGGACGAAGCCCACTTGATCATGGTGGATAAGCTTTTTGATGTGTTGCTGGATTCGGTTTGCCAGTATTTTATTGAGGATTTTTGCATCAATGTTTATCAGGGATATTGGTCTAAAATTCTCTTTTTTTATTGTGTCTCTGTCAGGCTTTGGTATCAGGATGATGCTGGCCTCGTAAAATGAGTTAGGGAGGATTCCCTCTTTTTCTATTGATTGGAATAGTTTCAGAAGGAATGGTATCAGCTCCTCCTTGTACCTCTGGTAGAATTCGGCTGTGAATCCATCTGTTCCTGGACTTTTTTTGGTTGGTAAGCTATTAATTATTGCCTCAATTTCAGAGCCTGTTATTGGTCTCTTCAGAGATTCAACTTCTTCCTGGTTTAGTCTTGGGAGAGTGTATGTGTCGCGGAATTTATCCATTTCTTCTAAATTTTCTAGTTTATTTGCATAGAGGTGTTTCTAGTATTCTCTGATGGTAGTTTGTATTTCTGTGGGATTGGTGGTGATATCCCCTTTGTCATTTTTTATTGCGTCTATTTGATTCTTCTCTCTTTTCTTATTAGTCTTGCTAGCGGTCTATCAATTTTGTTGATCTTTTCAAAAAACCAGCTCCTGGATTCATTGATTTTTTGAAGGGTTTTTTGTGTCTCTATTTCCTTTAGTTCTGCTCTGATCTTAGTTATTTCTTGCCTTCTGCTAGTTTTTGAATGTGTTTGCTCTTGCTTCTCTAGTTCTTTTAATTGTGATGTTAGGGTGTCAATTTTAGATCTTCCCTGCTTTCTCTTGTGGGCATTTAGTGCTATAAATTTCCCTCTACACACTGCTTTGAATGTGTCCCAGAGATTCTGGCATGTTGTTGAATCTTTGTTGTTGTGTCTTTGTTCCCGTTGGTTTAAAAAAACATCTTTATTTCTGCCTTCATTTCGTCATGCATCCAGTAGTCATTCAGGAGCAGGTTGTTCAGTTTCCATGTAGTTGAGTGGTTTTGAGTGAGTTTCTTAATCCTAAGTTCTAGCTTGATTGCACTGTGGTCTGAGAGACAGTTTGTTATAATTTCTGTTCTTTGACATTTGCTGAGGAGTGCTTTACTTCCAACTATGTGGTCAATTTTGGAACAGGTGTGGTGTAGTGCTGAACAGAATGTATATTCTGTTGATTTGGGGTGGAGAGTTCTGTAGATGTCTATTAGGTCTGCTTGGTGCAGAACTGAGTTCAATTCCTGGGTATCCTTGTTAACTTTCTGTCTTGTTGATCTGTCTAATGTTGACAGTGGGGTGTTAAAGTCTCCCATTATTATTGTGTGGGAGTCTAAGTCTCTTTGTAGGTTGCTAAGGACTTGCTTTATGAATCTGGGTGCTCCTGTATTGGGTGCATATATATTTAGGATAGTTTGCTCTTCTTGTTGAATTGATCCCTTTACCATTATGTAATGGCCTTCTTTGTCTCTTTTGATCTTTGTTGGTTTAAAGTCTGTTTTATCAGAGACTAGGATTGCAACCCCTGCCTTTTTTTTGTTTTCCATTTGCTTGGTAGATCTTCCTCCATCCCTTTATTTTGAGCCTATGTGTGTGTCTGCACGTGAGATGGGTTTCCTGAATACAGCACACTGATGGGTCTTGACTCTTTATCCAATTTGCCAGTCTGTGTCTTTTAATTGGAGCATTTAGCCTATTTACATTCAAAGTTAGTATTGTTATATGTGAATTTGATCCTGTCATTATTATGTCAGTTGGTTATTTTGCTCATTAGTTGATGCAGTTTCTTCCTAGCCTCGATGGTCTTTACAATTTGGCATGTTTTTGCAGTGGCTGGTACCGGTTGTTCCTTTCCATGTTTAGTGCTTCTTCCTTCAGGAGCTCTTTTAGGACAGGCCTGGTGGTGACAAAATCTCTCAGCATTTGTTTGTCTGTAAAGTATTTTATTTCTCCTTCACTTAGGAAGCTTAGTTTGGCTGGATATGAAATTCTGGGTTGAAAATTCTTTTCTTTAAGAATGTTGAATATTGCCCCCCACTCTCTTCTGGCTTGTAGAGTTTCTGCCAAGAGATCAGCTGTTAGTCTGAGGTGCTTCCCTTTGTGGGTAACCCGACCTTTCTCTCTGGCTGCCCTTAACATTTTTTCCTTCATTTCAACTTTGGTGAATCTGGCAATTATGTGTCTTGGAGTTGCTCTTCTTGAGGATTATCTCTGTGGTGTTCTCTGTATTTCCTGAATTTGAATGTTGGCCTGCCTTGCTAGATTGGGGAAGTTCTCCTGGATAATATCTTGCAGAGTGTTTTCCAACTTGGTTCCATTCTCCCCGTCACTTTCAGGTACACCAATTAGACATAGATTTGGTCTTTTCACATAGTCCCATATTTATTGGAGGCTTTGTTCGTTTCTTTTTATTCTTTTTTCTCTAAACTTCTCTTCTCACTTCATTTCATTCATTTCGTCTTCCATCACTGATACCCTTTCTTCCAGGTGATCGCATCGGTTACTGAGGCTTGTGCATTCGTCACGTGGTTCTCGTGCCGTGGTTTTCAGCTCCATCAGGTCCTTTAAGGACTTCTTTGCATTGGTTATTCTAGTTATCCATTCATCTAATTTTTTTTCAAAGTGTTTAACTTCTTTGCCATTGGTTCGAACTTCTTCCTTTAGCTCAGAGTAGTTTGATCTTCTGAAGACTTCCTCTCTCAACTCGTCAAAGTCATTCTCCATCCAGCTTTGTTCTGTTGCTGGTGAGGAGCTGCATTCCTTTGGAGGAGGAGAGGAGCTCTGATTTTTAGATTTTCTAGTTTTTCTGCTCTGTTTTTTCCCCATCTTTGTGGTTTTATCTACCTTTGGTCTTTTATGATGGTTACGTACAGGTGGGTTTTTGGTGTGGATGTCGTTTCTGTTTGTTAGTTTTCCTTCTAACAGTCAAGACCCTCAGCTGCAGGTCTGTTGGAGTTTACTGGAGGTCCACTCCAGACCCTGTTTACCTGCATATCAGCAGCGGTGGCTGCAGAACAGCGGATATTGGTGAACCGTAAATGCTGCTGCCTGATCGTTCCTCTGGACGTTTTGTCTCAGAGGAGTACCCAGCTGTGTGAGGTGTCATTCCGCCTCTACTGGGGGGTGCCTCCCAGTTAGGCTACTCGGGGGTCAGGGACCCACTTGAGGAGGCAGTCTGCCCGTTCTCAGATCTCAAGCTGCGTGCTGGGAGAAGCACTACTCTCTTCAAAGCTATCAGACAGGGACATTTAAGTCTGCAGAGGTTATTGCTGTCTTTTGTTTGTCTGTGCCCTGCTCCCAGAGGTGGAGCCTACAGAGGCAGGCAGGCCTCCTTGAGCTGTGGTGGGCTCCACCCAGGTCTAGCTTCCCGGCTGCTTTGTTTACCTACTCAAGCCTGAGCAATGGCAGGCGCCCCTCCCCCAGCCTAGCTGCCGGTTTGCAGTTTGATCTCAGACTGCTGTGCTAGCAATGAGCGAGGCTCTGTGGGCATAGGACTCTCTGAGCCATGTGCAGGATATAATCTCCTGGTGTGCCATTTGTTAAGCCCATTGGAAAAGCGCAGTAGTAGGGTGGGAGTGACCCAATTTTCCAGGTGCCGTCTGTCACCCCTTTCTTTGACTAGGAAAGGGAATTCCCTGACCCCTTGTGCTTCCCAGGTGAGGCAATGCCTTGCCCTGCTTCGGCTCATGCACGGTGCCCTGCACCCACTCTCCTGCACCCACTGTCTGGCACTCCCCAGTGAGATGAACCCGGTACCTCAGTTGGAAATGCAGAAATCACCCGTCTTCTGTGTCGCTCACGCTGGGAGCTGTAGACTGGAGCTGTTCCTATTCAGCCATCTTGGCTCCACCCGGGATGGGTGCATTCTATCTGCTGCTTTGTCTCTGGGTCATTTGTTTGGGAGTCCCTAGCCCACAAAAGAGCATCTGCCTGGTTCCCCTGGATCAGGCTGCACTCACCTGCTGGCTGGACACCCAGTGCTGGCAGGAAGGCCCCAACCCTTTAACTTTGGTGGCAAAACTCAGCCCCTGGCCTTTACTGTTCTATCAAGAATGTGCTCAAGAAGGGCAGGTGATGCCCCAGGGAATTTGTGAAGGTAATAGAAAAGGGGTTTGGCCTGCACGTTGTGCACATGTACCCTTAAACTTAAAATATAATAATGATAAAATTAAAAAAAATGAAGGAATAAACTAGAAAAAAAAGAAAAGGGGTTTGGAAGCTATTGTGCTGTACCCAATAATTGCTGGTTATCCAAAACATGTAGCTTTGCCACTTCCTAGCCATGTGACTCTGACAAAATTCCTTTGACATTTGGAGCCTGAAGATCAAGACTAGAATCTTTAATGGACTAGAATCTCCAGTGATTCATATTCTCCAACACAAAGTTACTGAAATCTTCCCAAGCAGGTGTATGATATGACTAATAGCTGCTCGTAGAAGATTATCCTCCTTGCCAAGATCTATATATTGACACTTAGAGCTCAGGCTATTTGTCTGTCCAATTATATATCAACAAATGGAAAATTTTAATTGCACATATTGATTATGTATCAGTTATTTGAGGAGCAGCAAGACAGATGGGGAATTATTTTCAAAACCTTCGTATACTTTAAAGCATCTCAAAAGTAGGGAAGAAGCAGGGATTTGCTAGGCCATGGACCCAGATGATTTTTTGTTGTTGTTGTTAACCATAGTTATTTTCAAATACCTAAGGGACAACAGTGAGTTTTGCATATTCCTTGAGGCTCTTTGAAACTGGGAGAACTTAGATTTTGTTTATTTATCAAAGGAGAAAAATATAATTTGGGAAGTCATCTCACTTACTGGTGCCTGAGCTCTGCGCCAGGGTCCCTCCAGGCTCAGTGACTATCTTCCCCATGGTAAATCATAGGTGACAGTCATGGCTGGGAGAATGCCCCTTGGGAATGGACAGAACCACCCCAAGAGAGCAGCAAAGTCTACCTCATGTGGTGTCTGAAGACACTGCAGGTGCCAGGGCAGGAGGATGATAGGAAGGAATCTCCTGCCCCTTAAGGACGGGGGGGCCCAGAAAACCCACCCTGAAGGTGGACAGGGATGGTTCTTTTTCATGGAACAATGGAAATTTTGAAAAGGGAAATTATGCACTGAGATATTTAGCTTAATCTGGTGACTTGAGAGATATTCTTGGTTTACATCTTCCTGAAATGATAGGGATAGAAGAAGGCGCTGGTGATTTTGTCTTCTAGGGACCTGCTAGGAAGGACAAAAATCTCTATTTTCATTGGCGTTCATCTCTTTTCTGGGGTGTAGCCTTCACTACCCTTCTTGAGGTTGGAAGACCACGATCTGTTTTGTTACAAGGCCTGGAGTTCAAGAGAAGGCTGGCTTGAGGCCTTGGGCTTAAGTAACTCCAGCTTCTCTGCAGACCCACCAGGCTAGGGGGAGGCCAACGGCTGGCCAAGGTAGAGTTGGCTCCTAGCCAGACGATGCCACATAACACAGTCTCAGGGACCCTTGTGTCCAATTCAAGATGGTCACCTCTGCTGAGTGTTTGTTTGAACAGCTCTTCCTGCATGCATGCCAAGAAGAGGCTGCTGCTTGGTGGAGGTCTTGTGGCTGCCCCTGTAAGGTCACTCCAGCCACCTTACTGAGGTGGCCCGGACTTCTGGTGGGATGGGGCTCACCTGCTCTAGCAAAGGCTTGGCACAGGGAAGCAGCGGGCACAGACTGAAGCCATGGGGCTGAACTGGGGTCATGGAAGTGGAAGTTGGGGAGTAAAAAAAGCTTTGGACATACAGATGAGAAAGGGTGTGTCTTAAGTAGCAGCAGTAACCGCCAACAAAAGCACAGGAATTGGGGTCCACAGAGGCATGCTCAGGCAGAGCCACCGGTATGTTGTGAAAAGCTGGGGGGTCCACGCAGACCTTTACCAGCTGCAAGGCCTTTTCAAGGGGTGCACAGTCCAAGTGACATTCTCTGCACGCTATAGTGATGAACTGGAGGCTCAGGGACAAGAGTGGCTTGTGTTTGTTTCCTGGCTGTATTACGGAATCAACTCTTAACATCATAAAACACTTCAAAAACGAACGGGGAGCACAGGAGCCGTTGGGCAGCCTCCACTTTTCTTTGAGCAGCAGAGGCCACGCTGAGGTTTGAGCTTGGAAGGCAGCTCACATCTGCCACTCTCAGAAGGAGAGGCAGCTGGCACGGAGCTCAGGCCTGCTGTTTCCTGACATTAAGCTGCTTGCAGTGTCCAAGGAAGCTGTGGGGAGGCACAAGGACGTGCAACCCAGAAGAGCCTGACTCTTTGGAGCTGGGTCAGTACCTCCCACACTAATGCACATCTGCATGGAGCAGAGAAGGAGGGCAGGCAGGGCAGCTGGAGGACTGACCAGCACAGGGGCCTTCTAGGGAAAGCCAGGCTTCTGGGCAGCATCACTGCAGACAGAGCAAAGCAGACAGTCAGCGGACTAATGAGCTCACACCCGCCACGAGCACAAGGAGCAAGGCAGGCAACTGTCGCTTTCCTGCAGCTGCTAATAAAAATCACAATGAGGCCTCGGGAGGCCTCTTCACGCTCAGGATGATGCATCTGTTCTGCTCCTTCAGGCCAAGATTTCTTGGGCGCCCAGGTCAGGCAGAACCTTAAAAGGGAAAAGTAACCAAGTTTGGCCTGAATCCAACCCTCGCCTTTCCCACCAAGTTCCCGCTTCCACATGAAGATGTGCTTGTTGGAATGCAGCTACTCACTAAGCCGAGCAGCATCTGATAAATTAATAAGTCTTGTATTCATCAGGTCAGGGGGCGGGCTGCTACAGTAATAAACAACCCAACATACCAGTGGTATTGCAGAACAAGGGTCTGTTTCTTGCTGAAAAGAGTCTGATGTGGACGAGGTGCTCTCCAGATTCCCTCATGTGATGCCACGTGTCAACGTGCACATGGAGAGCTCACACTGGCTCTTACCTGTTGTCATTGGAAGTGACAGCTCTCATTACTGTTCATGGCCGTTCCCAAGAATTGGCTGCGTGCCCCCACCTGAACTGCAAGGCAGCTGGGAAATGCACTGGGCAATACTGTCTGTGCCTCAACTCCCAAGCCCAAACATGTATCAAGTATTGGAGGGGCTATAGAGGAAGAAGAGACCCCTCCCTTTTCTTGGAAACATGAACCAGCCAGGAAAATGTCTACTTACCAGTAGACTGGAGTTATCAACTGTATGGAATATGACTGGCAGAAACCTGGTTAAGGGGAAGGCTTCCATTAAGTAAGCTTAATCTGAGGAGGAAGGGCTGTTTCTTTTAAACCGTGCTTCATTCACACAGGGCTAGGCCTAGAAAGAAAGCCAGCAAGGTTGCTATAGAAAGAGATGACAAGAGGTTTTATTTTCTATGTGTCTCTTGAGGGAAGAAATTGCATCTAATTTATTTTTGTCTCCCCTGAAATGACCAGTACAGAGATGATGAAGGCTTGTCTTTGGCCCAGTGAAAGACGCTAGTGTCACGTCCATATAGCAGAGCAATTGGATTATATAAAATCAATCCTCAGGCAGCATTCAGTCTCCTGGTTCTCACTAGGTGGCTAACTTAAATTTATCAGATTGTGCTTTCATCACTCATGCTCTGTAAACCATTTATTATCTATCTGTCCATCCATCCATCCGTCCACCATCATCCACATCTATCTGTCCATCTAATCAAACTTCATCCATCCGTGCATCCATCCATCCATCCAACCACCCACCATTCATCTATTCATCTAGTGAACTTTCATCCATCCATTTATCCATCCACCATCCAACCATCCAGCCATCTACCATCCATTTATCTAATGAGCCTTCATCCATTCATCCATCCATCTACCCATCCACCAATCCACCATCATCTAGCCATGCAACCATTCATCCAAAAAATGTTTATTGATTGCTGACTCTTTGTAGGCATGACTCTAGTCATAGGGTATATAGCAGGGAACAGATTCAACTATCTCCTTACTCCTCTGGAACTCACATTCTACTAGGGAAGACACACAATAAGCTAAAAGCAAACAGAACAATTTTAGGGCGCTTTAAACGCTATGAACTATATAAGATGATCAGAGTGGAAGAAAGTGGCATGGGAGGGGTGAGGCTGCTCTGATGTGTTCTCTTAGGAATAGAAGTATGAGCCGAGACATGCATGATGGGGAGGGGTGAGACCTTGAGAATCTGGGGGAATAGAGTTCCATAAAGAAGCAGTATGGGCAAAGGCCTTGAGGTGGGAGTACGCTTCTTTCTTTTTATTTTCTTTTTTTTTTTTCTTTTTCTTGAGATGGAGTATCACTCTGTTGCCCAGGCTAGACTGCAGTGGCTCGATTTTGGCTCACTGAAACCTCCGCCTCCCAGGTTCAATCGACTCTCCTGCCTCAGCCTCCCAGGTAGCTGGGATTATAGGTGCCCACCACCACGCCAGGCTAATTTTTGTATTTTTAGTAGAGACGGGGTTTCGCCACGTTGGCTAGGCTGGTCTCGAACTCCTGACCTCAGATGAGCCGCCCACCTCGGCCTCCCAAAGTGCTGGGATTACAGGCGTGAGCCACTGCGCCCAGCCGCGAGTGCACTTCTTTTGACAGAGGAATAGACAGAAGGAAACCGGTGGGGTTGGAGCGCAGTGAGCGAGTGGGCGGGTGGTGGGCGTGAGGGTGGGTGGCAGGCACCTCTGCATCACATAAGACCTTTTGGTCATATGATGGAGTCCAGACTTTATTCCAGGAATTATGGGCCTCTACTGGAGGGTTTTAAGCCAGGAGTGACATGATTTAAATCATGTTTTTTAAAGGTCACTCTGTTAATTTTCATTTAGAAAACATTGACTGCCTACTTAGAAGATACACCCAGGAGCCTCGCAATGCTCTGCCTGCAGGGGGAACAAAGAAGAGCCTGGCGGAAGCTTTTAAAGTCATAAGACAATCATCGGCCACCGGACTCCGAGTCCATTAGCATAATTGGTGAGTCAGGCTCGATTCAACATCAGGAAAAACAGCTTTGAAAAATTCAAGGTCTGGCTGTCCAAAAAAGAACAGCTACACAGAGTGCTGGCCCTGAGGGGGCGCTCACGGGGACTCGGCCAGACAGGACGGGGTCTCTGCAGTGGCCCCACAGAGGTTTTCTGTGAAGGGGCTGACTCCCACTCTTCACCACGGCCCAGCATTCTCTGGGGTCCGTTAATACTGGCTCAGGAGTCTTCTTGAATGTCTAGAAAGCAAAACTCGTGGGAATGGAATCTGGGAGCACAGAAGCCAGGAGGAGGCAATGAAAGGGCGTCCTGGGGTGCATTGCTTTGCAAGAACAGCATACATCTCCCCAGTTAATGGCAAAATGTCTCCATGCTGCCTTTGGAACCTCTCCTCTGAGTCTCTATGCTGTGGTTTAGATGAGGACTTGCTCCTCATTCTCCAGGTGCCAGGGCTGGGGCGAGGTACTTGTGACCAGGCCTGGGCCATTCCGTCAACAGATCTATGTTTAGCCAGTGACTCACGCCGGCCAATAGGAGGCAACGGAGGACTTTTTCTGAACATGCTGGGAGTTAACTGTCTTTGCTCTGCAACTGTTACCCGCACAACTTTAATAACAAGTCTAGAGCTTCCGGAGGCTGCTACGTAGAATGGGCTGTCCGAGAATGAAGACAAATAGGCAAATATAGAGGAAAACAGAGAGAGGAGAAGAGACAGGGAGCCCCTGGGCCAACCATCCGGGATGGATGTTGGATGCACTGCTGCTTGTTCCATCCTAGAAAGTAACACATCCTCTTCCTCACTCCTGCTATTTTTCCCTTAAGCCCACTTTATTTTTTCAATCACTTGCAATAAAAGGATTCTCTTTAAAGCAAACAGGAAGACAGAACTTCTTCTCTGCCATGGGGACTTCTTTTTCCCTGGAGTGGATGGGAATGTGCCCCCCAGGAAGATATGTTGAAGTCTTACCCCTTAATCCCTGTGAATGTGACCTTATCTGGAAATAGGGTCTTTGCAGATGTAATCAAGGTAAGATGAGGTCATATGAATTAGGGTATATCCAAAATCCAGCGACTGAATGTCTTAAGAAAACTTGGACACAAAGACTCGCAGGGAGAGGACCGTGCGATGACAGAGGCAGGGGGTAGAGTGATGTATCCACCAGCCAGGAGACCCCAGATTGTCGCGAGCCACCGGAAGCTGGAAGAGGAGGCATGGGGCTGATTTGGCCTCATAACACCTGGAAGGAACCACCTCTGCCGACACCTCGACTTTGGACTTTCTGCCTTCAGAATGGTGAGAGAATAAATTTCGGTTGCTGTGAGCAGCCCTGTTTGCAGTGATTTGTTATGACGGCCCCAGGAAACCAATACATCTCCCAAAACACATGCAGCCTTTGTACCCAGGACAGACCCTGCATTCTCCTCTCTCTGACTTTCTGATGAACAGATCAGCATGTTTTCCCATATACTCATATCGTTTGGGGTCAGATGTGGGGAAGGCGTGTCACAGTGTGCTTGAGAAGAAGGACCTGTTGGCCAGGCAGAGATTCCTCCGATCCAAGTCACTACTGCATCGGGCCTCTGGCCTGTCGCCCTTCTCGCCTCTGCCTCCCCTCTCCACCCCCTGGATCAGTCATCCACAGTAATCACTGGCTCAGAGGATGCCAGTCTCCACTGGGGGACACCCCGGACCCATCCGTCTTCCTGCCAGAGCATCATTTGCTGCTGCAAGGGCAAAACAAAGGGGGGCAAGGAGCTAATGACTGCACCTTGGGAAGCGCCAGTTGGGTAATTAATTCACAGTTCTGAGCTTTCCCAGAAGGAAAAAGATAAATTGTTCACTTGCACTCCCAGGGTGTCCTAGCAGAGACTCATTTGTAAAACGGGTGTGAAACCGAGGGTAGGGCGAGGCTCTGAGGGATGAGATGCATTCCTGGAAGGCCAGTGGGCCCCACCAGCCCAGTGCCAGGGCAGTCACAACTGGCTGCCCTCGGCTTGTGCACAGGCTTAGCTGCCCAGGACCTTAGGACCAGAGGCTGGTGTTACGGATTGAACTGTGTCTCCCCCGACCCCAAATTCATAGTGGAAATCCTAATGCCCAGTATCAGAGGACAATCTTGTATGGAAATAGGGTCATTGCAGATGTAATTAGTTGAGATGAGGTCATACTGGAGTAGAGTGGGCCCTGGCTTCCTTGGGGAAATTTGGAGCCGGGCATGGTGGCTTATCCTGTAATCCCAGCACTTTGGGAGGCCAAGGCGGGATGATTGCTTGAGGGCAGGAGTTCGAGACCAGCCTGGGCAACATAGTGAGACCCCATATTTACAAAAAATTTTAAAAATTAGCTAGGTGTGGTGGTGTGTGGCTGTAGTCCCAGCTACTTGAGAGGCTAGGGTGGGAGGATTGCTTGAGCCCAGGAGGTCGAGGCAGCAGTGAGCGTTGATCACACAACTGTATTCCAGCCTGGGTAGCAAAGTGAGATCCCTGTCTCACAAAAAAGAAGAAATTCGGACACAGACACACACACAGGGAGTCTGTCACATGAAGACGAAGGCAGAGATCAGAGTGATGCTTCTACAAGCCAAGGACTACCAAGATGCCAGCAACCGCAGGAGCTGGGAGAGGCCTGGAGGAGTTCCCCCACAAACCCTCCGAGGGAACCAGCTCTGCCGACACGCTGAGCTCAGACTTCAGGCTTCCAGAAAAGTGAAGCAATACATTTCTGTTATTAAAGCTGCCCAGTTTGTGGTATTTAGTTAGTTATGGTAAAGTACCTGTAGCCGGAGTCCAGGGAGGGAACTGAGAAGCCGCGAGGGACAGGCCCCCAACGGAGATGCTGATGAGGCCGGCAGCCTTCCAGCTTCCAGCGCCATCTTCCTTGGGAGTTTGGGAAACTCAGTGCCTCCAGGGGCCCCGCAGGTGGCGTCAAAGAGCGAACCAGCCAGGTGCAAGAGAAACCAAGCCGCATCACTTATTTATTCACACTCGAAAAGACACCTCGTGGACATTTCAGTTAAGACTTTCCTATCAGTTCTTTCTCAGATTCTGGGCACATAGATCGCATGACGGTTTGCATCATAATGGCGTCTTCAGTTGTGTTCTTTAGACATGACATTCTATATTTGCCTAGGAGACACACAGGATTTTTCTTCCCTTTTGTAAAGCAATGAGCTCTTTCTGAATGATCTTGAAAACACACGGCTCCTTCCCTCTCTGTTTCCCCCACTTTTGGGTAGAGCTGTGACTTGGGAGAAACACTTCTGTATTAGAAGAGTGGTGAGAGGGAGCATAAATGGAGTTGGTCAACTCTGGGTCCAGAAGACATCGTGGGTGGAGAGGACTCGAAACCTCAGTGCCACTCTGCCCCATCGAGGCCAAGTCAGATTGGAAGCCCCATTTTGCCAGTGTCTGAATTCTTAAGCGATGCTAGAAATCTAGATTTCTAAGGTGAAATCATCAAAGTTTTGAATGTTGGCTCAATTTTCTCCATTCTGCAACCAGTTTCATTGTCTTTTACAAAACTTATGACTGGCTGGGTTCCGTGGCTCACACCTGTAATCCCAGCACTTTGGGAGGCCGAGGTGGGAGGATTGCTTGAGCCCAGGAGTTCAAGATCAGCCTGGGCAACATAGCAAGACCCCCATATCTACAAAAAGTACAAAAATTCACTGAGTGTGGTGGCATGTTCCTGTAGTCCCAGCTACTCGGGAGGCTGAGGTTGGGAGGATCACTTGAGCACTCAGGAGGCAGAGGTTTTAGTGAGCTGAGATTGTGCCACTGCGCTCCAGCCTGGGCAACAAGACAGAGCAAGACCCTGTCTCAAAGCAAAAACAAACAAACAAAAAAACCCATGACTATCTGAAATTATTTTGTTTGCTGTTTATTCCCCCTACCCAAATAGATATAAGTAAGGTTTTGGAGAGTGCATGTGCATTTGCTGTATGTGTGACTCTGTCTCTAGTGCTCACAGCTATTCCTGCTACAGAGTAGAGTAGCTGCTCAGTAAATACTGGCTGAATAAATGATTGACCTATCAATCACTTGCTATTGTTTGCATGAATATAAGGATTCCATGCATCTTCTTGTTTCGTAGAATTGTCTTGGGGCTGCAGTTGATAAAGGAATCTACAATCAACTTTTTAACCCAGTCCAGAGTTGTTGTATGTACACTCGAGACCCAAAGGAAGGACAGAGAATTTTCCTCACCTCAGCCCAAAAGGAGGCTGGAATGCATGCTTGCCTGCCACAGTTTCCACTTACTTACCACCATCAGTCAGCAGGCTTTTAGGAGAGAATTGCACGTGTGATTTATTTGCAAATCCTTTCAGGTCCTGGAGGAGAGATACTTGGTACACAATGCACTTTGTCATCACGTGTCAACATCCCCTCAATGCAGGGAGCAGCACTACACGATGTAAAGGTGGAACTGGATTGTGCTGGGATCCTTCAATCAGCATTTCATTTAGAGCTGCAGCATTTGCAGAGCCATTTGCAATTGATGCCAGCCCCTTGGAGGGGGTCAGCGTGTAGAAGACAAAGGACAGCCATAAAGCCACTGAATGCAAACTTTATATTTACAGTCAGTAAGTTTATAAATATATATTACATTCTTACAATCTACAGTACATTCTACACGCAGATGGATTTGGAAGCGGGCAGCGGCTGCAGTATTCAACAGAACATGACACAGGTAAGAATGGAAAGAAATATGAGGACGTTACTGAAAGCAAAGGATTCTCATTGAAAAGGGGTGACAGCTTAATCACCCAACCAAACAAGGTAGGTAAGCTTGCGGACAGGAGCAGGTGACTTACTGGCTGCAGAAACCTCAGTCTCAAGAGCACCACAGTTGCAGGGGAGAGGGCTAAGGTTGGGAGGGTAAACTGGTGAAATTTACACACACATGATCTAAAGAGAATTCAATTCTATGGAGAGGAAGAAGGAGTAAAGACACACACTCAAAATTACAGAGATGAGATGGAGAGGAAGCAGGGAGAAGATAGGTTCAAAGGAGGAGAGAGATACAGAGACAGACACACAGAGAGACTGGAAAACAGACAACTGAAGAGCAGAGAGAGAGAGAAAATGACCAGAGGGAAAAATAGAAGATCAATTCAACAGCACGGCCTCTTCTGCCCACCACCCGCTGCCCCCGACCATCTTTTGCAGGATCCTATCTGGCTGGCAATCACCCAACACACCATTCTCTACCTTGGAGTGAGCGTGAGATGAGGCAGGAATTCTCTGATGTATCCTTGCCCCCATCTTCATAGGCTTCATAAGTGAAGGGATTCAGGGATATCCAGAGTCATGGCTGGTCTTAAGCAATGCTGAACCTTTCGGGGCTGACTGCAGGACCAAGTGCTTGCAAACCTGCATCTTCACCACATGCACTGATGCCCCTTATCCCTTCGCACCTCCAAGATGAAGAAGGTTTCTGTGCTGTCCGGTGTGTGTGAGGCTGGGCTTCCTGCTGGATCCACCACTTTCACACCCAGAACCCCCCCAACTCCACACGCCCTGCACGTTCCACACAGGCACCCCGATTTGTCTCAACAGCCTCGAGGCCACATCTTTGGACAGGAGATCTGCCATGAACAGTGAAAGACCCATCCCAAGTGGCCCTGTTTTCTTTCTAGTAAAGCAAGGGAATGTATATCCCCTGGTATGGAATTCACCGTGACTACCGCCCATGCCTAGAGACCAGCCTCTTCAAAGACGGACGGCGTGGGACATATGCCCAGGTTGCGGGGGGAGCTTCTCTACAGAATGTCACTTGGGAGTTGACACAAAACCCAGGGGGAGAAAAAAGACCCAGCAAATACTACAAACTGCCCTCTCCCTCCCCCACCCACAGGTGACCAACGGCTTTGGGGAGGATGGCAATGCAGTGGAGGAATAGAAATGGATACATTGTGAACTTGATATGAATCAAAAGAGCGTGGTTCTTTGAACCTGATTCAAATTCTATGCCCAGTATCCTTAGTTTACAAATAAAGAAGTACCCTGAAGGGCTCAGAGGATTTGCGTCCATGTGTTTGTCCTTGGCATGTAGTTACAAAGGTATTTGTGGCCTGTTAGCCCACATGTTCCCTTTCAGTCCTTGTCAGCCACTTCCTTGGCCTGTCCATGATCTGAGACAGCTCTGGCCCAGCCTTTGAGAGACAATGACTCACAATCATGCCTCCCACAGCTGACGGCGGCACTGGACTGCCTGTGATCGCGCTCACAGCAAGATGTGCTGCTCCAGTTTCGATGACACGCTTCCTCCCATTGATCCATGGATGCGATCCATGGATGCTCCACCTGAGTTGTACTTTTCTTCCATAGTCTGCAATATTGAATATTGGAGCCATGTGGATTTTACAATATCCAAATTGCTTTGATTCGAGAGAGAGAGGCTGTTCTTTCCTGGACGCTCTCAGACGCTCAGTGATTCAGAACTCGTTTTTGTTTCAAGTCTTAAAAATCTTGCCATGCATGATAAACCTCTTAAGCAAGACACTGTACTCTGGAATGTGTGCGTCGATGCGGACTCCAGGCCTCGCCGCCGAGCCGGGGTCATTGGCTGAGGCTGTATGGATAGTGTCATCCTTATTTTGTCCTGCTGCTTTGTTTCTCTTCCGGGGGCACCGTTGCTACACATCCTGGAATTAAAGGCTGAAAGGTGAGTGAGAACCAATGTCTGTGTGTGTCTGGCTTACACATTTTCATGTAACCTCTCCATGTAGTTGTGCAGCTCTTTGCAGTCCCCAGGGTCCAGATCCTGGCAGACCCACTTAATGTCATCCTCGCTACTCATCACGATGGAGTTCCTGGTGGGGTACTCGTCGTCTGAGGAGACGGCGGTGAAGGTGGTAAATTTTACCCTTTTCCTTTTTGAGGTAGGGGATGTTGGGGGCTCACTTTTCTGATCTTTCCCATCAATGATGATGGGTCCCAAAGGTTTGAACAGCTGCCCATTGATGCTTTTTTGGGAGTTTGTGCTGAGGAGATATTTACTTTCCTCGAAATCCATGCCCCTGTCAATGGCAGTGATTTGCTCATCTTGCGAGGAGGCAAAGTTGATGTGATTCTCCAACAGCTCTGTCCGGTTGCTTAACCCAACCCAGTCATGAGAGTGACTCATCCCTTCCTGCTCCTCGAAGGGAACCTGTTTGTGTCTGTATTTTAATGCAAAGGTCACACAGTTTATCAAGAAGACCAAAATGGCCAAACAGAAGACTCCCAACAAAGCATACATCCCAATTTCTAAGTCGCTCAGCCCTTTGGATGCCTGCATAAGGTCATTCCCATCCATTTCCCCATTGCTTCTGGGGAGGTCCACCTGGGCTGGGAAGCTGGTGAGGTCGCTGGGGATGGTCTGCAAGTGGCTGTTGTCATCTAAAAGGCTTTCCTGGCCTTTCTTCTTCTGCAGGATGGACCTGTCTGTCGTGGTGCCCCGTCCCTCCATGAGTCCCATAGAAGAACTGCCATAGTACTGTCCTTCCTGACTCCCCCATTCCTGCGAGGGTTTTTTGGGCCTTCTGTCACTGACATTGTTTTCCATGTGAACCCCTGCCCCTGTGTGTCTGCTGTCACTGGTGTTGGGGTTAGCATCGTTTTGGCCAAATTTAACTTTGATGTTTGCCGTTCCAACAGCTAACACACTCTTCCGCTTGGATTTCTGGCAGGATTCACTAATAACCATTTCCACCTTGACCAGGGTGCCTTGTCCTTCTGTTTCCGCAGCAATGATAGGCCACTTGAATTTGGGGTCTTGGTGGATGGAGACTACCTTCTCATCCAAAGATGTGGCCATCAAGGAGAAGTCTTTCCCATCGTAAATATCCAAGGGCGTGACTGAGCCATCACTGAACTGGACCCAGCAACTGATGGCTGCTTCCTATGGAGAAAAATATGTAAGTTAATCAAATGGGCCAAAAAGCTCATTGAGCCCCAAGTCTTAGTACAGTAGACACACAACGGCAAAACTATTGCTACAAGAACAAAGACAAACCTTTCAAACAGTGTAGAAATAAGCGATAAGAAGTACCAAGAGTATAAAAGAAAATGAATTCTCACAAAGATGCAAAAAAGCAAAATAAAACAACAACAAAATGACAAAACAGGGCCAGTATTAAACAATCCGTAAGAAGATTTGCTTTTTTTTTTTTTCTCCTGTAGGTGTTGTTATAAAAGGAAGATGGGCCCTTGGGCTGTTCAGAATCAACTTCTGAACAATAATAAATTGCACGACAAAGGAAATTACTGGTTAGTGGAATCATTTACAAGTGTTACACATTCAAATGAAAAATATTTATTACATTATTTTTAAGTTGTAATACTGAGTCTCCACTGATTACTGGCAATACAGATAAAAGCCTCTGATCTAGATGAGGTCCCACTGCAGGGCTGCAGGCTGTGGTTTTGCCAGCCCTGCCTTTTCTGGGTCTGCAGGAGTGGATCTGTCCTGGCCTCAGGCCATAGTCTTGGCTTGGAGGGAGGAGTTAAGCCTGACAGCAGGAGAGGGAGAAGCATCTTGATTGGAGAGTCTTCATCTCTTCCTCCACCCAACCCAACTGGAGGAAACTGGAAGACCAAAAAGCAGCCAGAGCTTGTTTTCACTTTGTTGATTTAGACCAACTTTCTTTGCAAATAGTTTGACCAGGCAGATCATTGGAGATAACCTCCAATTTCATGCCAGCCTTTAATTTTAGTGAAGATGACATTATGCTTGACAGCAGTGGCAGATCCATTGCTTCCTCCCTCCCTCCCTCCCTCTCAGAGAACCTGCTCCGCCCCAAGCCCGAGATGATGAACAGCACTAGGTGGCCCATGACCCTGCCCGCTGGGCCACAGCAACAGCTGATTGAAATGAGACAGCTGCTGCCATTAGAGCCATCAATCTCAGCAATGCTGAGCCAGCCAGCATTACTCTCTCTCTCTCGAACTTGAAACCAGAAAGACAAGACTGACAAAGTTATGCTTGGGAAGATGTGTAGTGGGGGCACATATAAAATTGGGGAATGAAGCCCTCTGATGGACTATGTATAAGCAAATGTTTGGGCATGGCATTTATCCATAGGAAGACAATAATGAATTAGACCAAAATAAAAACACAGGTGAGAGAGAGAGTGGGCATGAAAGTGCTGACCTTCCCTTTCCTCCAAGGTCTTGCAGCTGGGTTCTGTGAGATCCCTATAATCCTCATAACACATCCTTTGTTATTTAAGCTTTTGCTTGAGTGGATTTTTTTTTCTCTTATGACCTACTGGCCCCTGACCATGACAGAAGTAATTTTACACAGTTGTTGTTTAGTCTTTGGAAGTAAGAAGAAAGTCTCCTCAAATGTGGCTGGTGGCCTCTGCTCTTTCCTTCAGCTCAGCCAAGAAATACTTATTCTGTTAGACACTGGCTTGGACTACCTGCTAAGCGGATAACCTTGCCAAGGCACAGTGCAAAAGCTACTGGACATGACACTGACTTACCAGGTTCTCTCAATCGGCCATGAAATCTGAGCAGAGCATTCAAACGCACAACGGAGTTCTTGAAACTACCACTGTCAGAGCCAAGTTGCAGGCAGGGAGTAAGAGCCCTGCAAACCAACCATGGAGCAAATCTCAGGGTAGCGTGTTTAGCTCTGCATGTCAGGAACGGATTAGCCTTCTGGCCTTCTTCTAGCTGCATCTTATCCCTTCCTTAACGCCTAGCTGGTGGTCCGCTGATGTTATCACCCACAAAGACAGAGAAAAGCCTCAGGTTATTTCTTCATTGCTATCTGTAACTTGCCTCTCGGCTGGCATCCTTCCTTGAGAAAAGGAGGTTTGCTTTGGCCAAGAATTCGATTCTGTTATTGGGATCAACCACTTTCAAGTGTTTTCTAACCCAAAACTCTGCAAACAAAGACTGTAGTATAAGGACTAGGAGATTAGCTCATGCCTGAGAGGGGAGCATTATGTGACAGGTGCAGGCTGGGAAAATGGGAAGGCTCTTTGTGCCCCTTAGCAAGTCCAGTGTGGCACTCCTGCCTCCTCTGAACATGGCCACAGCCGCAGCTGGTGCATGAAGGCAGGGAAGGCCTGGTACCTCACCCTGCCGAGGAAGAGTGCGCAGAAAAGGCTCCTGATCCAGAAGGGAAGCAGTCAGAACAATGTCCCATATGGGCCGGAGGGATTCCAGCTGCCCCACATGAGGATGATCCCTTTTCATGGGGCAAAAGAACTAATGACCTGCAACCACCATGTTTTGTTATTAAGCAAGCTTCACCCAAATTCCTATGTTCTAAGAAATAATGTTTATCCACCTCTAATGAGGGAGAACTTACTACATTCAAAGGTCCCCTATAACAGTCCCCTTTGTAAGCCATTGTATCCACATACAAACACATGCATCACACACATACACACAACACACATACACATATACATGCACACAGGCACCTATACAACACAAGCATACACACAACAGAAAATACACAAGACACACATGCATACGGACACACATAAAGCAAAAACATATATGACACAGACCCACAACACACACACATATGCACACATACAAACAACAAATAGACACATGCAATGCATACATACAACACACGATACATTCACAACACACATATATACATGCATACAGGTGCCTATACAACACAAGCACACATGCAACACACAACACAAAACAAGCAACACAAAATACTGACACAAGACACACACATGCATACACAGACACACAAAAACAACATATATGTACACAACACATAGACACACAACACACATATACATATGCACACAACACACAAAACACACTCTATTAGCTCACACTGGTTCCAAATAAAGTAAAAGAAAATTGTGACTGACATCTCCATGAATTCTCTGTTTCTGCCTTGAGCTGAACAATGAATGGTCTGGAAGCGATCTCCCGCCACAGGCTCCCCACTCAGCAGGTCTGTCACCCTCCGCTCCAGCAGGACCTTGGCATCAGGCTGTGCACCTGCTCTGAGCCTGCACGTGCCCTCATGCCCTCATGGAAGCAGGAAGCGTGTGGAGAGCACAGGTGACCACCTGCATGCACTTGCACTATGGTGGATGAGGGGTGGGCCTTTCCTCCAGGGCTCCTGCCCCTTAATGGCTTCTCATTTTTCACATGTTGCAATCCTTATGTATATATGTATTTATTTTTTTCATCTCTGCATGGGGGAGCTGGGAAACATGAGGCAGAGGAGTCACCTGCTTCAGAAGAGCCCTTTGCAGATGGAGAAACAAACGCCCGATATATGATCCCACTCTATTGTGCGACCCGCCTGGCGTGGTGCCTGCCTGGTGTGTGATCCACTTGGTGAGGGACCCTGCTGAAGTGTGTCTCAAGCCCTCCTCCATACCTGTTTTGGCCTCTGCAGAAGTTCCTGAGCCACTGCAGTGGCAAAGATGGCCCTGTTGCTTCCTGGGCTGAGCTGCAAGGAGAGTGACAGCCCTGTCACCAGCTGCACCCCGAGGTCTGTGATGGTCACCTTCTCGTCCAGCACAGTGATGGTCTTTTCAGCGAGGATGGTGTCTGACAGAGGAGACAGGATCTGGAGGGCAGAAGCGACATGACAAGGAAAGGCTTTCTGTGGTCCAGGCAATGCCTCCAGTCACAGGAGGAAGTGCCAGTGTGCAGGCAGCGGCAGGGCAACATGTGAGCCAGAATGAATGAGAACAGGCCTTTCCCACTCACACCACCTTCTGAATCATATGTATTGCTTGAGAAAATGTAATGCATTTTTTGCATAAAGCAAGGTGGTGTCAAGGAGTGGGCAGGTAGGGCTTGGCCCTCTCCCCACACCCCACACATCAGCTCCGTTTCCCACCATGCTCCATCCTGGACAGGAGGAACTGACGTTTTCATTCGACTATTAGCTTTATGATTCTTCTACAGCACAGTGTGTATTTTGTTTAAAATTATTTATTTTACTTAAATGATTTGTTTTTTTCAAAAGCCTTCCTATCACCAGTGAATGACGGGTTGGGTGTACTGGTTACATATTGATAGCTTTCGCTCTTGCACATAAAAACCAATGTGCAACTAGAAGGCGGATCCTGCTGGTCCATCTCAATCACGCGTGTCACTGGAGGCCACACTGTACACTTTGGGAAACGCAGCGCATGATGCCTGTTGATGAGGAATATCGTTGGGCATATTCTGATAAACGTAGGTTCTGAATGTCTACGCCTGATGCCCACAACCCAAAGCCTCATTTCTCCTCTGGACACCTGGAATGACCTGGAAAATGAGGCTTATGTGCAATTTAGACCCTGAACAGGAAATCCTGCTTTTGAGGAACGTCTGTGGAATCACTTCTTCCTCCTCTCACCCTTCGCCCAAATGATAAACAGCTGTCTTAGACTCCTCACAGCCCCGTATAACAACCTTCCTTCTAGAAGAGATGGGCTTCATCCTCCATTCTCCTGCTTTCTCGACCTCTTTCTCTTTTCAAGTTTTTGGTGATATTTATGATGTAGGTCAAGACAGCAGTTTTCCCAGGACCCTTTGAGACCAGGAATCAAAGCTCCATACTTCTACCCGAATGCCACCTTCACTTTCTGGTCCGATTGGGACAATTTAAATGGTGGCGAGCATGAGAGGTGTGTCCCCAGAAGAAAGTGGACAAGTGAATTTATGACTCAGGAGGACACAGTGAGAAAAAAGAGAAAAGAACCAAGGCTCGCAGGAGTAGAGGCCTCACCAAAATAATGTTCATGTTTAATGTGTGGGAAGCTGGCCCACTTCCTCTTCCCTGACACCTGGTTTCAGAACGGTATGGCTTTTCCCCTTTGCACTTAAATTATCACTTAAGGGAAGATGTTAATACCAAATTCTCATCTCGCTGTGAGTTTCTGGGCATCAGTATCAGTTTAGCCTATAGATTTATGGTAGGGATTCAGGTCTTTCAACTTCTTAGTCAATTGTGGAGGTTGCAAGCTCTCATCTATGAGACAGATATGTTTTGTCTGACATAAATCATATTTTAAGGTAGAATTAATGACCATCATTTAGAGAGCCAGAAGATTGCATATAAAAACAGACTTCCAGCTTTTCTGGAAAATTGCAACATATGGCTGCAGTAGACTTGCGTTTCTTCTTGGCAGCTTTTGGCTCTGAGTAAGAGCTTGCCCCTTTTCCACAGGCACCACCACTCCCTGTTGTCTCTCTAACACTCAGAGGAAAATCAGCTGCTGTCTGTCTTTCAGCACACACCCAGCCTACTCTCCTCACTGATGGTAGCTTCTCAGCCTTTAGAGATCATTAGAGCATGCGACTCCTGGTCTACGGCCCAAACCCATTTATTTTCCTCCTTGGATAAAATGAAGTGTTAGATATACCAGCCAATTTTCCAGAATGGATATGTTTTAAATCTTCCACGATCCAATCTAGTCTCAGTTATAATGATTCCTCATGCACAGCTGTTTTAGAAACCTCACAGATTGCCTGATAAGACAATCGCATTGCCTGCAGATGGGGCAGCTGCTGAGTAATACACTCTTCCTTTGGCTACAATGTACACTATTTGGGTGATGGCTACACTAACAAGGCAGACACGCAATATGTCCAGGTAACAAAGCTGCACTTGCACCCCTTACATGTACACAGAAAGAAAACAATCTCTTGCTTTGTTCTCAGCTGGGAGGTAAATGACCAAACCCTTACAAGCCTCCCAGAACACTGTTTTGTTAAAGTGTTTCAAAACCCAAGTGTTGCCACTGGTCCTCTCCGTCACCCGCTCCCCAGCAGAAGGGGCCCACGAGACATATGGAGGCACAATCACTTCACTTCGTCCTTTAGCACATTTCTGAGTTGTTCAGGTTCTCATCAGGCCCGCGGCTGTGACTCGGTAGGGGCGGCCACAATATCCTGAAGCCGTGGGAAGGTTTAGGTGACCATGCTCAGTGGCGGAAAGTGGCTCAGCAGGAAGTTGCTGGCCGTGCCTGTGATTCAGATCAGGTAAGCTCACCTCAAAAGCTTGTTTACCAAGATGGTAACGCCTACCATGGCTTGGGCAAAATCATGTGTTTCAAGCGTGAGCCACCATGGGAGCCAGCCCAGAGTTTCTCCCCTATAAGTAATATGTGAGGAATTTTGAGATTCTCATCACATCATTACATGGCTTGCATTGTGGTTTTGTCTGAGATGGGGTCTAGCTCCATCATCCAGGTTGGAGTGTAGTGGCACGATCTCAGATCGCTGCAACCTCTGCTTCCCAGGCCCGAGCGATCCTTGCACCTCAGCCTCCCGAGTAGCTGGGACCACAGGCATGCACCACCACACTCGGGTAATTTTTTGTATTTTTGGTAGAGATGGGGTTTCGCCATGTTACCCAGGCTAATCGCAAACTACTGAGCTCATGACCTGCCCGCCTCGGCCTCCCAAAGTGCTGGGATTATAAGCGTGAACCACCACACCCAGCCAAAATCGCTTGTATTGCTTACTCCACAATTTCTTTGAATTTACCCATCCTAAAAATAGATACCATTCCCAGCAATGACAAACAGCTGGTTTCTCCTCTAGGTAGAGCAGAGGTGGGAAGACAGAGAGATCTTGATTTGGGGATTTTTTTTTTTTTTTTTACCTGAATGGTGGTCATCCCAAGCTCCTGCCCCATCAGGATCTGTCCGCCTTGCAGCTTGGCGATCCTGGGCTCCTCCACCTGCATGAAGTCATTTATCAGCTCCGTGATGTCCACTTGCCAGTCTGAGCCCAGCAGGTGGGCCAGGTGTCCCCCAGGGCCGGCCGCCTCAGCCACAAACTGCGTCAGGACCCGCACCATGGCGTGCTGGTACTGCAGGGTGCAGCCGCGGCCCCTCCGCTCATCATCCTCCTCCTCTTCACTGTCCCCGGCAGGCCTGTGAAAGAAGCAGTGCAGTTTGCAGACAGTTACTTGTTGGTCCTCTGTAAGGGGCCGTGTGTGGAGCCTGGTGGGGGCTGCAGAGGTAGGTAGGCCATGAGACTTCAAGGAGTTTATAGCCAGACATGCAGAGGTGAACTTCAGATACTAACCACTGCTCTGGCATGAGCACTGACCCATCAGCATGGCCGGTGCAGCCAGCAGAGTTTAAAGTGTTCACAGTGGCCCCTCACCTCCTGGTGAGGGGTTTACTACTTTGTGTAAACCTCTCCCTTTGAGTGTGGGCTGGACCTAGTTTCTTTCATCCAATGAAAAAGTTATGGCAAAAGTGATTGGATGGTCACTTTCCTGGCTAGACTTGAAAAGCCTGTGACTTCTGTCTTGCTTGTGTTTTCTTTCCTTGGTTCTTTGCAGTTGCTCACTCTGATGAAGTGAGGTGCATGCTGTGAGCCAAGCTGTAGAGATTTCCACCCAGCTAGAAGCTGAGAGTGACCTCTGGCCAGCACCAGTGAGGAACTGAGACTAGCCAGCAACCGCACGAGTGAGCCTGCATGTAGATCCTTCCCCACATGAGCCTTGAGATGGGACCCCAGCCCCACTGACACTTGGACTGCAGCCTGTAAGAGACCCTGCTCAGAAGACCCAGCTCAGCCATGCCTGGATTCCAGATCCACAGAAACTGTTTGATAATACGTGTTGTTCTTTCTCTTTTTGTGACAGGGTCTTGCTCTGTCACCCAGGCTGGAGTGCAGTGGTGCAATTTCAGCTCACTGCAGCCTCGAACTGCTGGACTCAAGCAATCCTTCCACTCCAGCCTCCTGAATAGCTTGGACTACTGTGCAAGCCACCATGCCTGGCTAATTTTTAAAATTTTATGTAGAGATGTGGTCTTGCTGTGTTGCCCAGGCTCAAACTCCTGAGCTTAAGCCATCTGCCTGCCTCGGCCTCCCAAAGTGCTGGGACTACAGGCATGAGCCACCATGCCTGGCCAGCATGTTGTTCTTTTAAACCACATTAACTTTGGGGATAAGTTTTAAACCACTAAGGTTTGGGATAAGCCACTACGTTAGACAGAATGGATAGCTAACATGACAAGGCTAGGGATGAGTGGTGTGGCTCTGTAACCCAGCACACAAAGCAGGTGAATATGTAACCCAAGGTGAGGCCAAATGTGATAAGAAAGGCAGAGAGGGCCAGGATGCTTGGAAGGAGACAGATGTCAGCTGCTCCCTCAACATCTGGTCCCTTCTGTGCAGTTTGCCCTTTGATGGCACCTTCTCGGTCTCCATCAGAACAGCAGCTGTTCCCTCTCACACTCACTCCACTGCCATGTCTGAACCAGGCAGCTGTGACAGCGTGTGGGATGCACTGCAGTGAGACTCAGCCAGGTCTTTGGGGAATCTTCCCCTACAGTTTTTTCCCTCCGCAGCGCCAACGGTCATTCTCTAATCCACACCCTCAACTCAATACCAGAAACCCCAGAGACTGAGAAAGAATCATTGCTGAAGCCAGCTCCCAACTGTCCCTGAGACCCACAGCCTTCGTCCTTGAAGCATCCCCTCTCCCAGGGGCCATGGGACCAAAGGAATGAGCTTGCAAGGAAGGGAATATAAGTTCTCCCTCAGATAAGCCCCAATTCTCCACCCCCTGCTGAGTACACAGATTCCAGGAATATTTCCTTGTCTCATAATGCATATACTTTTAGCAATCAACATGTCCCTAATACATGAATTCTTATACACGGTTTCTCTGAGATGACAAAGTCTGTGAATGAAGAGCCTGAGCTCCTACCACTCTCTTTACATGGTACTCATGTGGTTGCCTGACGGTAGATGGTGGAGACTCCTGGGACTCTACCAAGCACCATCGGGGTAATGTACCAGACACTCAGTGGACAAGCCTCAGACCTCATTTCACCAAGGCAGAGAGCTCAGAGCTTCTGGACTGGAGCGCAGAGAGGCAGTTCAGGTCAGGTTGACCCTGTCAGATGTCCTTCCAGGGAACATCTGCTGCCTCCTCCTTTCCAGCATCAATTTTCCCTTCTCCTAGAATTTGTTCATTCGTTCAGCCTTGGTGCACCTCTTCCTCTAGCTCCTCTGGCTCTAGGTGGGGAGTCCAGCCAGCCACTCAGTGTGTTTGAGGGCCTTGGCTACAGTAACTAGATAAGGGAGGCCACAAAATCCCAGTGAGGATAAGACTTAAATTCAGGACTTTGCTGGAACTAGTGGGAAGGAGAGGAGGCACTTTCTGCTGGAGTTGCAGAGAAGAGAGGATGAAAGCCTGGAACCTCCCGAAAAACGCTGATAAAGAATGAAGCCAACACAGAGCAAATCCAAGCTGAGCGGTGGAGGGAGGCTTGGTCCTTAGGGTACCACATGCATCCTCAGACCCAGTCATGCCCAAATTTACCACCCCGTACACTTCCTCCTTAGCCTGCCATGGAGTTTCAGGGACATACCCACCTCCTGCTGGAGACGATGGGCACTCTCCAACCCTTGATCTGATTGAGCTCGGTGTCGGAGACCTCGATCTGCAGCGGAAGCCGGGGCACCCACACCGTCATCTCCAGGGGGCTGCTCAGGTGCTGGTAGGTGAAGTTCACCACCACGTTGACCTTGCCTTTCATTTCTTTCCCATTGACAAAGACGTAGTCACATCTGTCAGAAACCTGTGAAGAGGTGAGAGAGAAAAGGGGAGGGAAAGGTGAGCTTTCATCCCGTTGCATGGCCCAAGGAGGAGGAAAGGGAAGTGCCCTGGCTGGTGGAGGTGCTTCCCTTTCCTCCCCTTACTATGGGGGAGGAGGTCCTGGTATGGAGCAGACATTGGGTGTTGCTTTTGAGTAATAATAGCAGACGCTGTTATGAAAGGTGCTCTCTGAGTACCCAGGCTTCCTGGGGTCCCTGTGGCTAGGTTGGTGGACTCCTCCCCAGGGGCTGCGTGTGTTGCCGACAGCTCCTGCCACATCTTCCGTAGAAGACTGCCCTTAGGTGAGTGGAGCTGTGTCCCTCAGAGTTACCCGGGAGTTATGTCCTGCTCACCCCGCTTCTCTGCCCAGTGACTACCTGGTGGGGTGAGAAGCCCAGGCTGTTTGCCTCAAGGAGGGACCCATGCACAGCACAGCTCATTCTTAAGAGCTCCTCAAGGAGCTGGCTGTGCTGCACCTGGACCTGACCTTGCTTAGCCCCTCTTCTTCCCCTTCTACTGTCTTCACTCCCATGCGGGTGTATCCTGAGAACGTCCTCAACAGGGCATGTGCAGACCACTTTCCCCTGCAGGCACGGGGTGGATTCTGAGGCCCGTCCTGCAGAGTTCCCTAGAGGGGCTCGACGAGGCACAGGGGTGGATTCTGAGGCCTGTCCTGCAGAATTCCCTAGAGGGGCTCGATGGGACTTCACAGAAGTTGCCCACCATGCGAGCTAGCTCAATGATGCACCTCCTGCTGGTTTTCCAAAATGTGTCCTGTCTTGCTGCTCACTCCCTCATTCTGCCTCCAGAGATCATTCCCCAAATAAAGCACCTGTTCTCAAGTGCACGTCACAGGCTCCGCTTTTCAGGGAATCCAAACATGCGGATTCCTTTCATCCTCAGAACAACCACAACGCTAGGCACCACTGCCATTCCCACATTCCAGATGAGGAAGCCGGCAGGAGTGGGGGAGCCTGCCTATGTTCCTCTACCAGGAAGGGCAGAGCCAGGATTTAGCCCCAGAAGTCTGGCTCCAGAGCTCAGGCTGCCAACTTCTACCTGGTGCAAGAGGGCTCCTCCATGCCAGCGCTGATGGGAAGAAGCAAGTTCAATGTAAGGATTTTGTTCTCTTGTCTTGTCTCCTAGCTTTCCTGGGGGAAGGCAATGAGTCCTTTAGTTTTCATCCTAAACAAGAATTGGGACATGTCTTCGGGAGAGTGTGGGAGACTAAATAATAGCTCCGAAAGGTATCCACATCCTCATCCTTGGTATCTATAAACGTTACCTTACTTGTCAAAAGGTATGTGACCAAATTAAGGATCTTTTCCCCTCCCAGCTTTACTGGCAAATAAGTACTTGGCAGGTACAACTGCATCACTCTAGGCTGTACATCTACAACATGATGTTTTGATCTACATGTGTACTGTGAAATAATTACAAGTTAGCTCACATATCCATCACCTCACATAGTCACGCGCGCGCGTGTGTGTGTGTGTGTGTGTGTGTGTGTGTTGTGGTGAGGACATTTCTTAAAATTCGTATATATTTAGGGCGTCCACATGGAGTTTTGTCACATGGATATAGTGCACAGTGGTGAAGCCTGGGCTTTTAGTGTAAACATCACCCAAATAATGTACATTGTACCTCTTAAGTAATTTCTCATCCCTCAACCTCCCCCTAACCTCCAACCCTTCTGAACATCCAGTGTCTATTATTCCACACTCTTTGTCCATGTGTCCACTGTATTTAGCTCCCACTTATAAGTAAGAATAAGTGGTGTTTGACTTTCTGGCTTTGAGTTGATTCACTTCAGATAATGACCTCTAGGTTCTACTCATGTTGCTACAAAAGAGGTGATTTCATTCTTCCTTATGGCTGAAAAATATTTCATTGTATATTTATATATTGTATATTTATTGTATTATATATACATACTATATACAACATATAATATATAATACAAATTTGTATCATATATACAAACTTATATATACAATGTATATTGTATATTTATATATAGCATTATATACATTGTATATAAATTTGAAATATATATTTATGTATATTGTATATAAATGTTATGAAAAGGTAACGTGTGTATAACATGAGTGCAGGTATTTTTTCAATGTAATGATTTTTCTTTTCTTTGGGTAGATACCTGGTAGTGAGAGTGCTGGATAGAATTTTAGTTCTTTGAGAATTCTCCATACTGTTTTCCATAATTAATTTTCCATACTATGTTATATTCCCATCAATAGTGTATAAGTGTGATAACATTGAAGACCCCCTGTCTTTGCAAATCCTAAGTCTACCATACAGTATTATTAACTAGAGTAGCCATGCTATACATTAGGGCCCCATCATGTATTCAGCAGCATAACTGAAACTTTCTATCTTTGACCATCCTCTCTCCATGTCACCCACTTCCCAGCTCCTGGAAACCCCCATTCAACTTTGTTTCTGTGAGTTGGACTTTTCCCGACGTATAAGCAACGTCATGTAGGATCTGCCGTTTCGCGTCTGGTCTAGTGCACTTAGCGTCATGTCCTCCAGGTTCATCCATGTTGTTGGAAATGCTAAGATTTTTTTCTTTGTTAAGGCTGAATAGTATTCCACCGTATATATACACCACATTTTCTTTATCCATTCATCCACTGAGAGACACTTAGGTTGTTTCCAAATCTTGGCTGTTATCAGTCATTAAATTAAGGGTCTTGAGATAGATAGGGAGAGCATCCTAGATTACTTGGGTGGGCCCTAAGTGGAGTTGACTGTCCTTATAAGAGGGAGGCAGGGAGAGATTTGACTGCAGCGGGAGAAGAAGGTCCTGTGACCACAGAAACAAGACGCTGGAAGATGGAGGCAGAGGCCCAGGAAGGAAGGAGGCAACTCTGGGTGCTGGAAAACGCGAGGAAGCAGATTCCCCACTAGAGCCTCTGGAGGGAGGACAGGCCTACCGACACCTTGATGTCGGCCCAGTGGAGCTGATTTCAGACTTTCGGCCTTCAGAACTGGAAGAGAATACATGGGTGTCCACCATCTCACAAAGCTGCTGGGTTTGTGGTGTGATGGTTTGTTATTGCAGCTGCAGAAAACAAATTCCAGGAGGGGGAGAATGACACACCGCAGAGCCCCGGGGTGTCCTCCATGACCGGGTGTCCTCCCTGACCGGGGTGTCCTCCCTGACCGGGGTGTCCTCCCTGACCGGGTGTCCTCCATGACCGGGGTGTCCTCCCTGACCGGGGTGTCCTCCATGACCGGGTGTCCTCCATGACCGGGGTGTCCTCCATGACCGGGTGTCCTCCATGACCGGGGTGTCCTCTATGACCGGGTGTCCTCCATGACCGGGGTGTCCTCCCTGACCGGGTGTCCTCCCTGACCGGGGTGTCCTCCCTGACCGGGTGTCCTCCATGACCGGGGTGTCCTCCCTGACCGGGTGTCCTCCCTGACCGGGTGTCCTCCCTGACCGGGGTGTCCTCCATGACCGGGTGTCCTCCATGACCGGGTGTCCTCCATGACCGGGGTGTCCTCTATGACTGGGTGTCCTCCCTGACCGGGGTGTCCTCTATGACCGGGTGTCCTCCATGACCGGGTGTCCTCCCTGACCGGGGTGTCCTCTATGACCGGGTGTCCTCCATGACCGGGGTGTCCTCCATGACCGGGGTGTCCTCTATGACCGGGTGTCCTCCCTGACTGGGGTGTCCTCTATGACCGGGTGTCCTCCATGACCGGGTGTCCTCCATGACCGGGGTGTCCTCCATGACCGGGTGTCCTCCATGACCGGGATGTCCTCCATGACCGGGTGTCCTCTATGACCGGGTGTCCTCCCTGACCGGGTGTCCTCCCTGACCGGGTGTCCTCCATGACCGGGGTGTCCTCCATGACCGGGTGTCCTCCATGACCGGGGTGTCCTCCATGACCGGGATGTCCTCCATGACCGGGTGTCCTCCCTGACCGGGGTGTCCTCTATGACCGGGTGTCCTCCCTGACCGGGTGTCCTCCCTGACCGGGTGTCCTCCATGACCGGGGTGTCCTCCATGACCGGGTGTCCTCCATGACCGGGGTGTCCTCCATGACCGGGTGTCCTCCCTGACCGGGTGTCCTCCATGACCGGGATGTCCTCCATGACCGGGTGTCCTCCATGACCGGGTGTCCTCTATGACCGGGTGTCCTCCCTGACCGGGTGTCCTCCATGACCGGGATGTCCTCCATGACCGGGTGTCCTCCATGACCGGGTGTCCTCCCTGACCGGGATGTCCTCCATGACCGGGGTGTCCTCTATGACCGGGATGTCCTCCATGACCGGGTGTCCTCCCTGACCGGGATGTCCTCCATGACCGGGGTGTCCTCTATGACCGGGATGTCCTCCATGACCGGGGTGTCCTCCATGACCGGGGTGTCCTCTATGACCGGGTGTCCTCTATGACCGGGTGTCCTCCCTGACCGGGTGTCCTCCATGACCGGGATGTCCTCCATGACCGGGTGTCCTCTATGACCGGGTGTCCTCTATGACCGGGTGTCCTCCCTGACCGGGTGTCCTCCATGACCGGGATGTCCTCCATGACCGGGTGTCCTCTATGACCGGGTGTCCTCCATGACCGGGTGTCCTCCCTGACCGGGATGTCCTCCATGACCGGGGTGTCCTCTATGACCGGGATGTCCTCCATGACCGGGTGTCCTCCCTGACCGGGATGTCCTCCATGACCGGGGTGTCCTCCATGACCGGGGTGTCCTCTATGACCGGGTGTCCTCCATGACCGGGTGTCCTCCATGACCGGGTGTCCTCTATGACCGGGTGTCCTCCATGACCGGGTGTCCTCCATGACCGGGTGTCCTCCCTGACTGAGGTGTCTTCCCTGACCGGGGTGTCCTCCCTGACCGGGGTGTCCTCCCTGACGGGGGCCTTGCTGGTTAAGCTTAGAGGGGGATGTAAGGGGCTAGGACCCCTGCTTGTTGAGCCCCTAACACGTGTCAGGGTTGGAGGCTGAACGCGCTTCCTGCTCATCTCACCTAGTGTTCACAGCCACCCCAGCAGGCACTGTTATTGTCCTCATTTCATGGGTGAGGAACCAGAGCCCGGAGATAGAACTTTTCACCAGGACACAGGGGGCAGGGAAGGGGCGTAGACCAGATTCAGCCCAAGTGGGCGCCTGTGGCCTCCTGCTCCAGGACAGCTGTCTCTCCTGCCTGAGGGCTCTCTTGCAGTCTGCCTTTTTAGAGGATAAAAACCTCCTTTTAGCACTTAAAGGGGTGTGAGGAAAAGCACAGCAGAAATGACTTGGCTGTTCAAACATTGTAAAGAGCATTTCCTATGCAGGCCCCTTTCACCTTCACGATGAGGCAGTCAATGTATGAGAGCAGCCGCTATGAGCTTCCGTCTCCAGGGTGATCGATGGCGCTGAGGAGAAACGTGGGCCCAGGTCCGGTTAAGAGTGGGTGGTGCTTGTGTCTTCAGTATCTGCCACCAACAAAAGTCCTTAAATCTGATTGAAAAGCTGAATGGCACATGCTCCAGTGGCTTTATTATCATCTGTGGCCTGGCCACAGTTCTCCTTGCTTCAGGGGCCAGGGTGTCTTTAATATGAGGCTTTTCCTCTCTCAAGTGTTCCATTTCTAACTCAGGCTGAATCCTCATAGGTGAGCTGACTTCTCAAAAGAAAGAAAGGGGCTGGGCGCAGGCTCACACCTTTAATCCCAGCACTTGGGGAGGCCAAGGAGGAGGATCACCTGAGGTCAGGAGTTCGAGACCAGCCTGGCCAACATGGCAAAACCCCATCTCTACTAAAAATATAAAAAAAATTAGCCAGGCATGGTGGCATGCACCTGTAGTCCTAGCTATTCAGAAGGCTGAGGCAGGAGAATTGCTTGAACCCGGGAGGTGGAAGTTGCAGTGAGCCAAGATTGTGCCACTGCACTCCAGCCTAGGTGACAGAGTGAGACCCTGTCTGAAAAAAAAAGAAAAGAAAAGAAAAGAAAACGGGTTGCAGAATAGAGAAAATTGAGCCAACATTCAAAACTTTGATGATTTCAACTTAGAAATTTAGATTTCTAGCATCGCTTGAGAATTCAGACACTGGCAAAATGGGGCCTCCAATCTGACTTGGCCCTGATGGGGCAGAGTGGCACTGAGGTTTCCAGTCCTTCCCACCCCACAGTGTCTTTTTGGCCCCAGAGTTGACCAGCTTTATTTATGGTCTACCTCATCACTCTTCTAATAGAGAAATGTTTCTCTCGGGTCATGTCTCCACCCAAAAGTGGAGAAAACAGAAGGGGAGGGAGCCGTGTGTTTCCAAGACAATTCGGAAAGGGTACATTGCTTTATGAAAGGGAAGAAAATTCCTGTGCGTCTCCTAGGCAAATATAGAATGTCATTGTCTAATGAACACAACTGAAGATGCCATTATGATATTCCGTCAGGCTGGTCTCTGAAGACCTTACTTATGCTCACCTGGGCTCTGGGAATCTTACCTCAGTTTACCTGGGCTCTGGGGACCTTACTTCCGTTCACTTGGGCTCTGGAGACCCTACCTAAGTTCCCCTGGGCTCTGGGGACCCTTCCTAAACTCACATGGTCTCTGGGGACCTTATATAGGCTCACAAGGGCTCTGAGGACCTTACCTATCCTCACCTGGGCTCTGGGGACCCTTCCTAAGCTCACATGGTCTCTGGGGACCTTATATAAGCTCACATGGGCTCTGAGGACCTTACCTATCCTCTCCTGGGCTCTGGGGACCTTACCTATGCTCAGCTGGGCTCTGGAGACCTTACCTATGCTCACCTGGGCTCTGGAGACCTTACCTATGCTCACCTGGGCTCTGGGGACTTTACCTAAGCTCATCTCAGCTCTGGAGAGCTTACCTATCCTCACCTGGGCTCTGGAGACCCTACCTATCCTCACTTGGGCTCTGGGGTCCTTACCTACCCTCACCTGGGCTCTGAGGACCTTACCTATCTCACCTGGACTCTGGAGATCTTACCTAAACTCAAATAGGCTCTTGGGACCCAGGTTCCTGAGCCTAGGTGAGCTTAAGAAGACACAAGCCTAGTCCCCCATGAGTGGACCTGGCCCCAACTCCATCCTGGTCTGGAGAGACAATCTGAGATGTGTTCCTCCAACAGCTGGATGGAGCAGAACTTCTTCCAGCATTCTGACATTCATCCTTGCCTTCATAGCTCTGTTCATTGCATTAGATTGTTAGACATTCCAAACTCCCCCTCTGGGAGATGAACTGGAGAAATGTAATGGTCTAGGTGAGCCGGCAAGATCTGTCATTACTTCTCGTTAAAATATGACTAACTGTACATGTCATATAATTTATTAACTACCACATTACAATGCTGATGGTTTGAAGGGATGATCTATTAAAACTCTTGAACCCCTTTCATAATCCATTTCCAGCCAGTCACACTGTTCCGTTATAGGGATATAGTTAATATTTCTGACTCTGGTGTGCATAATCCGGCACTTATGTGAATTTAATGCCATTTCCTTCTTTTCTGTTTAAATGCTGTATGAATTTAAATCTTATTTAAATATCACCAACATTCTTGGTTAAATTTATGTTCTAATATTTCTCTCTTTCCTTTTTTTTTTTTTTTTGTTCAAGAGCTACAGCTACAGTTGTTGAAATTCTGTCTTTTTTTCCCCTCAAACTTTGCAGAAGTAGACATCCTACAGGAATGCTTGCATCCAATTCTCAAGTTAGGTAGCACCTTTTTGTGCTTAGTCTCTGTCTTGGATTAAAAATGTGGATCACCTGAGGTCAGGAGTTCGCGACCAGCCCGGCCAACATGGTGAAACCTGTCTCTATTAAAAATACAAAAAAATTAGCCAGGCTTGGTGGCGGCGCCTGTAATCCCAGCTACTTGGGAGGCTGAGGAAGGAGAATCGCTTGAACTCAGGAGGCGGAGGTTGCAGTGAGCTGAGACTCGCGCCATTTTACTCCAGCCTGGGCAACAAGAGCGAAACTATGTCTCAAAAAAGAAAGATAACATTAATAATAGTGGTAACAATAATAGTAGTGGCTAATATTCATTGTTTGCTACATGCAAGGTACTGTACTGAATGTCAATAACTTCTTCCACTTAATCCTCACAACATATCTATTAGATTGGTACCCTTACCCCCATTTGCCAGATAAGAACATTGAAGCTCAGTGTCCTATAGCCATGAGGGGCCTGCCACACTGGGCTAATCAGAGAAGAACTTTAGCTCATTATACTAGGCTTATTTATTGGAAAACAACTTTCCCTAACTCAGGTATATTTGTTAATGAACAACACACCCTTTTCTGTCAAGAGATAAGCAAGTTTTAAATGGACGCACTGGAGGACACACTGGACACAGTTCCAAATGGATGCCATGCAGGACATGCTGGACCAGTTTCAAATGGATTTACTAGACTGGAAGAGGATGTGCAGGGACATGCCACAGATGGGCTTCGGGTCAGCAGGGATGCTCCATGTACAGAGGGAAAAACAGGCAACTTGAGCCTATTGTGGGCTGAATTTGGTCCCCTCCCTAAATTCTGTTTGCAGATGACATGATTGTATATCTAGAAAACCCCATCGTCTCAGCCCAAAATCTCCTTAAGCTGATAAGCAACTTCAGCAAAGTCTCAGGATACAAAATCAATGTACAAAAATCACAAGCATTCTTATACACCAATAACAGACAAACAGAGAGCCAAATCATGAGTGAACTCCCATTCACAATTGCTTCAAAGAGAATAAAATACCTAGGAATCCAACTTACAAGGGATGTGAAGGATCTCTTCAAGGAGAACTACAAACCACTGCTCAATGAAATAAAAGAGGATGCAAACAAATGGAAGAACATCCCATGCTCATGGGTAGGAAGAATCAATATCGTGAAAATGGCCATACTGCCCAAGGTCATTTATAGATTCAATGTCATCTCCATCAAGCTACCAATGACTTTCTTCGCAGAATTGGAAAAAACTACTTTAAAGTTCATATGGAACCAAAAAAGAGCCCGCATCACCAAGTCAATCCTAAGCCAAAAGAATGAAGCTGGAGGCATCACACTACCTGACTTCAAACTATACTACAAGGCTACAGTAACCAAAACAGCATGTACTGGTACCAAAACAGAGATATAGACCAATGGAACAGAACAGAGCCCTCAGAAATGCCGCATATCTACAACTATCTGATCTTTGACAAACCTGATAAAAACAAGCAATGGGGAAAGGATTCCCTATTTAATAAATGGTGCTGGGAAAACTGGCTAGCCATATGTAGAAAGCTGAAACTGGATCCCTTCCTTACACCTTATACAAAAATTAATTCAAGATGGATTAAAGACTTAAATGTTAGACCTAAAACCATAAAAACCCTAGAAGAAAACCTAGGCTTTACCATTCAGGACATAGGCATGGGCAAGGACTTCATGTCTAAAACACCAAAAGCAATGGCAGCAAAAGCCAAAATTGACAAATGGAATCTAATTAAACTCAAGAACTTCTGCACAGCAAAAGAAACTACCATCAGAGTGAACAGGCAACCTACAGAATGGGAGAAAGTTTTTGCAATCTACCCATCTGACAAAGGGCTAATATCCAGAATCTACAATGAACTCAAACAAATTTACAAGAAAAAATCAAACAACCCCATGAAAAAGTGGGCAAAGGATATGAACAGACACTTCTCAGAAGAAAACATTTATGCAGCCAAAAGACACATGAAAAAATGCTCACCATCACTGGCCATCAGAGAAATGCAAATCAAAACCACAATGCGATACCATCTTACACCCGTTAGAATGGTGATCATTAAAAAGTCAAGAAACAACAGGTGCTGGAGAGGATGTGGAGAAATAGGAACACTTTTACACTGTTGGTGGGACTGTAAACTAGTTCAACCATTGTGGAAGTCAGTGTGGTGATTCCTCAGGGATCTAGAGCTAGAAATACCATTTGACCCAGCCATCCTATTACTGGGTATATACCCAAAGGATTATAAATCATGCTGCTATAAAGACACATGCATACGTATGTTTATAGCGGCACTATTCACAATAGCAAAGACTTGGAACCAAGCCAAATGTCCAACAATGATAGACTGGATTAAGAAAATGTGGCACATATACACCATGGAATACTATGCAGCCATAAAAAAGGATGAGTTCATGTCCTTCGTAGGGACATGGATGAAACTGGAAACCACCATTCTCAGCAAACTATCGCAAGGACAAAAAACCAAACACCGCATGTTCTCACTCATAGGTGGGAATTGAACAATGAGAACACATGGACACAGGAAGGGGAACATCACACACCAGGGCCTGTCGTGGGGTCGGGGGAGGGGGGAAGGATAGCATTAGGAGATATATCTAATGCTAAATGAAGAGTTAATGGGTGCAGCCCACCAACATGGCGCATGTATACATATGTAACTAACCTGCATGTTGTGCACATGTACCCTAAAACTTAAAGTATAATAATAATAAAATTTAAAAAAAAAGGATGAATAGATAAAAATGTCTTCACGTGGAAAAAAAATTCAAATGAATCTGACTGTATTTGGAGGCAGGGTCTTTATAGGGGTGCTTAAGTAAAAATGAGGTCACTAACATAGGCCCCTAACACCACAATATGCCTGCTGGTTTTTTTTTTTTTTTTTTTTTGAGACGGAGTCTCACTCTGTCACCCAGGCTGGAGTGGAGTGAAGTGGTGCGATCTTGGCTCACTGCAACCTCTGCCTCCCAGGTTCAAGCAGTTCTCCTGCCTCAGCCTCCCAAGTAGGAACTACAGGTGAGCATCACCACAACCGGCTAATTTTTGTATTTTTAGTAGAGATGGGGTTTTGCCATGTTGGCCAGGCTGATCTCAAACTCCTGACCTCAGGTGATCTGCCTGCCTAGGCCTCCCAAAGTGCTGGGATTATAGGTGTGAGCCACTGTGCCTGGCCTGGTTTCCTTTTAAGAAGAAGAGATCGGGGCATCAGGGCACACAGGGTAGAGAGACACCAGGGATGCACAGGGGAACGGTCATGGGAGAACACAGTGAGAAGCAGCTGCCCCCAGGCCAGGGAGAAACCAAACCCGCACACACCTAATCTCTGACTTCCAGCATCTGCAACTGTGAGAAAATGAAGCTCTGTTGTGTAAGCCACCTGCTCCTTGGTATTTTTTTTGATGGGAACCCTAGGAAACTGCAATCAACTGTGCAGATAAATACAGTCAGCCATTCAGTCCCTAGAGCCTGCTTTCCTATTCCAGGAGGAAGTTGCCAGCCTGCATGGAGAGGAGGCTAGCTGGGAACCCAGGGGAGAGCCAGCTCCTGGTGGGGGCTTCATAGATCAGAGGTGTTAAAGCTGCCATCGAGGACAACTGTCTACCTGGCAGCCTTCCCAGGTATGCACATGCAGTGAGTTGTTTGATTGTGACAGTAACCCAGCAAGGTAGGCATTATTACAATCCCCACTGTGCAGATGAGAAACTGAGGCGCGATGAGATTAGGTGACTTATTAAAGTTCACACAGCTAGGATGCCTTGGATCTGGGATTGGAATCCAGGCCGGTCTGGGTCCCGAGTCGGCCGTCATATGCCTCACATGCCACAGTGGGATCGTGAGGTCTCTGGGGAGCAGAGGCTGAGACAGAAGGTCCATTAGGCCGTGATATCTGTGAAGGAGGAAGGGAAGGACCCAGGATGGCAGCGGGAGCTCTTGGATCAAGAGGAAGACCCAACAACATTTCTGCCAACTCACCGGAGGGGTCTGGAGCAAAGACTGGGTGTTCAGGGAGGAGCCCCACTTTGGTGAAAGTGGCCAGACCCTTGAACCACCATCTTTGTCAATAGCTGGGGCTATCTGAAAAAGAGCGGGACTCAGCTCAAAACACAGGGACCCCAAGGAGTTAAGCGCTGGGGGCTGCCTGCTACCAGCACTCCTTGAGGCTGAGTGACAGTGCTTTCTGGAAGAAAGTCTGAGTCTCTTTCCCCGTCAGCCACAGTGGGCCTCTTAGTTATGACATGGAACAGGGATATTCTGGAGTTTTTGGAGTCATCTATACCAGAAGATTCCATATATAGTCCATATTCTATAGCCTATTTTCTTCTAAAATCAGAAATTCAAATTCCCAGGAAGCTCTGTTATTTTTAAATGAAAACAGAACATTTTTACACAACCTCAAATTTCCACTTTCAGTCCTTTCCTGGGTCAGAGGAAATAATGCATTCGGTGAATGTTCTCTTTTCTTTGTCCTCAAAACCGTCCATGTGGCCTGGGTCATAAGATCTCAGTTGTCTTCTCACAGTCACTGATGAGCAGTCTGATAGGAAATCATTTTAATAACAAGCCACCCAAGCCGCTCTTGCCACGTGCCAGGTGCTGGTCCTGGCCAGGGTTTCTCTGCCCCTGCCCTGTCCACATTTGGGGCTGGAGAGTTCTTTGCTGTAGGAGGCTATCCAGGGCAGTGTAGGCTGCTGAGCAGCACCCCTGGCCTCCACCTCCAGATGCCAGTAGCATCCCTCTCTCCAGCGGTGACGACCAACAGTGTCTCCGGACATTGCTAAAGAACCCCTGGGCGGCAAGAGCACCCCCGGTTGAGAACCAGTATTCTCAGCCCTGTTTGTAAATGTATTTGTTTAAGCCCCATGACACAGCTTTTATGACTCTCTGTTAGACAGATGAGGGGACTCTCTAAATGAATGCACATTCTCTGTATGTTTCTTTTTCTTTCTTAAAAAAACAAACATATTTATGAACATTTACATCGCCTATATCCATAGAAGAAACTTAGGAATGAGTAACTCAAAGAGATGACTAAAATTTGAGTATATGTAGCATCTTCCACAAAGAACAATAATTTTATAGAGAAATAACAGGAGAAGGGAAATGGCCTTAGGCCTCCAATGGTTGAGAAACTACAGAAAGGTAAATATATGGGGGAAACTCATGGAGAAATGTTTGTTTGCAGATTTTTTCTGTGTCAACTCTGGGCTAATCATAGTCTAGAGTTATCTCCAGTAAAGGAGAGTTTATATTGTCCATTTACGTAGAAAAGGAGAGGGTAGACAGAACTTTTCCTCCCTTTGTTTCTTATTAATCACGTTTAACTCAACATAATTCTTATGTCAAAAACACATATTTTTGGGTAACATTCTGGTTCCCTTCAAGCTGAAAGCTTGTATTCACAAACAAAAACTGCATACGCAGAAGTGTTTAATTTTAATAAAGTCCAGGGAATCAATTCTTTCTTTCATGGATTACACCTTTGGTGTTGTATCTGGAAAGTCATCACCAAACACGATGATATCTAGAATTTCTCCTATGTTATCTTCTAGGAATTTTATCATTTTGCATTTTTACATTTAGTTCTGTGGCCCACTTTAAGTTAGTTTTTGTGAGGACACAACCCAGAAGAATAAGATCAGAGGACTGACGTGACTCAAGTTCAAGACTGCCTGGAAAACCGTAATAGCCAAGACAATGTGGCATTGCTGAAGGAATAGGTAAATTGATGAATAAGACAGAAAAGAGAGCTCAGAAACAGACCTGCATAAATGTGGCCAACTGATCGTTGACAAAGGAGTAAAGGCAACTCAATGAAACCAAAGTCTTTGACAGCCTTTTCAGTAAGTGGTGCTGGAACAACTGGGCACCAAAATTCGTAAGAATGATAGTGATGATGATGATGAGATGATCACAGAGCTTGCATTCTCATGTATTTTGCTTTTTCAAACCATGCAGTGACAAATGTCCTCGTGCCTACCTACTCGGGCACAGATGCCTTTTTTTCTAGGGTCTCTACCAAGAAATGAGTCTTACAGTAAGATAAGGCAGTATTTTAATTCCACTAACTCCACTGTCCTTCACAACAGCCCTGTGAGGTTGGTGTTATTACATCTCCATTTCTTCTAGATAAAGAACCTTGAGACTCTGGGAGGTGAACGTATGTGGTAGACTGCATTTTCCAAAGATGGCCACAACAGTCTCTCCTGCCTGCTCACGTCCTCGCCAAAGTGACCTTATTACATCTCCACTGGAGAGGTGGAGTCTAATGCCCTTGCCTTGAATCTGGGCTGGCCTTAGTGAGTTGCTTGTGTTGAGGTTCAGAAACCAACATCTCAAAATATGTTCCCTTGACATGCTGAACTGAATAAGCAGCCTCAAGGTCTCTCTGACCTTCCAACCATCACCCTCCTACCCTCTCTTAATCCTCTGTCTCCCTTAAAGCACAGGATAAAGTTCTCTGAGGTTCCCTTTTCTGCCTAAAATCTGGACCCCACAGGAAGAAAACAATGGCCTCTGGTGCCTTCTCTGAGTTTTTATCCACTGAATTCATATTGCAGGAAGAAAGATGGAAATCTGTCAACACAGCCGGATAGACTTTTGTCACAAAGCATTTCCTGCTGTGCAGGCCCTACAGACTTTGCCCCAGGCCACTGCCCATTCCTCAAGCCCATTGAATTTCTCTAAAAATCATTTACTACCCCTCTAAAATCATCCACATTCTCCCATCTTCCTTTCCCCTAAGAAGAGGGGTATATAACTGTCTGTACACCTTATTGCGTCAGGTTGGGGTAACAACTCTGTGATTTTCTCTCCATGCACACTGATTAATTTTTATGCCATTTCTCCTATTAACCTGCCATTTTTGAGTTGATTTTTTAGCAAAACTTCAGAGGGCAAAGGAGAAGCTTTCCTTTGGCCCTCTGCACTCAGCCAACAGAATTTGACAGAAGTCTGAGCTTTCTGGTGCCAGGTCACAAAAAAACCTCCCACCTATGCTCCTGGAACACTAGCCCTTCAGATGCCCCCTCACAGAAGCCAGCCTCTGTGTCATGGGAAGCCCAGGCCAGACTGAGGAGCCACATGTGGACCCTTCAGCCCACCAACAGCAACTGCTGTTCACACGGGTGGCCGTGTTGAACATCAGCACAGTTCCACCTCCAGACGGCTCTATGCAGTCTGCAGGAAAATGAAGGAACACAGGAATTCTCAGCAGATGCAGGTCAAGAACACCTTCTTCCATGTTCAGTCCCACCTTGGCAGAAATCTGCAACATCCTGGAAAGGACAGATGTTGCATTCCATTAAAAGTGGGAGCGAAACCCACTTTATTTTTTTTTATTTTTTTTATTTTTATTTTTATTTTTTGAGACGGAGTCTCGCTCTGTCGCCCAGGCTGGAGTGCAGTGGCAGGATCTCGGCTCACTGCAAGCTCCGCCTCCCGGGTTCACGCCATTCTCCTGCCTCAGCCTCCCAAGTAGCTGGGACTACAGGTGCCCGCCACTACGCCCGGCTAATTTTTTGTATTTTTAGTAGAGACGGGGCCACTTTATTTTTTATTTAATTTTATTATCTTTTTTTTTGGGACAGAGTCTCGCTCTGTCACCCAGGCTGGAGTGCAGTGGCACGATCTTGGCTCACTGCAACCTCCACCTCTCCGGTTCAAGCAATTCTCCTGCCTCAGCCTCCTGAGTATGTGGAATTGCAGGCACCTACCACCACCCCTGGCTAATTTTTTGTATTTTTAGTAGAGACAGGGTTTCACCATGTTAGCCAGGCTGGTAACTCCTGACCTCAGGTGATCCACCTGCCTTGGCCTTCCCAAGTGCTGGGATTACAGGTGTGAGCCACCGTGCATGGCCAAACCCACTTTAATTAGGTCATTGAAGGTCAAGGTGACCCCAGCAAGTTGCAGAAGACTTGGAGAGCGTCTGAGAGGCTGACGGGTTGGCTCCAGGCCATGCCTCATGGTGATCTGAGGTCAGTTCAGAGAATCTCCACCGTGGGTTTTTATGTCTGACTGATGCAGTGCAGTCAGCTGAGGATGGCAGTGAATGTGCAGAACTTATCTTTCTGTCTTTCCGAGGACAAAGTTACTGTAAAAAATCAGCCAGCCCAATTCTATCTTCCAGCAATGCTTGACATATAATAAGGCCTCAATAATTTTTTTCTGGAGTGAATGAAAGTATTGCCCATGTCTTACAGATGAGGCAGCTGAGGCTAAGTGACTTGGATAAGCCATCTTGCTGGTTCCGTAGAGGTCTCCTGATGTAAAAAGCCTCATTAGTTAAGAAAACTATCATCTAAGACTCCCTTGGCCAGTAACTTTCTTTTATGCAAAGAGAAAAGGTCAATTTACAACTAAACCTAAATGAAATGGAATTCAAATGGTCAGGGTCAAATCCTGGGGGGAGGCACTGAGGAAAGGACAGCTGTCTGGGGGTCGGTGGCAGGGACTGAAGCTGAGCAGCACCAGGCGGTGGCAGGGATTGAAGCTCTGCAGTGCCAGTCAAGGCAGGGATCGAAGCTCTGTGGCACCAGTTGATGGCAGGGTCTAAGCTTTGCAGCGCTAGGCGGTGGCAGGGATCTAAGCTCTGCAGTGCAGTCGGCGGCAGAGATTGAAGCTCTGTGGCACCAGTTGATGGCAGGGGTCTAAGCTTTGCAGTGCCAGTTAATGGCAGGGATCTAAGCTCTGTGGTGCCAGTCGGTGGCAGGATCTAAGCTCTGCAGTGCCCATGGCCCATTGGTTCATCCTGGCCGAGCCTCCAACAAACAGCCCCGTGCAGCTTCTTTGCCTCGAGCATTTGTCGATTTGCCAATTCCTGTAGTATAAACGCTCGTGATTTCATGCCGCCAACCCAAAGTCACTGAATGCAGAGCTGGGAAGAGATGTGCCACCATGGCTTTTGGTAGCTGGTATGACCAGCTCAGTGGTCTCCAGTTACTGGAGTCCCCACCATTCCCTCTTGTCTTGCCACCAGCACTTGAATTTGCAGCCCCTGGAGATGTGAGCACCAAGCAAGAAAAGAATCAACAACCCCAGCTGGCTCCAAATCCAGCATTCCAGGTTAAAACACTATCTACAAGAGGAAACTGAAACTCCTCACAGTCAGAGCTACACTCTACGTTTCCCGAGGTTGCTTAGTTACTAAGCTGCAGATCTCGGGTTTGGAGGCAGGCTTTCTGGCGGAGGCTTTCTCACTCCAAGGTAGTTGCTTGTTTCATTACCTGATGCTGTTTTTTATTTTTTCTACCTAGGCTGTGACAGTTCATTTATCATATATTCCAGGGACAATGGCATTTGTACTGATAGTGGAATCGTAGAAAATAGGAGGAAAAACACTGACAGCAACCGAGGTCCTTTGACGTATTTCGGACTATAAATAAAAACAATTAGATGCAAACAATATTTTTGAAAATATAGAGAAACCACCAGTCTTTTGGACTCCATGATTCATAATCCCCCGCTTCTCTGTGTAGATGATCAAATTTGTGATTCAAAGCTGCTGTTTTTTTTTTTTTTTCTCTCTCTCTCTCTTCATGGAATGGAATGAAAATGGAAACAAGCCAGGTCTGTGACAGCCTAGACACTTGGGGAGTGAGATGGAGAAGGTGGCAGAGATGACCCTTGCCTGGGTATTTTTTAGTCCATTTCCCTCTGTGCTGTTGGTACCTTTCTAATCCCCAAGGAGCACAAAGGAAAGTAAACGAGGCTGCATTCATGAATCAGGCCAGTGAACTGGCAAATGAGTCTTGCGTACGCAGAGACTCACTCTTCTCTTTCTGAGCCTGCTGGAAAAACACCCTTACCTTTAATCACACACATACACATGCACACACGTGTACACACTTACACATGCACACACATGCATTCACATATGTACGCATGCACACAAGCACATGCAGACACATGCATACACACACAATGCACACATGCACGCACACTCGCACACTGGCATATGCACATACACACATGCAGGCACATGCATACACATGTACTCACACAATGCACACACACACACTTGCATATGCACGCACACACGCACACACACAACACACACACACATGCACACACATACACACATGTATGGATAAAAATATAGATAAAGAGGAAAAACTGGAAACCTCAAAAAAATCTCTAAATGGACTGATGTTTCTTCTGCTACCAGGTGTTGAATTTTGTTTCTCCTTTTGCTAAAACTTTCTCTAAGCCTAATACTCCTTGGAAACAAAACCCACAATCCACTCTGCTGAAGATCTTTTTCTTTTCTTTGGGATCATAAAATATTCTCGACCCTGAACCAGCTGCAAAAGTGAAGATGAAGTTAATACATGCTTCATATTTGGCCCAAATGTCCACTTTCCTGTTTACAGCCCTTGAAGCTTTTGCAGAATCCAGGCTATGCTCTTGGGAAGATAGAGGCTGCATTGCCCAGCACATTTAGGGTAACCAGAAGCAGAGTGTGGCAGCACAGGGGAACAACAATTATTGAATTTTGTTTTGTAGAAATGAGACACAGGAGGCATACATATCAGCACATTTACGAAAGTAAACATCGTGGAAGGCAGTTATTGTCTCTGAGCTCCAAATCCACCCTTCCATGCTCTGTTTTGTGACCCTACAAAATCAGCATATGTTTGATTTACCAGCTGTTTTCTTGTAGGCTCTTCCAGTGAGGGAAATTAGAAGGAGGCCTCCAGGCTGGAGGAAGAGGAGGGATTTGCTCCTTCATCTCTTCTTCCTGGGCTCCTTGTCTTCTTGCTGTTCCCATGAGCATTAGGACAGTAATGCTTCACCCCACAGCATCAGTTCCTTCCCACAGCAGCAACTGGATCCAGTTCACAGTGTCTCCAGCACTTGCAGAACCAGGCTCATTTCACTCCCTCATGGACAATACCATCAGCCAGCCCATGCCCCCACCTCGGAGGCCTGGCTTCCACGCCCAGATTTGGAGGAGCCAGCAACAGCTGAGCAGCAAGCTCTCCTTGGAGGGAGCCCCATCCAGACACACAGGGCATCCATAAGCTTCCAAGTTGGGATAATTCCAACCTACTCTTTGTTCCTTCAGCAGCCGGGATGATGGCTGCTTTATGCATCAGGTTCCAGAGTGTCACCCAGGCCTCTGCTTTCCCTCCTGACCTCGTGATCTGCCCACCTCAGCCTCCTAAAGTGCTGGGATTACAGGCGTGAGCCACCACGCCTGGCCTAGGTAACCATCTTTATGCTAAAATATCTCCGTACAAAATCACAAGCATTCCTATACACCAACAACAGACAAACAGAGAGCCAAATCATGAGTGAACTCCCATTCACAATTGCTTCAAAGAGAATAAAATACCCAGGAATCCAACTTACAAGGGAGGTGAAGGACCTCTTCAAGGAGAACTACAAACCACTGCTCAAGGAAATAAAAGAGGATACAAACAAATGGAAGAACATTCCATGCTCGTGGGTAGGAATAATCAATATCTTGAAAATGGCCATACTGCCCAAGGTAATTTACAGATTCAATGCCATCCCCATCAAGCTACCAATGCCTTTCTTCACAGAATTGGAAAAAACTACTTTAAAGTTCATATGGAACCAAAAAAGAGCCTGCATCGCCAAGTCAATCCTAAGCCAAAAGAACAAAGCTGGAGGCATCCCACTACCTGACTTCAAACTATACTACAAGGCTACAGTAACCAAAACAGCATGGTACTGGTACCAAAACAGAGATATAGACCAATGGAACAGAACAGAGCCCTCAGAAATAACGCCGCATATCTACAACTATCTGATCTTTGACAAACCTGACAAAAACAAGCAATGGGGAAAGGATTCCCTATTTAATAAATGGTGCTGGGAAAACTGGCTAGCCATATGTAGAAAGCTGAAACTGGATCCCTTCTTTACACCTTATACAAAAATCAATTCAAGATGGATTAAAGACTTAAATGTTAGACCTAAAACCATAAAAACCCTAGAAGAAAGCCTAGGCTTTACCATTCAGGACATAGGCATGGGCAAGGACTTCATGTCTAAAACACCAAAAGCAATGGCAACCAAAGCCAAAATTGACAAATGGGATCTAATTAAACTCAAGAGCTTCTGCACAGCAAAAGAAACTACCATCAGAGTAAACAGGCAACCTACAAAATGGGAGAAAATTTTCACAACCTACTCATCTGACAAAGGGCTAATATCCAGAATCTACAATGAACTCAAACAAATTTACAAGAAAAAAACAAACAACCCCATCAAAAAGTGGGCGAAGGACATGGACAGACACTTCTCAAAAGAAGACATTTATGCAGCCAAAAAACACATGAAAAAATGCTCATCATCACTGGCCATCAGAGAAATGCAAATCAAAACCACAATGAGATACCATCTTACACCAGTTAGAATGGCAATCATTAAAAAGTCAGGAAACAACAGGTGCTGAAGAGGATGTGGAGAAATAGGAACAGTTTTACACTGTTGGTGGGACTGTAAACTAGTTCAACCATTGTGGAAGTCAGTGTGGCGATTCCTCAGGGATCTAGAACTGGAAATACTATTTGACCCAGCCATCCCATTACTGGGTATATACCCAAAGGACTATAAATCATGCTGCTATAAAGACACATGCACACGTATGTTTATTGCAGCATTATTCACGATAGCAAAGACTTGGAACCAACCCAAATGTCCAACAATGATAGACTGGATTAAGAAAATGTGGCACATATACACCATGGAATACTATGCAGCCATAAAAAAGGATGAGTTCATGTCCTTTGTAGGGACATGGATGAAATTGGAAATCATCATTCTCAGTAAACTATCGTAAGAACAAAAAACCAAACACCGCATATTCTCACTCACAGGTGGGAATTGAACAATGAGAACACATGGACAAAGGAAGGGGAACATCACACTCTGGGGACCGTTGTGGGGTGGGGGGAGGGGGGAGGGATAGCATTGGGAGATATACCTAATGCTAGATGACGAGTTAGTGGGTGCAGCGCACCAGCATGGCACATGTATACATATGTAACTAACCTGCACAATGTGCACATGTACCCTAATACTTAAAGTATAATAATAATAAAAAAAAAGAAAAAAAAAAGAAAAAAACAAACAACCCCATCAAAAAGTGGCCGAAGGACATGAACAGACAATCCTCAAAGGAAGACATTTATGCAGCCAAAAAACACATGAAAAAATTCTCACCATCACTGGCCATCAGAGAAATGCAAATCAAAACCACAATGAGATACCATCTCACACCAGTTAGGATGGCAATCATTAAAAAGTCAGGAAACGACAGGTGCTGGAGAGGATGTGGAGAAATAGGAACAGTTTTACACTGTTGGTGGGACTGTAAACTAGTTCAACCATTGTGGAAGTCAGTGTGGCGATTCCTCAGGGATCTAGAACTAGAAATACCATTTGACCCAGCCATCCCATTACTGGGTATATACCCAAAGGACTATAAATCATGCTGCTATAAAGACACATGCACATGTATGTTTATTGTGGCACTATTCACGATAGCAAAGACTTGGAACCAACCCGAATGTCCAACAATGATAGACTGGATTAAGAAAATGTGGCACATATACACCATGGAATACTATGCAGCCATAAAAAATGATGAGTTCATGTCCTTTGTAGGGACATGGATGAAATTGGAAATCATCATTCTCAGTAAACTATCGTAAGAACAAAAAACCAAACACCGCATATTCTCACTCACAGGTGGGAATTGAACAATGAGAACACATGGACAAAGGAAGGGGAACATCACACTCTGGGGCCTGTTGTGGGAGGGCGGAGGGGGGAGGGATAGCATTGGGAGATATACCTAATGCTAGATGACGAGTTAGTGGGTGCAGCGCATCAGCATGGCACATGTATACATATGTAACTAACCTGCACATTGTGCACATGTACCCTAAAACTTAAAGTATAATAATAATAAAATAAAAAATAAAAATAAAAATAAATGCAATCCCTATCAAAAAAAAGTTAAAAAATAAAAAAATAGAATATCTCTGTACAAATGACTGATGCAGATTCTGTCTCTTGATTATACTCTGATGAATACAATGGAAACTGCCATTAGCAGGTGCAGTCACCATACCTGAAAGACGTTTGTGGGCTTGGGAGAAGGTTGAGAATGACCAGGCACAGATCTCCTCCCACTTTCCTCCCCTTCTTGGGCAGATTGGAGGAGGGCAGGCTCTGCCTCCTTAAGTGTGGTATGGTCGTGTGGCGTGCTCTGGCCAATGACGTGGGAGTAGAAGCGATGGGTGTCACCTCTGATTGGAAACACTTAAGAGCCAGTGCACACTCTTCTTGTCTCCTTCTCCTGCCCAGGAGGCCCATGATGTAGGTGCCTCAATATGAAGGCCATCTGGGATGCTGAGCCGTCACTGCATGGGGAATGCCTGCCTTGGACAGTCACCACTGCTGTCTTTGCCTGAACAATAGAGGCATGTTGTGGAAGGATGCTGAGATTCTGGTGCTGTTTGTTACCTCAGCATCCCCTAACTGATCCTGACTAATTGAGATGGCAGGCAAGACCTTAGCCGTTTTGTTTATCTACTGTATCATCTAGAACAGTGCTTGGCATATAGTAGGCACACAAGAAAGAGGTGATGAATGAATGGATAAAAGTGAGAATTCATGTGCAAGAGCTCTAATAGGAAAGATGAAATGGCACCAAATTTCTGAAACCATAACAAGAGAAAAACAAACAGAAAGTTTCTGAAACCAGTGGTTCTCAGTCCTATCAGATATGATATCTCCAATGCTAAATGAATGTTTTAAAGCTCCCCTTTTAGAACACTGAAATGGAATTCACAGATAATGTCACGTACATACAAGGTAATTTTATTAAGATTAATATAATGCTCTAACTGGATATCAAATCAAGTAAAATGCACTTGTAATTTAATGATATATATTTCAACATGCCGTTTGAGCATGACCACGTGAGAAAACATCTCTTCACAGTCATTGTAAATGATGCAGATTGAATGCAGGTTGACACTTAGTAGCTGCTGAAGACATTTTCCAGTGTGGGGAAGAACTCTCTATAAAGTTATAACAAAGACAAAATATTCCCTGATTAACCCTGAGTTTACATTTGTGAAAAATTCATGGTTCTGCATATTAAACTACAGTGCAGATAACTACAGCTTTCCCCTCTAGTTTGATGGGAAATTTACAAGTTGTGAATGACACAGAGCAGTTTTTTTGAGACAGTCTCACTCTGTCACCCAGGCTGAAGTGCAGTGGCACAATCATAGTTCACTGAAGCCTTGACCTCCTGGGCTCAAGCAATACCCCCACCTCATCCTCCTGAGTAGCTGGGACTACAGGTGTGCACCACCACACCTGGCTAATTTTTTTTTTTTTTTTATTTGTAGAGATGGAGTTTCACCATGTTGCCCAGGCTGGTCTGGAACTCATGGACTCAAGTGATCCTCCTGCCTCAGCCTCCCAAAGTGCTAGCATTACAGGTGTGAGCCACTATACCCGTCCAGAACACAGGACAATTCTTTGTCACAAGAGCCTGTCCTGGACATTGCAGGGCATTTAGTACTTCTGACTTCTGACCATGAAATGCAAGAATATGCCTTGATCCTTGCAAAAAATAATCACTCCTGAAAATGTGCCAGACACTTACATGGTGTGGGGACAGTTATGTCCCTACTGAGATCTGTGGCTCTAAATAGAATATTCTATCCCTGAACGTCCTTACATCACACACAGACCTTCCACCCATCTTAGTCCACAGAGGGCAGTGAGCCATCACATCGTGGCCACTGGCTTCTCCATGTTCACCGTGTGGCACCTAGAAAACTTCCTGAAAGTTTTATTTTCCTCCTGATTTTGGCAGGTGGGGCCGAGAGAGGCTGCCTGCTTTATTTTCTGACCTGGTTTCTTGGTTGCATTCCTGGGTTTGGGAAGATGACTCAGATCTCAAAGTCCTGGGTAGTAGACGACATACTTGCAGACGATGTCCCTGGTCCTGTTTAGCTTGTGGCTGGGCTGTAATGTTCAGCAGGAGGGAGATGACTCGGCTCAGGTGAATCCTCCCCAAAGGCTGTGGCTGGCTCAGGTGCCAGGGAATGTAATGAGCCACTTGGTTCATTCAGACTCTTCTATCTCCTCTGCCAATTCTGGGGAAGCACTCCCTGGCTCTTATATAGACACACTCAGATGCATGCGGTATTTCCCAAACTTCAGCAGTGCTCAATCTACATGCAGAATTACTGCCATACCCACACATCGTCTTGAGTTCTCAATATTTTGATTAATTGTTTGAAGACTTTATTATGAAAAATGTTAACCAAAGAGAAAGATAAATTGTACAGTGCCTACTCATATACCCAATGCCTCGCTTCCGTAAGTGACATTCTGCTGTGTTTGCTCTATCGCATATCTGTCCACTTCCCAGCTCTCTATTCATCTTCTTTTCTGATTCATTTCCAAGGAAGTTGCAAACATCTGTTTACCCCTCGATGCTCTAGACTGCATGCTATTAACTAGACTTCAATAATCAATTTCTTGTTTTATGTAAAAAACACAACTTTGTACTATTACCAGAGATGGAAAACTACTATCACCGAACATGAACACAATTAAGTCCTTTTAAATAGGGATGGAAAAAGCACAATAGCGTTAGAAGACACCAATAGGATGTGTTCAGAGCTTCTGCGGGAGGAAGAGACCCCAGGCCCGAATGGCCGTGTGAGTTTTTCCTTCTAGATAAAGGTGAGGCATTGCTAGGCTCTGGATCTGGATGTCCTGGGTTAACATTGTTCCAGCTCCTTCACTCTCTGGCTGTGTGACCTTGGACAAGTCACTTAACCTCTCTGTGCCTTGGTTGTCTCCTCTGCAAAATGGGGATGGTGATCATGGTACCAACTTCATTGGGTGGTCTGAAGAGTAAATGAGTTAATATAGATAAACTCCTTAGACTTTTGCCTGCATGTAGCAAACATCCAATTCATGCAGTCACCCTCTGATATGGTTTGGCTGTGTCCACACCATATCTCAACTTGAATTGTATCTCCCAGGATTCCTGCATGTTGTGGGAGGGACCCAGTGGGAGGTAACGGAATCACGGGGGCTGGTCTTTCCTGTGCTAGTCTCGTGATAGTGAATAAATCTCACGAGATCTGATGGGTTTATCCGGTGTTTCTGCTTTTGCTTCCTCCTCATTTTTCTCTTGCTGCCACCACGTGAGAAGTGCCTTTCGCCTCCCGCCATGATTCTGAGGCCTCCCTAGCCATGGGGACCTGTAAGTCCAATGAAACCTCTTTTTGTTCCCCGTTTTGGGTATGTCTTTATCAGCAGCGTGAAAACGGACTAATACACCCTCTCCCTACCAGCGGGTGTAGTCTGATGAGGTCTATGCGGCAGCGTTGGGTGGCAGCCATGGAGGAATGCTGTTGAAATGTCCCTTCTGTCCTCAGGGGCCTTCAGAAGCCACCTGGTCAGTGTCCGAGCATGGCCAAGGTGCAGGGTGGCTGCTGGGACTCCATGCAAGGCTCCTCTATGGGCAACCTCTGCGGCAGCATTTCCTGCTTGGCTGCCCAAGGATTCCCAGTGCTTCCTGCAGTCAGGCACTTCCTGCCCGGTTCTCCCTCCTTCCCATCCTCCTTTCCCAGGGACCAGACCTGCATCGCATCCTGAAGCTCAGCCTGCCTACTCCTTCTCCATCTTTTCTTTATCCTTCACAACTGCAGTCCTCAATTAATCTCTGGTGCACTTAACTCTGTCTGCTTCCTGAAGATGCTCATAGATTCTGAGGATTCCCCATGTGCTGTGATGTGAGAGTTAGGGGCGAGGGAGGAAAACAGCCAGCTCCACTACCTGTCTACCCTCCCTCCCGACCATTGAGAAAGTTCCCTGTTAGAGATTCATTCCTTTGGACCATGAAGCCTTTTGATTCCTATTAACCTTGAGTGAGTCACGCTTAAGCCTTTTAAAAAATTTTCTGAGTTTTTGTTTGTGAAATATAACATATATACCAATGAACATGAGATATATAAATGCGTTGTATGAATAATTAGAAAGCAAACTATATTCCAGCAAGCGAAAACATAACACACTGCCCCAGAAGCACCCACAATCCACGAGTAAGCACCTCCCTCCCCCTGAGGTGCATAAGTAAGGAGAGGAGGGGCAGAGGAGCTGCCAGGGGAAGGACCAAGGATGTGCTCTATAGGTCAGCCCCCTGGCTCTGCCTCTCCTTGTTGGCAGAGATCAGCCTGAGGGCCGCGCCGCACACCACAGGCCCATGACCCTCCATCGGAGTCACCGGGCGCTGGCTGAACAAGCACCTTCAGTGAGCTCTGGATTACAACACAGCTATGAAAAGAAGCCAGCCGGTGCTCTCCCTACCCATATGGAGAGATTGCCAGGCAGATTCCAAAGTGGAAAAGTCAGAGGCAATACAGGAGGGCCTGTGTGCCCAGCTCCCACTGTGAAAACCAACCCAGCTGATGGGGATTCTTCTCTATTGCTTTGTAGGTCGTCGCTGCCCTCAGCCTCCAGATGCAGCCCCCCTGCCACCTTCAGGACCCCTGGCTCTCCCCTGGACTCAGTAGCGAAAGGGTTTATGTGCTCGGAGGGAGACCTTCAGGAATCTGTGCATAGAATGCCATAGTGCAGAGGAAAGTAAGACTATGCAGTTGTATTTGACTTAAAACCTCCGGAAAGATAAATAGGGAAGCAACAAAACCTACAGGGAACAGGGGAGGAAGAGGGATGGGGCTGCAAGCCAGGGGATGCCTGCAGCCACCAGGAGATGGGGGGAGGCAGGGAGGATCCTTTCCCAGAGCCTCTGGAAGGAGTATGGCCCTGCCTACACCTTGATTTGGATTTCTGGCCTCTGAAACTGTGAGAGAACAACTGTCTGCTGTGGAAAGTAACCTAGGTTTGTGGGAATTCGTTACAGCAGCCCCAGAAAATGGAACAGCTGCTAAGTGAGACTCCTCAGCCAGGCCAGAGAATGTGCATTCTGACGGACTGCTTCTCATTTGCACTGATCACTGTGAGTGTCTGATGGGTGGGCATCCGGCGCCCAGAGAAGGAGTTGCTCTATTATCCTGGCACTCCATAAAGAACAGGTAGAAATAAGCGCTTCTTACCAAGATGAAATCCACCCATCATTTCTGAATGGCTCAGTTTTGATTTCATCTCCCAAGGTGGGTGATAACTGATTATGAAAACCTTCCTCCCTCTCAGTCTCTCAACAAAAGCCTAGCTTTGCCGGTTGCTTTGAGCTGGAGGGTTCTTTGCTTAATATCTAGCAATGCTAGACAGTAATCTTTACTAGGCTAACAGGAATGCTGTCCAAAACGTGCATTTCGAACACAACCTCATGCCATATTTTCAGTCCAGCATTACATATTTAATGCGTGTATCCAGTAAGGGTACCATCCCTGGTGGCACGGAGGTCTTGACCAGCAGTCAGGGGTCCCTTGGCACTCTTCATCATGATGCCCGTGTTTTGCTGCTGGTGGAGGGGCGTGACAGTGTCAGGGCTAGAAAAGTCTGCTGTATCTCTGACATCATTCCTGGCTCCGTAGCCTCTTTACCTGGTTTTCCACCCCTCTTGGAGATTCATGCTAGTCAATATCCTTTTAATAAATTGAATAAGTTCAATTTCTGCGTAAATCAGCCAGAGTTGCTCTCTGTTGCTTGCAAATGAGGATTCTAACAGTGACAAAGATTGGGTATATTAGTGAGGCCTGCCTGGATGCATTCTGGGGTGAATGTATGAAAAGTTGGGAAGGACAGGCAGAATCCTCAGGCTTTGAGCCCATGTAGGAACCAGGGTTTACACCCGTGCTGTCCAAGGTAGTAGCTGCTAGTCACATGTGGCTCTATAATTTCAAATTAATTAAAATTAAGTGGCCGGGCACGGTGGCTCACGCCTGTAATCCCAGCACTTTGGGAGGCCAAGGCGGACGGATCATCTGAGGTCGGGAGTTCGAGACCATCCTGACCAACATGGAGAAACCCCGTCTCTACTAAAAATATAAAAAATTAGCCGGGTATGGTGGCACATGCCTGTAATTCCAGCTACTCAGGAGGCTGAGGCAGGAGAATCACTTGAACCTGGGAGGCAGAGGTTGCGGTGAGCCAAGATCATGCCGTTGCACTCCAGCCTGGCCAACAAAAGCAAAACTCCGTCTCAAAGAAAAAAATTAAGTAAGATTAAAGATTTACTTCCTCTGTTGCACCAGCTACACTAGGAGACTAGGAGTGCTCAGAAGCCACAGTGGCTGGGGGCTGACATATTGGTCTGCACAGGTTCAGAACATCCCTGTCATCACAGAAGGTCTTGGTGAACAGTGCTAGCTTAGAGAATAAAAGAAAAACCTCTCTTCCTTGTGACCTAAGGAAGCCCTGAACCTCTTCTTGCTGTGAGTGTGAAGGGAGAAGCCACTTTGATTCTACTGTGTGAAGTGTCCCATAGTCCCAAGGTCTTGCAATCTTTGTGCTATTGCTATTGAGGGCAGATGCTGTAATGATGTATTAATTGACATAGTTTTCTTTTTTCTTCTGAGCCAAATGTTTTTACTTCTACTCTAAAGGTCTTCTTTCTGAAACCAGCCCAACTTTTCTCCCAGAGAGTATCATGGAACTGAACTTTCAAGATCATGGCATCTGGACATCGAGAAAACAGAACCCTCATCTGGCCACCTGCTGCTTTTTGACCAATTCCCATATAAACCGCTAACTTCAGTCAGTTGGAGGGATGGATTTGAGATTTGCCTTCTGTCTCTCAGGTGATGTCACCAGCAATAAAGCCTTCTTCCCTGGCAATACTCAATGTCTCAGTGATTGGCTTTCTGTCCAGGGGGCAGATGGACCTAGGCTGAACCCCTGGTGTTCAACAACACTCCCATTTCAAATAGTTAGCGATTCACTCACTCTTTTAATAAAAACCTCCCAAGAACCAACTATGAGCCAGGATTACATCTGGGCTCTGGAGATACAGGAGGAAACAAAATGGAAACAAAAATATCTGCCTTCATCGAGCTTACACACTGGGGGAAAAATGACAATCAGTAATAAGATACATTAAAAAGACATATTAGCAACAGGTGCTAAGGAGAAAAATAAAGCAGTGAAGGGTGCTAAAGTGTTCTAGGGTGGAGAGTTTGTAGCTGTAGACCCGTCGGCCAGCGAAAACCCCATTGAAAATGTGTCCTTTGAGACCAGAAAGGAGACAGGAAGAAAGCAAAGTAAGTATCAGGGGCAGAGATAAGAGTCATCTCCTTCTCGGTGGGAAAGGGCCGGGCTGGGTGGTCTCTGTAGAAGGAGAGCAATACATGGCCTGGGGCATTCTTGGCTCTGACATTCCAAAGACATTGATCTTGACAGAAGACCAGGGGCCCACTTGCAGCAAGAGTTTCCAGCAGGTAGATGAGATTGAGACTCTCCCAGCTGGGTAGGGGATGGAATGGACAGTAAGGGCTTCAGCAGGAGGAGACCTCTGACCACCACCCAAGCAAGCTCTGGGAAGTGCCTGGAGACCATTCATTTTCCCTGCTGTGAGGGCCAAGGAACTGTCCTTTTCTGGCCTCAGGTACAGACATCCCTCAGCAACAGACAGTCCAACATCAGTTGTCCATGCATAGAAGGTACACCTGCCTGATACCTGGGGCTTCACCCAGCATTGCATACACTCTTGGCCAGGGATCTTTGGATGGGAATTATTTGTTCCCTGTTCCCAGCGGACATATGGCAATGTCTGGGGACATTTCCATTGTTACAGTGGGGAGGGGGATGTTATTAGCATCTGGTTAGTAAGGACAGTGATGCTGCTAAACATTCTATAATGCACAGGACACCCCCACCACAAACAATTATCCAGCCTCCATGGTGTCAAGTTTGAGAAACAGTTGGAAACTCCTTCCTTCCTTCCCTCCTTCCCTCCTTCCCTCCTTCCCTCCTTCCTCCCTCCCTCCCTTTTCTTTTCTCATCTCTTCTCTTCTCCTTCCCTTCCTCCTTTTATTACTGTAAAAAAACTTTTAATTTATCCTTATTTAACTTTTTATCGCATACAGCTAAGTGTACAAATCATGAACGTGCAGCTCAATGACATTTCATGAAGCAAACAAACTTACTTCATGCAGACCCACTTCAACAACCAGAACACTGTCATCCTGCCAGAAGCCCCTCGCATGCCCCTGCAGCCACTACTCTGGCTCTTATCCTCTAAGTAAACTCTAACCTGCTTTCTAATGTCGCCACCTCGTTTTCCCTGCTGTTGACCTTTGGAGTAAATGGAATCACACCAGATGTACGTGTTTTCCTAGTTCCTTTTACTTAATGGAATGTTTGTGAGATTGGTCGCATTGTTGTGTGTGGTTGTATTTTGTTCCTTCTTGTTGCTGGATAGCATTCCATTGCGTGAATATACCACAATTTATTTGTTCATTTTGCTATTTCTGGACATCTGGGTGTTTCCAGCTTCTGGCTATGACTGATAATGCTGCCATGAACCATCCTGTACGTATTTTTTGATGAAGACACTTAGGTATTTCTGTAGAGTATATACCTAGGCGTGGAAAGGGTCACAGAGCTCGTATACATCCTCTTTTATTTTCACTCAAGCTGCTTTATTTCTGCAAAAGTGCCCAGAGCATTCTTTTAAAACATGAACTTATCACATAACTACCAGTGACATCTCATGTCGCTATCCAGACATGGTCTAAAAACACACCAATTGTTTTCCATTGCTTTAGGATAAGACATCAAATTCTTAGCAGGACCCACAAGCATGATCTGGCTCCTGCTGGGATCTTTGAGCTCAGCCAACACGATTATCCTCCTGGACGATGCAATTCACCTTCCTTAGTTCCCTGAACTTGGAAGGATGGGAGAGTGTCTCTATCAAGACCCCAGGATGTGATGAAATCTTTGGGATGGAGGTCGGGTCTAGGGGAACTAGAAGGCTGTGGATATGAGAGAGGCACTGCTTGTTCAGGTGCAGGCATCGGGGACTCAGTGGAATTGGCTATAAATCTCTTACTAAAGAGGGCTGGCGTCAGGGCATATTCCTGTGTTATTAAATAATGATACTCGGAGTATATGAAGCAGGAAGTATGTGTCCTGCCATGATGAAGATATATTTTCAGATGCAGAATAAAAAAGGACAGGGATTGTGAGTCAGGGCTAGGTGGACACTGGGATCCCCCAGGCACACTGGGCAGTCACGACAAGTAAGCCCTGCTCCTACGCCAGTGGAAGCCAGGGCCTGTAAAGCATACGTCACAAACTCCAGGCAGAGGTGACTCATGGATCTCACCTGGATGAGTGTCTGCCACTTTCTGGCTGGACTGGCTGCAGAGGTCAACGCAGGGAGCTCTCAGGGGGCATGTGGTGGTGGCCACATCTCCCCTTGGCTGGATACAGCCTTCTTGAGGACATGGAGGGGCCCTCACAAAGGGGACAAAGGGAGCAGTACTGGACACAGGCATTATTCAGAAACCAAGGGACACACTCTTTTGTGTTTGGCTGAATTCAGGATAAAAATGCCTCCGCAGGCCATCTGCAGAGAAATTCCCCCACTGCCTCTTTGCAGGCACCCCGTGAGACTCCTGCCTCCAGCCAGGGCCTCCTCCAGAGGAAGACCTTACCCAGAGAAGTCTAGGGTTTGTCTCCATCTATGGAGCTGAGAAGCTTCACCTGGGGAGTCCAAGGTGCTCAACTGGCAGGTGAGTGGAAGAGAGGCTGGTTAAGGTGGGAAGACCTGAGGGAACATGGTGAGACCTTATGGCATGGCACATAGAGGGAAATGATACGTGGTCACATCCACTACTATTCTTCTCAGGGAAAGACAACAGCTGGCCAGTCCTAGTCATTTATTAGAGAGAAAGGCACATTAACACTGCAAATCTAAATCTGTATGCCCAGTGGAGAATGATAGTAATAAAAGCAAACGTTTAGAAAGACCCTGGGAAGAAAATGTAAAGACAAGCCACAGATTGGGAAACAATAGTTGCAAACACATATCTGATTAAAAAAAACTAGTATAGAAAACATACAAAAATTCTTAAAACTCAACAATAAGATAACCCAATTAAACAATAGGCAAAGATTTGAACAGACATCTTACCAAAGAATATATACAGATGGCAAATAAGCATATGGAAAGATGCTCAATGTTGTATATATCACCAGGGAATTTCAAATTAAAACAACAATGAGATGTGATTATATTCCTAGTAGAACAGCTACAATCCAAAATACTGACAACACAAAATGCTGCTGAGGATATGGAGCAACAGGAACTCGTATTCACTGCTGGTAGGAATGCAAAGTGTACAGCCACTTTGGAAGACAGTTTGGTAGTTTCTTACGAAATTAAACATATCTTGCCATTCAACCAAGCAACTGTCCTCCTTGGCATTTACCCAAATGAGCTGAAAATTTCCGCAAAAAAAAAAAAAAAAAAAAAAAAAAAAATCTGTACGTGAATGTTTAGAGCAGCTTCATTCATAATTGCCAAAAATTGGAAGCAACCAAGATATCCTTTAGTAGGTGAATGGATAAATAAACCGTGGTGTGCTATATAATGGAACATTATTAATTGATAAAAGGAAATGAATTGTTAAACCAAGAAAAGACATAGAGGAACCTTAAATACATATTACCAAGTGTAAGAAGCCAGTCTGAAATGGCTATATTCTGTATTCTATATTAGATTCTGTATATATTCTGTATGACATTCTGGAAGAGGTAAAACTATAGAAACATTAAACTGATAGCTGGTTGCTAGGGGTTCAGGGGGAGGAGGGGGGAGGAATGAATAGATGGAGAAGAGGGGATTTCTAGGGCAGTGAAAATATTCTGCATTATATTATAATGGTAAATGCATGTCATTACGTATCAATCAAGACCCTAGACTGTACAACACAAAGTGAACCCTAATTTGAGCTTTGGTAAATAAAAAAGGACCAGTTCAGGTCTGCCCCAAAAGCTGACATTTATATAGTATTTACTATTTTCCACACACTAATCTAAGTGTTTTCCACATATCGGCTTACTTAATTTTCAAGACAGCCCAATAAGGAAAGCATTATTATCATGACCTTAAGAAATGGCCCAAGGTCAAAGCTGGGACCCAGCCTTTCTCCTGGGGCTGCACTTTTAGACATCGTATGACCCTGCCCTGGGTATTCTAACTCAAAAAGACCATTTGGCTCTGAAATGATGATGTGTGATCTCAGACTCTATTGCAGTGGAAGGAAGTATACTAATAACAAAGACTACATGTCTCCTTTTAAGGATTTTTTTCTTTAATTCACAAAGCTTTGTCATATTTTACGAATGTTTCATATTTGCTTTTAAAGTCTGAATACCTCACTGGAGACTTTGTTTTCCATTGTTAATTACTATTTGTCATAAAAATGGGGAGTTGGTATCAACTCATGGCTAAAATGAAGTTGAACAGCAGGAAGCATGTGTGGTGACACGTCAGCCCCTCCTTTCCTGGCTAGAGCTCCCCAGCTCCCACCCTGAAAGTCACTGTTGCTACTGGTATTTTGTGCATCTGCCCAGAGAGAGTCTATGCATATACCAGCACTTAACCATGTATTTTCCTCTTCTTTTAAAACATAATGGCCACCTTGGTATGTTCTGTGCTTTTCCCCTAAAAATACAGCTCAGAAATATTGCAAAATTCTTCTCAATAAGTTTCAGGATTCTAACATTCTGAAGTCGAACCTTCAAAACCATACTTTTGACAATGATAGTTAGATAAATGGAAAATGGATACCAATTTTTCTTTAGACATAAGAGATGGAGATGGAAAAGGTGGTGCTTTGAGTTATTATGAAACATCCCTCACAGCTGGGGTAGGAAGCTGCCACAGGGCAGCCTCTGCCCAGCTCTGCGGTACATGGTCTCAGGCAGCACCTGGTGACCAGGATGCATCCCTCGTCAGCCCCAGCACTCCCTTGGAGCCAGGACAGTGTGTCCATCTTTCACTGTGTGTGCCTTCTGCTGTGCTAGACTCCAGGGATGGCACCAAGACAGCTCCAGTTTCCATTAAAATGGCACATTTTCTACAATGCCTACATTTAGTGATCAACCCGTGGGACTTTTAGAGGGCACTGAATGAAACAATGCTACTTCCAATTAACATCAAAGCAAAACGTACCTGGCACTGCTGTTTTGATATCAAAAAAAGATCTTTAGTGAAATGCCCTTAGATTAATGGCCATGAAATGAATTGAATTCATTGAATGTCCTGGCCATTCCAGGCAAGAGTCCAAGTCTAACAGAGTGTGTTGCCTTTGCTGTAAGAGTGTTGGATGTGGCAGGGTGCTGTAGCTCATATCAGAGGGCATCTCTCAGGCCCTGGAGGGAAGAACTTCAAGGAAAGCACAGCGTATCTATTTCGGCTGCTCAGCTACTCACATGCAGCTCATGTGTTCTTTCTCCAACAGAGGGCCTTCTACAGGGCAGATTTGATGCTCTGACAAATGGAGTGCACTTAGAAAGGCTTACCTGCCCCCGGAACAGCCTTCTCAAGAGAGGGGCAATGACATCTACGCTGCCCTTGCCTTTTAAGCATTTTCCATTGGCTGTTTCATGAGAGGAGGTGGATACCATGACTAAGAGAATGCTGCTGAGACCACAGAAATGACAGAAAGAACTTCAGCTTATAAAGTCAAAACTTGGAAATGGTTTTGACTTTTTAAAATCTTTTTATAGATTTAGGGGAATGCATGCAGTTGGATTTAGGAGTACACGTAGATATACTGTGTAGTGCTAAGTCGGTGCTATTAGTGCACATATCACCCAAATAGAGTACATATCAAAAACACACCCACACTCAGACGTTAGCCACGGCACTATTCATAATAGCAAAGTTACAGAATCAACCTGGGTGTCCACCAGTGAATAACGGGATTAGAAATCTAGTGCGTATGGACCACAGAATACTACTCCACCATAAAAAAGAATGAAATCGTATCTTTTTCAGCAACACGGATGGAACTAGAGGCCATTATCCTAACTAAGGAAATGGTGTTTCTTGACCAGGCTTTATACAAAGAGACTTAGTTGCCAAACCTGAAGGTGCTAAAATTAGGAGCAACCTGAAAGCCTGAAAAAGGTAATTTGCATCAATAATATTAATCCAAATTCAGCACTAACTAGAGCTACAAACAAGACTACACAGGGTTAGTGTAGTTTCTTCATCCAACAAATGTCTGATGAGCACCTCAGGGGAGTCAGGCGCTGTCCTTGGTTCTGGAGATACAGCCATGAATGGTAGGGATGAAGTTTCTGATTTCAAGAAGCTGAAGAAAGCTTAGTCAGGGAAACAGATGTAAATTCAACTAGTGGTGGGCTCTAAGAAAAATAAAATAGGGCAACAAACTGCAAAGGTATGAGGCAGGGGGTGCTGGCAGGAGGGGAAGGAGACAGTGGAGAGAGGTGATATTTTCACTGAGACCTGAATCTTAAGTCACGTGTCAACTGTGAAAAACCTAGGCTAAGGGTATGTAGGAAGAGGAAAAATAAAGGGCAAGAGCAGAGAAATAATAAAAAAAAGACACTATGGCTGGAGCCAAAGTGAAAGAGAGAGGAAGTTGGAGGGGCTTGATCACATGAATCCTGGACCATTATGGTGAGGAGGTTGTATATTATTAGAAGCACTGCATAAGACCATTAGGGTGTTTTGTGCATGAGAGTGAAATGGCTTGATTTACATTTTTAAGAAGCCACTACACCTACATGGTGAGGTACAGTCTATGGGGGCAAGAGCGAAAGACATCAGCAGATGCTAACATTAGAGGGTCAAAGTCTGAGAAGGAACAGGATGCTTGCATGGTGTCAGATTAATACCATCATCAAGTGATCCAAGCTAATCTCACCAATAATTAGTCATATTGGTGCCACATCTCAACATCACACAGGGATGTTCTTACTGGGAAAGTGTAAGTCCAGTCTAATCATGAGAAAGCACAAGATAGACCCAAACTGCGAGGCATTCCAAAATCTACCTGGCCATACTCTTCAAAAGCACGAAGGTTATGAAAAATTAGAAAAAGTTGAGGGGCTGTCCTAAATTGGAGACTTAGAAGACACAACTACTAAATGCATTGTGGGGTCCTGGATTGGATCCTCAAACAAAAAAGGATATTAAGTGAAAAACCAGCCTGTGGTTTAGTTAATAGTATAGATAGATAAGTACAATATTCATATAATTCTCCTGGCTTTAACAATTGCATGATTGTTACATAAATTGTCAACATTAGGAAGATTGAGGTGAAAGGTACACATAAACGGTCTGTACAGTTTTTTCAAATTATTTTTTAATTTACACACAGTGCAGTTCATTTTTTTTTGTTTCGGTATTTGTTTTACAACTTTCTATTAGTTTAGAATTGTTTCCCGGTAAAATGCTAAAGAGTAAAATAAAAATGCTGATAAAAAACAATAAGGCTTCTGTGGTAGGCAGAATAACGGCTCCCCAAAGATGCTCACATCCTCATCCTTGGAACCTGTTAATATGCTAGGTAGGTTACATGGCCAAGGAGAAGTAAGGCTGCTGAGGGAATTAAAGTTTACTAATCAGCTGATTTTATTTTATTATTTTATTTTATTTATTTGTTTTTTTTGAGGCAGAGTCTTGGTCTGTGGCCCAGGCTGGAGTGCAATGGCACAATCTCGGCTCACTGCAACCTCCACCTCCTGAGTTCAAGCGATTCTCCTGCCTCAGCCTCCCAAGTAGCTGGGATTACAGGTGTGCACCACCATGCCTGGCTAATTTTTGTATTTTTAGTAGAGACAGGGTTTTAACATGTTGGCCAGGCTGGTCTCAAACTCCTGACCTCAGGTGACCCACCCCCATTTAGCCTCCCAAAGTGCTGGGATTACAGGCATGAGCCACTGCACCTGGCCCACTAGTCAGCTGATTTTAAAATAGGGAGATTAGCCTAAATTATCCAGGTGGAACCCAGGGTCCTTAAAGTTAGAAAGGGGCAAAAGAGTCATTTGGGAAAGAAGATACGAAGATGGATGCAGAGTAGGAGTGAATAATTTTGAGAAGGACTCAACCCACTGTTGCTGGATTTGAAGATGGAGAATGGGGCCCCCGAGCCCAGGAATGCAGAGGGACTCTTGAAATTCAAAGCGGTGAGGAAGCACATTCTCTCCAAGACCCAGAGAAGGAAAATGCAGTCAAAGGAAACCAATACAGTACTACACTACACCCCGGCCACCACAGCACACAGACACAGAAAATATGTGGAGGGATAAAGATGATCAAAAGCCATGGTAAGCATCCAGGACACATTTATGTTGGTGGTTTGGACATTGGACGAGGTGTAGAGATAAAATAGTTTGATATTTTTAGAGGTGGAGTCAACAAAAACTGCAGCTAGACTGGATATTGAGGGTGAGAGAAAGGGAGGGCTCCAGAGTGAGCCTTTGGCTTTTGGCTTTAGGAAGTGGGTGGATGAAAATGGGCAGGTTGAGGGAGACGAGATGGATGGCAGGCTCATGGAAGCCCGCCGATTCTGGCCCTGTTCTTCCGAGGCAGCCCTAGAATGCAGTCACTCATCTCCATGGCTTCCACCACTGCTGCAGAGCGATGCTGGGTGACCCGCCAGTGTGACTCCATGTGGCTGTCCCTAAGTTTAGATGGCTTTAGTTTAATTGTGTCCTCACTGTAAATTTAGCATGTGGGCCACACGGCCTACTGCCCTTGCAGAGCTCACCTTCCTTCCTTCCAGAGCTGAATGTGTACTGCTCATCTCTGGGCATATTGTGCACACCAGACATACCAGATGCTGTGGGGGAAAGCAAAGTGGGTGACATAGAAGGAAAGTAAAGTGGCTTAACAGAGTTTTTCTGCTCTAGCTGGGTAAAGAGGACACACTGGAAATGTCTTCAGAGTAACATTCAACGCTTACAACCTGGTACTACCATCAGTTTTGGCACCTGTGAATTTGCTGCTAGACACCATGAGCTCCTCAAAAGGAGGGACTCGCCTGATTTATCTCTGTATCTCCAGGACTTGGTATATGGCATTCAATAGAGGATCAATAGATATCTATTGAATGATCAAGTCAAACCCCAAGAGGGTAAAAACTGAGGCATCAGAAGCTCGATTCCAGAAAATTGTTCCAATCATGCTCCCTGTGAAATTGGAAGTGGAAGATTCTATTCTCCTCTGTGCTTCGTAAGACATGAATTCCTTCTCATCAAAATTTACTTGATAATGGAGTATATGAAATAATAAATGTACCCTACATTTTCTTTTGTAGTGAGAATTATGCAAAATAGGTTTTATCAGAATTTCTGAGTTTAAATGCCTTACTTATTTGACATGAAATACTGAAGTTAACATAAAACTCATAACACATCACACCAAAGAAACATTGATGACAAACTGGTTATGGTGAATGATTTCCAGGAAAGTACGGAGTATTTAAGATTGGTCGCCTTGCATAAAAAACTTGAAAGACCCTGAAATCTTACAGCTTACATATAAGAAAGATACTTGGTAGATTTTTCTCAAATCTGAGGATAATCATAAAATATATGTAACATTAAAAATATGGAGTTATAAAGCAGAAAGGAACTTTTCTAAACTATCAATAATAAAAAATAAATTTTTGTTGACTATGCTAACATAAAAAATGAGCTATCTTTCAGTTATTTCATGAATAAAGCAGTTATAAAATCATGGCCATGACTGTTCAAAGCCAATTTAGAAAAAGGTATTACATAGGTGGTTCAAGCTGTTACTTAATAAAGACATTGTGTTATATTTTATATATTTTATGATGCTTATAGAATTTTCCAGCTTTTGACAGTTTGTAATTAGTTGTTGATTTTTTTTTCAACCTAAATATTCGGTAATTCCGTGTACATAATTTTGTGTTTATTTTCTTAGACACGTGCCCCCAGGTCAACTGTAGAAGCTTCAACTCCCAAAGAACCTGGGTCTGCCTCCACCACATCCTGCAGTTTCTGGGGATGCTACTCTCCTCCTCTCTGTTCTGTCTATGTGGGGTCTCCAGGGTCCATCCCAAGCCAACTCAGGAAATGATCCTTCAGTGATTTTCGCAAAGGATACTGTGATGGTTGACTTTATGTGTCAACTTGACTGGGTTAAGGGATGCCAGATTCCTGGTAAAACATTATTTCTGGGTGTGTCTGTGAGGGTGTTTCTGGCACAAATTAATTTGAAGCAGTGGACTGAGTAAACCAGATTCATCCTCCCCAGTGCGGATGGGCCTCATCCAGTCTGTTGGGAGACTGGATAGAACACAAAGATGGAGGAAAAGCTTCTCTCTCTCTCTCTCCTTTTACTGGGAAATCCATCACTGTCTCCCCTTGAACAGTGCCCCTCCTGATTCTCAGGCCTTTGGATTCAGAATGCGAGTTACACCTTCAGCTTCCCTGTTCTTGGGCCTTTGGGTTTGGACTGGAACTCCACCACCGGCTTTCCAGGTCTCCAGCTGCAGAAGGAGGATCATGGGACTTCTCAGCCTCCATAACTGTGTGAGCCAATTCCTATAATAAATCTCCCCATCTGTCTATCTATGTGCAGCCGACTGGTTCTGCTTCTCTGGAGAACCCCAACTAATACAGGTAGCCTCATGGTGAGTTTTCCACAAATTGTTAAACTTTCTGCAGATTTACAGGGTTACAGGGAGGGCTCCGTGGCTCCCATGTGGCCTCACAACCTCTCTTTCTCCACTTCTGCCTCCTCCCTCAAAATGACAAGCCCAGAGCTCTCTTCATCTAATGAAGACTAATCTCACCCACATCCAGGACCCCCAAGACTCACCTTGAACGTAGAGGTACTTCTATTTCCCAAAATAGGAAGCTGTACCTTAATACATTTATGTGCATAAATGTTAATTGTGCAACTCAGTGAATCTTTATATCTGTGCAGCCCAGTATCGTCTATGAGATCAAAACATGGAACATTTGAGCTCTCCTAAAATCTCTCTAGTTGCTTACTTCCATCCTTCCCCCATCCAAGTTAACCATTATTTTGGTTCCTCTCACCATAGGTCAGTTTTGCTCATCCTAGAACTTCACATAGAAGAAACTGTGCCACCTATTAGCTTTTGTTTCTGGCTTCATTGCTCAACTTCTGGCCTGTGAGATGTATCCAGGCTCTTGCCTTCAGTGTAGTTCACTCTTCTGTGTTGCTGGGTAGTATTTCATTGAATGGGCACAGAATGTGTTTGTTCACCTATTGATGGAGAATTTGAGTCATTTCCAGCTCTGGGCTATTATGAATGAATTTGCGGTGAACATCCTTGTACATAACTTTTGGTGAGTATATGCCCTCATTTTTTGGAAACTGCTTGGTCTTTGGGAAGACCTATGCATCATCCCCAGAACTTTCAAGAGCTCCCCCTCCCTCTGAGCCAACAAACTCAGTTTCCACTCTAAGAGGAATTCTGGTGCAAGCTATTAATGTAATTACATTTCCCCACCTCATTACAATTAAGCGACTGCCTCTGTAACTAATCCTAAGAGGAAGACCTGAAGAGATGGCATATTTACCTTAGGGATAAAGCCCATTCTGGCAAGGCTGGAGGGGGGATGTCTGGCTTTTATTATTGATGTTTCATGCTCTTCTGCAAGTCTGCGGAGGTGATGATGCAAATACACTCAGAAATAATGTGACATGTTCCTGGAAGTGTGTTCATTTCCAGAGGAATTATGTACTTTAATATTTGAAACATTGAGACCATCTATTAAACACACTTCTGAGATGCTATCTCCTAATAGAAATTGTGTGTGATCAGAAAGGAGAAGTTGAGGAGACATTCTGGATTCCCTCCACCCTTTCAGAATTTCACCAGAATTGGTTCAGCAGTTCTAAGCTATTTTGATGTAAGACACAATTCCCCTAGCTTGAATCTTCTTAATCGTCCTGTGATTAAGAAAAAATTTCCAACCCTGTGTAGACTAACACTTTTGTACAATACAATAAAAATATGTTTAGGTGATGTGACGATGTCGAATTACTATGAGTTTTTTTTTTTTTTTTTTTTTTGAGACAGGGTCTCGCTCTGTCACCCAGGCTAGAGTGCAGTGACACAATCACAGCTCACTGCAGCCTCAACCTGCTGGGCTCAAGCTTCCTGTGTAGCTGGGACTACAGGTGTGTACAAACATGTTTGGTCAATTTTTCTTTTCTTTTTTCTTTTTTTTTTGGTATAAACGGGGTTTTGCTATGTTGCCTAGGCTGGCCTTGAACATCTGGACTCAAGCGATCCGCTCGCCTTGGCCTCCCAAAGCGCACTGTGAACATTTCTAAATACTCACTCTTGACTCTGTACCTGCTGCATTGAGCACCAGTCATGCGGAGCCTGCAAACCTGGGCTCATACACAGAGCATACATTGAAGAGCACTGTGATGTGGCCACTTTCTTGGTCAGAGATTTCCTCTTGAAACAGAGTAAACAGGGTGTTCCTTTCTTTTCCTAATTTTCCTGCAAGTTTATATAGCACATGGTCAGGCTGGAGAACATTCCCGGGGGGCCAGCTATGCCCAACCTGAGCACCCCTCTTTTTGAGATAAGGGGCACTTGGGGATTGCATGTGCTCAGATGCTTCTCTGCCTGTAAGTTTTCCCAACACACTTTCCTTTTGTTCAATGTGTCGCTTAAGGTACATGTCTTTAAAATTAGCCAAGGGAAAATGTACAGGGAACTTAAATCCACTTATGTTAATATCTATAAATCCCTCTATATTTATATCTATGGATCCATATTCATATCTTATCTGTGGCTTCTGTCTCAGAAGCATTACACAGCCAATTAAAAATGTTTTGGTGGCTCTGTCACCTTGCAGCTATCACTTTCATTCTCTTGCCTCAGTTTCTCTCTCTTTTTTTTTTTTTTTAGCAATAATCCTGTTTGCATTTTTTGGCCCCTTCAACCTTTCTCCCAGCATGAAGTACATATAAGGGAGAGAAACATCGAGAGCAGTGTTACAGTGGGTGTCTTCTATCTTAGTTTAATTAGCTCAGATAACATCTCATATACACTAACCCACTCATGGCTGTGAACATCCCATCTGCATTGGAGGGATCTGGCTAATTGAAGAGCAAAAATATGCCTGTGCCATCAGGGTGGGGGGTGAATGGTATGGGAATAAACAGTAACATACATACGCGTTTGGCAGGGGCTTATGTTACGTATGGAATTAGCATTCCTTAAATTAATGCAGGGTTCTGCTTTAATACATTTTCCAGGAGTCAGATAAAATGGGGTAGTAATGCGATGGCTTTCTTGTATATTGCTAGCATAGAATTGATCAGTTAACTAGGAACTTTCCTCCTTGTTATTAGCATCAGGCAATTACAAACAAGGGCCCAGTTCTCCATGAAGGGACATGTCATCATTGCTAACAGCTCTGACACTGGCACGCTGAGATGCCCAGAGGGGTAAAGAGCAGCACGTCTTCAGTGATGTTGGGCATGTGATGCCCTGCAGTTGGGGACAATCAGCTGAGAGACAAGGACGCAGTCTGAACTACCTTGTTTGCTTCAGAGAAACCTTTAGAGGGAAAACATTTTGTGCCAAGGAATGACAGACCTGCCCACCACTCATGCAGTCTGAGAGCGAGAGAGCGGGATTCATCAACGGATTGAACACACTGGCTTCAAGGCTGTCCTATCACACTGACACTACATGTGCCAAAGCACACATTTTCTTGATTGAGTTTTTGTTTTTTTCAATCACTCATAGCCAAAGGACACTCTTCCTCCTCACGTTGTGATCTTTTAGAGAAAGACTAACGCACATTGTGGAACATTGCGCAAACAAACATTTGATACCTCTTTGTGACAAATGCCTCTTTGGCCCCAAATCCACACAACTCCAGAGCAGCTGAGGCTAATTTCATTATAGTGGCTGGGACTCAATTAACAGTCAGATGTGAGTAGGCTTGGCAACCGCCCCTCGCTTCCGGCAGGTCCAGAAGGTTTCCCAAGAGCCAAATTTTGTTCTTTGTTCATATATGAACGAAAGCAAACAAGCCCAATGCACAAGAAAATCTGCCATTTAAAAGTCAATGTGAACAGCCCACTCTCTGGGCATTCGCTAAATACAGGGGCCTTTAAAAAACACGTCTCCATTTGTCACCCAGGTTTTTGGACAGGTTGAATGGAGTAGGCCACATAAACACTACTTCTACACCGAGAAAGAAGGAGCACATTCAACAAAACCATGACGAGTATTTGCCTAGATTGCAGCACCTAAGTTTCCAAATGTGAGATGCCTGTCTGACCGAGGAGCAGAGGACAGTGGTTGACACTTTGCACCCGATGCCTCTTGTCTCCCGTCTCACACTCCCGGATTCACCTTCTAACTGCACTGGTTACTGCCAGGGCCAGCGGCCTGCAGACGAGGCCGGCACTCACCTCTGCGGCCTCAAGTATTTCTTGCTACGCCCTGAGGCTTCTGTGCAGCTGTCACATGGGTGCCTGGGGGAAGCTGCCTAGACCGTGACCAACTGTCCTACGTTACCCAGGCATGAAGAGTTTCCCGGGATGTGAGGCTTTCAGTGGTAAAATCATGTCAGTTCTGGACAAACCGGGACAGTTGGTCTCCCTCTTGCTCAGCTAGAGGGCTGCATGTACAAACTTGGAAGGTAGAGAGTTCACAACTCTAGGCAACCCTGGAGTAGGGGAGACAAGAGCTAGTGAATGGTCACTGCCCATTTTCGTGGCTTGGGCAGACAATTCTTTTCCTTTTTTCCCAAATATTTTTATTTTAGATTCAGGGCTGTATTAGTCCATTTCTACATTGCTATAAAGAACAACCTGAGACTGGGTAATTTATAAAGAAAAGAGGTTTAATTGACTCACAGTTCCACATGGCTGGGGAGGCCTCAGGAAACTTACAATCCTGGTGGAAGGTGAAGAGGAAGCAAGGTGGCATCTTACACGGTGGCAGGAGCGAGAGAGTGACTGGGGAAGGGCCCCACTTTTAAACCACAAGATCTCATGAGAACTCACTCATTAACATGAAAACAGCTTGGGGAAAACCACCCCCATGATCCAATTACCTCCCACCAGGTCCCTCCCTTGACATGTGGGGCTTACAATTCAAGATGAGATTTAGGTGGGGACACAGAGGCAAACCATACCAACGGGATACATGTGCTTGTTTGTTACATGGGTATATTGCATGTGGTAGGGCTTCTAGTGTACCCATGACTCAAACGGTGAACGCTGTACCCAATAGGTAACTTTTCAACCCTCACCCCCTCCCATCCTGCCCCCACCCTTGGGAGTCTCCAGTGTTTATTAGCTCCATTTTTATGTTCATGTGTGCCCATTGTTTAGCTCCAACTTATACATGAGATCATGCAGTATTTTATTTTCTGCTTCCTAGTTCACTTAGGATGATGGCTTCCAGCTGCATCCATGTTGCTGCAAAGGACATGATTTCATCGTTTTTCATGGCTGCATAGTATTCTCTGGCATATACGCACCACATTTTCTTTTCTTTTTTCTACTTTACTTTCAGATGCAGGGGATACATGTACGGGGTTTCTACTTGGGTATATTGCATGATGCTGAGGTTTGGGATACAAATGATCCCATCACTCAAGTACTGAGCATGGTACCCAAAAGTTAGTTTTTCAACCTTTGCCTCCCTTCCTCCTTCTCCTCCCTAGTAGTCCCCTGTGTCTATTGTTGACATCTTTAATTCCATGAGTACCCAATGTTTAGCTCCCCCTTATAAGTGAGAACATGAAATATTTGGCTTTCTGATTCACTGATAGTTCACTTAGGATAATGGCTTCCAGCTGCATCCACATTGCTGCAAAGGACATGATGATTTCATTCTTTTTTATAGCTGCATAGTATTCCATGGTATATGTACCATGTTTTCTTTATCCAATCCACTGTTGATGGGCACGTTGGTTGATCCCATGTCTGCTGTTGTGAATAGTGCTGCAATAAACATGAGAGTGCATATGTCATGTTGGTGGAATGATTTGTTTTCCTTCAGATATATGCCCAGTGATGGGATTGTTGGGTTGAATGGTAGTTCTGGGTTAAGTTCTTTGAGAAATCTCCATACTGTTTTCCACAGTGGCTGAACTAATTAACATTCCTACCAACAGTGTATAAGAGTTCCCTTTTTGCACAGCCTCGCCAGCTCTGTTGTTTCTTGACTTTTTAATACTAGCCATATTCTGACTGGTGAGAGATGAAATCTCATTGTGGCTTTGACTTGCATTTCTCTGATGATGAGCTATGTGGGGCATCTTTTCATGTTCTTGTTGGCCGCTCGTATGTCTTCTGCTGAGAAGTGCCTGTTCATGAATGCAACTCTAAAGTGAGCTTTTTATGCCTCCTCAGGTCCTCAGCAGGATCAGGTCCCTGTTCCCTACAGCATTATTGATTAACACATCCTCATATTTGCTTCTCTCATTCCCTGATTTATTCTCCCTAGCCCAACCTATTCTTTGTGATTATTTTCCACGATAAAGTACCTGCATGCAAGCTCAAAAATCAAAGCTCTGCTCTGTGTGTGTGTGTGTGTGTGTGTGTGTGTGTGTGTGTGTTTATTTATGCAGTGGAAACTAGAAAGACATTTGCTGAGGTATTTATTGACCACTGGGGTGTTCACTGTGATGTGTCCCTGGAACCCCTCTCTAGGAAGGGAGGATGGATTCCTTCAACCTCCAGGAGTTCTGCTGGAGGGTGACACCCTGCAGGCAGCATGCTAGGGATGGCCTCAGCTGAAGAAAACCACCCCACCCAAGGTCCCATCTCCTTCTGGGGATGCCCGTGGAGATAGAGAGGTTCAGCCTCCTCATCCCAGCTCAGGGAGGCTCTGAAGAGACCCCCCCGCCCGCCACAGGACTTGCGGAATCCTTGCTCCTGGTGACTGCATGGCCTCGACTTCCCCCTGCATCCCATCCTGACTCTGCCCCTCCCTTCTGCTGTGGAGGAACCCAAGCGCACTCTGGAATGAATGCCCTAGTGCTAACCACCGTCCGCGGTCTGCTGCCTGAGAGGACCCACCTGCCACGTTCTAGAACGTTCTTGACACTTGAGATACAACAGATAAAACAAAAAGTCTTTTTCCAATGGAACTTACATTCTGGGAAGGGAGACAGACAATAACCAGAGACCAACAGGTTCAGAGCATAGCGTCAGGCAGTGGGACACACTATTGAGAAAGGAGAAGTGGATTTGGGGCAGTGAGAGGAGAGACAGGGTGGTCAGGGGAGGCTTTGAAATGCCATGACCTAGAGAAGAATTAGCACGTCTAGATCAGGAGTACAACGGTGCATATTACAGAAATTAGCTGGAAAACATACCTATGGATTATACCAATGCATGCTTCGATGCTGACCAAAAATAAGATTATGTAGTAGCTTAGCCCACCAAGTGTGGTTCTCACCCATTGGGATTGTCTGGGGAGCTTTAAAAATGCCAGTTCTCAGGTCCCATTCCCAGAGGTTCTGATTCAACCGGGCAGTGGTGGGACCGAGGCATCAGCACTGTAAGTTACCAAGGTGTTTTTCTGTGCCCCCAGGCTAACATCAGCGACCCAAACACTCATTTGGGAGACCTACTGGCAAGATCATGGCATGCAGATCAAAAAGGGTACTAATGAAAATCCTGAAAACCAAGTATGTTTTCACATGTAATTAGATATGCACAGTCATATGCATTACATGTATGTATGCATAAGTATGTATGCACACACACACAGAAACAGGGCACTTAAGGGAGCATTTTGGACTCCAGTGCATTTTCCTGATTTTGGGGTCCAAAGATGACTGTTGTTGGAGAAAACAAACAACCACATACAAGAAATTATCCGGCCAGGTATAGTAGCTCACGCTTGTAATCCCAGCACTTTGGGAGGCCAAGGTGGGCGGATTGCTTGAGGCCAGGCGTTTGAGACCAGCCTGGCCAACATGGGGAAACCCCATCTGTATAACAATTACAAAAGTTAGCTGAGCATGGTGGTGCATGCCTGTAATCCCAGCTACATAGGAGGCTGAGGCAGGAGAATCGCTTGAACGCAGGAGGTGGAGGTTGCAGTGAGCCAAGATCGTGGCCACTGCACTCCAGCTTGGGTGACAGAGTGAGACTCTGTCTAAAAAAAGAAAGAAAGAAAGAAAGAAATTATCCTAAAAGTTTTACTATCAGGTATGAGAATCCAGCATGCTCAAGATTGTTGAGTAAAGCATAAAGAAAGCTATGATAATGGGAGCACCAGGTGATACAGATGATGTCACACTTAAATACCATCACACTCGACTTTTCTGAACTTCAGTAAAACCTGTTAGACCCCAGTAATTCAGTCAAATAATTAAATTCCCACTGAAAGCATACAATATGTGCTCTTGGAGACATTAATTGAAAAAAATTAAAAGCAAATATTTCCTTAATATTTTCCAAACTTTTATAGGAGACCACAGGGTAAACTTTTAGATAGGCTTGACTTGAAGGACTTTTAAACCTAACCCTCCTAAACTGATGAAAACAAGACTGCAGAGATTCACTGGGACAAAGTAATTATCTCTATTTACAAAAGAGTGAATTCTAAGTTTTATCCTCCACCTCACTGTTTTTTTATTTGCAATAAGTAATTTATAAGGCATTTTTACAGGAAAGACAATTTGGTGCAGTTGATTGCTCTAGACATTTTTTCTTTAAATATGCTTGCAGTAACCTGTTTGTTCAAAAGGAGACTCTGTAATATCTATCTATCTATCTACCAACCTACCTATCTATCTGTCTATCATCACAAATTCCTAAATACATAAGGAAGATCTTGTTTTGAGGAAACAAGAATATGGTCCTTAGGCCTTGCAGAATATTTAAATTATGAGCAATCATTTCTCTGGTAAGTTCAAAGCAACAATTTCTATTTCAAAGACAAATAAGGGTTTTGTTGTAAACAAACAAAAAAATAGGCCATTTGGGAATGTAAGTAGGATTTACTTGTGAACACTTGAGATCTACTCTCTTAGCAAATTTCAAGTATATAACACATTATTAACTATGGTCATCATGCTGCACATTAGGTCTCCAGAAGGTATTTGTTTTAAAGCTATAAGTTTGTACCCTTTGACTCCAATCCCTGCATTTCACTCACCCTGGCAACTGGCCTTTTACTCTCAGTGTGTATGCATTCAACTTATAACTGTGAGCTGATGGAAATCTTAATTATTAATAGCTTGATTATAGTAATTGTTTTATAATGTACAGGTATATCAGCACACCACGTTGTACACCTTAACTATGTACACCTTTCATTCTTCAATCAGACTTCAATGAACCTGGGAAAAAAGTAGCATTTAATTGACCCTGGATTAGCAGGCTTAGGCTGTGGTGGCCATGGGGATATGGAGATGAGGAGTCCCTTGGAGAGAGCTTGCTGCAGAGAGGGTAGCTGACTCCACTTCACTCCAGTTGCCGTCACGTTGGATTTGACTCAGCATTCAGAATGTTCATGCAGAGATGGCTCTCTCCTCTGATGTCTGAATGTGGCAGGTGCTGCCTGAGTGTGCCTCCTCCAAGCTCAGTCTTTGCTCCCAGAGTTCTCTTCTGGGTTCCTGAGACATCCTCAGGCTGTGCTGCAGTCGGGGGTTCCTCCCTAATCCTTCTTGCTTCCTGCTGTCCTTTCCCAGGCAGCAGATCTGCATCTATTTTTTTTCTAAAATTGTGATAAGAACACCTAACATGAGATCTACCCTCAACAAATTTTTAAGCACAGAATAAGTCTTGTTAATTGTAGGCACAGGCTGTAGCAAATGTCTAGGACTTGTTCATGTTGCATAACAAGAACTATACACCTGGTGAACAGCAATTCCCCATCTTCTGAGATCAAATGTCCATCAGTAGATGAATGGACCAGCAAAATATGGTCCACACGTATAATCAAATATTATTCAGCCTTAAAAAAGTAGGAACTATTGGCATTTGCAGCAATGCAGATGAACCTGGAGAGCACCATGCAGACCTGCTTCTTGATCTGAAGCCTCCCTTCCCTTTATCCTGCTCTTCCCCCTTTATGTTCCCAGTAAATCAATTAAACATGGAGGTCTGTCTTGGTATCTGCTTATTGGAAGACCTGAGGATAGATATGGGCTAGGTCTGATTATGATGGTGGTGGTGGACATCTGTTGCTTTTGTCTTTCTTGCGTTTATCCCAGTTATTTTTTCAGACATTCTGCTTTCCACTATTTAGCCCAGGAATTTGGTGTGTGGTGGGCCCCCAGTCCCTGCATAGGCACTTGGCTCAGGCCTCACTTAGTGAAGTACCTCATTTCCTTGTACGCGCCAATTAGGTCAGGAATGGGCAACTTAGGCCAATATAAATTATATCCTGGCTATTTTATGAAGTAGTGAAAATAAGGAAATGCTCTTTCCTCCGGAGTTGGTACACTGGTAGAATGCACGCTTGGAGCTACTGAAGACCATCTCTGCCACCTCATGGGGAGGGAGCCCACCTGAGCAAGAAGCTGGCATGTAGGGAAGCAGAGTTAAGAGATGAAGATATATATATATATCCCCAGCAATACCTGAAGCTCATAGGAACCCATAGAGTATTGTGTTGTGTGTGTGTGTTGTATGTGTGTGTGTGTTGTGTGTCTGTGTGTTGTGTGTGTGTGTGTGTCTGTGTGTGTGTGTCTGTGTCTGTGTGTGTGTCTGTGTGTGTGTGTCTGTGTGTCTGTGTGTGTGTCTGTGTGTGTGCGTGTAAACTAGTTTGATAGTTTGAATTGGGTTTTTGTCACTTGTAAAGGAAAGTGTTCTCAAAACCCAAATTACAAATGACACAATTACATCAGGCACTGGACTTTCTTTATCCACTTTTGGATATGTTTGTTTTCTTTAAGGACATGGTTACAGACAAACAGCATGGAACTGTGGAGGGATGTGATTGATTGTTGTCCCCTGCTCACTTTGTGGCTCAGGGCTGGCTCTTCTTCTTTCTTATGTCAATATCCTCAGCTCAAGAGAAGTTTTATTCATTGACCTCGATGGGGGTGGAAATGATTTAGAGCTCCTATTTCTGTCAGGCATTTTTCCAAGGATCTTGTATATATTATCTTACAGAGGCCAGTTGACTAGTGTGTGAAATAATTTATATTATTCTCCCCATTTAATAATTAAAAAACTGAAGATCCAAGAGAACAATTTGTCCAATGTGATTCAGAAAGTAATTGATGGAGTCCAGTTTCAACAGACAGACTGGGTTTGAGGCCTGGTGCTGTCACTTGTTAGAGGGGTGGTGTGGGGCACTAGGCAAAGACCTAAGTGATTCCTCTTGTGGCCATGTCTTTACTTCTCCTTCTTCTCCTAAAATAGATCTCATCCCAGGTGATATCTATTGGCACATGTCACAAGCAAGGTCAATCATCATGGTGCATGTCATAGGCAAGGCCAATCATCATGCCCAGCATCAGTGACTGGTCTAAGGTGTGCCCCAAACCCACACTGGACCAATTAGAGTCCTCACGTGATATATTATTTCAAACTTAAGTCTCTATTTCCTCTTCCTTGTTGCTGGGGACAGGTGGAGGAAATCAATGGAATTGCGTGTGGTCATACCCCCTATGATATGGAAAAGTCTGTTGAATGTGGGAGGCAGCCCTGTGGGCAGAGACAGAGAGTATGTCAAGATGGAGAGGTTGGGAAGAACCACTGAGGCATCTGGAGTTGGGTTTGTGCATCAGGTAACCCCAGAGACAAACTTCAGATCTCCTCTGCCTGCAGTTTGGATATATAAACCAACATATTCCCTTTTTTCTGTTTCTCGAAGTCAAGAGTTTTGAGTGACATGGGAATGATGGTCATGACCTCATGGGAATCACTGATTAAGGGATGACTCCTCTAGAGTTAGACTCCTCTAGAGCTAGTTACATTGTTACCCAGGTAACATGTCAGAGCTCACAGGATTGACTCCAGGAAGGTGGCATTTCAGGGAGGCACTGTTGGGGAGATCATCTCTGCTCCCCTGATATCAAGGTTAGCAATCGCTGGCACAAGTGGGTGATGCATAAGTGCATAAGGTTTTATCTGAGCATAAAGGCCTTTGCTCAGCGTGACAGCTTTATAGATTAGTAAATTGTGTTGTATCAGTTTCTTGCAGCTTCTGTAACAAGGCACTATAAGCTGTGTGCCTTAGAACAAATAGTTTTTTTTTGCTCCACAGTTGTGAAGGTCTAGAATTATGGAATTAGGATGTTAGCAGGGTTGGTTCCTTCTGAGAAAGTGAGGGAGAATCTTTTCCATGCATCTCTTCTGTCTTCGGGTGGTTTGCTGGCAATCTTTGGTGTTCCTTGGCTGATAGACCGTATCAGCTCAGTCTCTGCTTTCATTTCACATGGTATTCTCATTGTGTGGGTGTCTGTCTCTCTACACAGCATTCTCTTTTATAAAGACACTAGCCATATTGGATTAAGGGCCCACCTTATTGCAGTAATTAACTAACTATATCTGCAATGAACCTATTCTCAAATATGGTCACATTCTAAAGTACCTGTGATTAGGACTTTAAAATACGAATTTTGGGGGACATAATTCAACTCATAACAGATGGCACATTACAAAACTCCCTCAGAGTACCTAAGAGCCAGGAAATGTCAGGAGCAATTTTTATTAAGTTCATACTTGGCACCACTTTTTATAATTTTGAAGTAATTTTAGAATTAAAGAGGAGTTGAAAATATAGAACAGAGAGTTCCTATATAACCTCTACTCAGCTCCACCCAAATTGATTGAATAATTTACAGACATTATTCAAATGCTGTTAATTGACACACTCATTCCGTTACTGTTCCAGGATCCAATCTGAGATTGCCCAAGTGTCTTTACGTGTCAGAGCTCCTTATTCACCTTCAATCTGGGGCTGTTCCTCAGTCTTTCCCTACCTTTCTTGACCTTACCAGTTTGGTCAGTTATTTTGTAGAATGTTCCTCAGTTTGGATAGTCCAGTGCTTTCTCAGGATTAAATTGAGGTTAGGCATTTTTGGGAAGAGTACCACAGAGGTGATTTGCCTTTTTCAGTACATCATATCAGAAGGTACATTGGCACTACTTTAACAACACTATTTGAAAGCTTATGGCTTCTATTTAACTAAAACAAATTATCACCATCATCATAATCATCATCACCATCACAATCACCATCATCATCACTCCATCAGTACCATCATCACTGCCATCATCATCAACATCACCATCATTAATATCATCATCCCCATCACCACCACCATTACCATCATCACCACCTCCACCATCATCACCATCATCACCATCACCATCATCACCATCACCATCATCACCATCATCATCACATCAATACCATCATCATTATCACCACCACCATCATCATTATCATCACCACCACCATCATTACTATCATCATCACCACCATCATCACCATCATCATCACCATACCACCACCATCATCATCATCATCGCCACCATCATCACCATCATTATCATCATCACCATCAACAGCATCATCAGCATCATCAGCATCACCATCACAATTACCATCATCACACCATCAACACCATCATCCCATCATCGCCGTCATCATTACCACTATCACCATCATCATTACTATCATCACCACCATCACCACCACCATCATCACCATCATCATCACCATCACTATCATTGTCATCACTATCACAATCACCATCATCATCACCACCATCATCACAATCACCATCATCATCACCATCATCATCATCACCATCACAATCATCATTGTCAACATTATCACCACCATCAACATCACTATCACCATCACTACCATCATCACTATCACTATCACCATCACCATCATCATCATCATGTGCTATGCAAATTACTTCATAGTCACTAACTCAATAAATGCCCTGAAAATCTTACACTACAGGTACTATTACTACCCCCATTATTAAGGGAGAAACTGAGGGTCAGGGAGGCTAAGTCACTTGCTTAAGGTCACACTGGTGGTAAGCGGTTAAATTAGAACTTGAATGCCAGTCTTAGTGAATAAAAATTTCATCCTTCACCCCTCTTTGAGTCTGATGTTCAGTGCTGTGCTGCATGTTTCCAGCTTTCTATAATCCCTTACAGGTGGTAGTGGCTCTGTGATACCTTCTAGACAGTAGGAAATGGCTTATCATCCATTTCCTGGGAATGTTTAGCTTTTCTGATTTATTCTTTGCCCCTTCCTGCTTCATTCTTCATCCTTGGAATGTAGATCTGTGGCTGGAGGCATGATGGCTATCTTGCAACCATGAGGCAACAGACATGAGCAAGAAAACCAACCTGCTAAAGATGGTGCTGCAGAGATTAAAAATGGCCTGGCTCCCTACAAACATTGCTGAGCAGCCACAATAGCCCTGGACTCCTTGTCATGAGCAAATAAGAGGTTTTTTTTTTCTTTTAATGCTATTATTGTCAGGTATTCTGGGAAGTATGTTATTTTCATCCATGTGTGGTGCTTACTGAGGCTTAAACACAAATAAAGCTCTCTTCTGCTTAAGGTTCGAAAGTTTAAAATTTTTCTTTTCTAAAATTTTAGTTTAATTTGGGGATCACAAATTCATACAACTATAGAGGGCAAATAACATAAATAAATGAGTTAAATATGATCTAGAAGGTACCCTCCCAGGGTAAAGAAGGGCAACTGTTAGATCACCTTACCATTGCCTTGCAGAAAAAAAGGGCTCAGTGCTGCCAGGCATTCCATTTTCTAAGAGAAATGATGAAATCTATTTTTAATGTAAATTTTAAAGTAGTAATTTCAGATTTTTAAATGTTGGCCACTATCCAAAACCTTGAAGACCTAACACAATGTATGTATTGGCTAGATATGACCCAAGGACCTTCAATTTGCAAAGTCTGCAATTGCAAAATCATGTTTATTTATTTTAGGGATATAGACTAAAGAAAATATTGCAAGAAAGATGGCTAGGACCAGGCATGGTGGCTCATGCCTGCAATCTCAGCACTTTGGGAGGCTGAGGCAGGAGGATCACCTGAGGTCAGGAGTTTGAGACCAGCCTGGCCAATATGGTGAAGAAACCCCGTCTCTACTAAAAATACAAAAATTAGCCGGGTGTGGTGGCAGGCACCTGTAATTGCAGCTATTCAGGAGGCTGAGGCTGGAGAATTGCTTGAACCCGGGAGGCAAAGGTTGCAATGAGCCAAGATCATGCCACTGCACTCCAGCCCAGGCGACAGAGCAAGACTCCTTTTTAGAAAGAAAGCTGGCTAGAACTTTTTTGATCTTTGAACTGGTAATAAAAACAAACAGCAAAAACAAGCTGACAAATAGGATTTCCTCACATTGCCATCATTCATCAATGTGGATGCTGGAAACCATGAAACATGGTGACAGGAAGCTGGTTTGCCCATGCTCTGCAGCATCTTTAATTGTAGCACCCACCCTGTGATCCTGCCTTCATTCTGATGACAAATGACTACCCACAGACTCAACCTTGACATCCTGACTTTCAGCTCTGGAAGCAGCAGCCTCGTCAAACTATTTCAGGACAAGCACATTAAAATCTTCCCTTCCCCCAGCTTTGAAATCGTGTTTGCAAAATTACGTGAGGCGCACAGGGAGTAGGAGTGATGAATCCCAATTTACAGATAGGAAAACAGAGAGGGGAGAAAAGTCAACCCTCTCAAGTCTTAAAGGAGGAAGTTTGGTGTTGCCCCAGAGCAAGTGATGGGCTGCCTGACTCTCAAAATTCTTTCTTTCCAGTAGAGAGCAAAACATTTCCAGTAGTCTCTGACTTCAAAGAAAGTGTGTGTGTTGAGAGATTTGAATGGTTTTTCAGTTGCTGTCACATGCAGTGGTGATTTACAAAATATTCAACTCTCAGTACAGCATGGGCATCAACCAGTTGAAATGACGGCCTAACCAATCAGACACCAGCCACAAACCCTCTGTTCAGCAGCACCAGTGCAATCCTGCTGAACATCAACCTTGCTCATAGGGTCACAGGGACTCCCAGTGGAGTCAGGACAGCAGCAGAGAAAGGGATCTTTTTACCCAACCAATTCCACTGGCCACTAATAGAAAACACCAAGCAAAAGTACATTTCAAATCTTGTGTCTGCTGTGGATCTGGTGCCTGGTCAAATAAGCAGTTGACTACTCTGTTGTCTTTACACACCTATTTTATTACCTGTTGATGTCTGCAGATAAACATACATCATCATCATAATAATTATTATTATTGAGACAGGACGTTGCTCTGTTGCCCAGGCAAGAGTGCAGTAGTGTGATCACAGATCTCTGCAGCTTTGACCTCTTGAGCTCAATTAATTCTTCTGCACTCAAATGATCCTCCCACCACAGACTCCTGAGTAGCTGGGACTACAGGCATGTGCCACCATGTCCAGCTAATTTTTGTATTTTTTTTTTTGTAGAGACAGTGTTTTACCATGTTGCCCAGGCTGGTCTTGAACTCCTGGGCTCAAGCTATCCTCCCTCCTCGGCCTCCCAAAGTGTTGGGATTACAGGCATAAACCACCACTTCCAGTCAGAAACACGCATTTTTAAATCATCCTTGAACTTTTCCTTCTTTTTCATTTTTTTTAAGATATTGTTCACATATGGTAAAATTCAACAGTCTTATGCATATACTTTGATGCATTTGGGTAATTATACACAATTCTGTGAATGCCGCAGTCAATTGTATGGTGTACTAAAATTTATCAAGGGAGATTTTAGGCGCTGTTACCACACACACACACACACACACACACACACGGTAACTATGTGAGAAGAGGAATATGTTAATTTGCTTGATTGTAGTAATTATTCCACTATGTACATGTGTATCAAACTATCATGTTGCACACCTTAAAGATATACAATAGAAAGATATGAGACGGTCTCCCCCCAGAAACGTTTCCCCATGCACTTCTGAGCTTGGTCCCCTCCCCAATCCCTGACCACAGGCAACTACTCGTTTGCTGTCATGGTAGTTTTATTCTTTTCTAGCATTTCATATAAATAGAATTTTACAGTATAGAGTCTTTTGTGTTTGACTTCTTTCACATTGCATAGTGTTTCTGAGATTCACCGGGCATGGTGGCTCCTGCCTGTAATCCCAACACTTTGGGAGGCTGAGACGGGCGGATCACGTAAGATCAGGAGTTCGAGACCAGCCTGGCCAACATGGTGAAATCCTGTCTCTGCTAAAAATACAAAAATTAGACAGGCATGGTGGAAGGTGCTTGTAATCTCGGCTACTAGGGAGGATGAGGCAGGAGAATCGCTTGAACGCTGGTGGTGGAGGTTGCTGTGAGCCGAGATTGTGCCACTGCACTCCAGCCTGGGAGACAAGAACAAAACTCTGTCTCAAAAAAAAAAAAAAAATTTCTGTGATTCACCCATATTGTTGAAGGTATCAATAGTTCTTTCCTTCTGATCGCGAGGAAGCATTCATTTGTAAGCCCGTGTCAGAACTTGTTTAACTGTCCCTCAGTTATTGGACATTTGAGTTTCTTCCAGGTTTTGGTCATTGGGAATAATATTAAAGGCCCTGCATTTTGGCTTGGTTTTAGCACTGCACACACTATAGATGATCCTGAAGATCTTAAGTTGCATCATTCATATATAGAAATAGAGAAGTGGAAAAAAGCTTTGCTTTCTGCGAACTCAACATTGGCATTGCTAGAACTCTTGCTACCACAAGAAAGTTGATGTCCTCAGCTTGTGTGATCCTTCTCAAGTTCAATGGTCAGCCTGGTCAGATGGGAAATTATTCATTCATCCAAGAGATGTTTACTGAGCACTTTTTATGTCAGGCCCTGTTTTAGACTTTGGGGACACAATTGTGAATTAGACCATGTGTCTAATGCTGTGGCTGTCCATGTGTTTGTGATCACATGGAGATTATAAGTTAAAATAAAAGGTGAAACAGCAGATACATAAAGTGAAAAAATAGATGAACAAGATTGTTTTTGGTGTTCTGTATATGATGGAAAAACTCAAACTGTGTAACATGATGATGAGCAGTGCTTTATTTAGATTTGGTGGTCCAGGAAGGTTCCTTGGGGGAGTGCCAGTAGGAACGAAACGTCAGAGCTTAGTGAACTAAGTTGGCGAGAACCTGTAGACTTTACTGAATTTGACCGAGCATGACCCAGAATAAGTGATTAAAAAGTAGGCCTAATGCAGGAACAGAAAACCAAATACTGCAAGTTTTCAGCTCTAAGTAGGAGCTAAGCATTGGGTACACACATGGACACAAAGTTAGAAATGACAGACACTGGGGAATGCTAGAGCAGGGAGGGAGGAAGGGGGAGCAAAGTTTGAAAAACTAACTTTGGGGTACTATGCTCAGTACCTGGGTGATGGGATCATTCGTACCCTAAACCTCAGTATCATGCAATATACACATGCAATAAACCTGCACATGTACCCCCGGAATCTATAATAAAAGTTAAAATTACTAAAAAAACCCCAAAACTCTAATACTTTATATATTTATAAAGTATTAGATAATATATAACAATATTAAATATATATATAAATATATATATTTTTAAAAAATAGACTGATATTGGCCTGCATTCTAGACTTTCAAAACAAGTACCCATTTGATGGAAAAGACAAGGCTGTTAAAAAATAAAAAGGTTGGCCATAAATAATGAATCACATATTCCCTTCCATGTGAGTATACCGTATCTATAAAGAAAATCCCGTCCAACTGGTCACAGATTTGTGCAAGACCCTTGGAAGGTGCAGCGAACTTTCTGCCCCTATCGTACGTTGATGACCATCATCTGCATGTATGTCTTCTAACTCAGCTGAAAGCAACCCTGATTCTCTGGATAAGATGAATAAGATCATATCCCCCAAAGAAATAAAAACAGAAATTAGAGATAATGAATGCATGGACAGTCACAGCATTAGATCTCATTTATATGCACCCTTGTCATCTATGGGCTGGCTTTATATCCTTTATATCCTTTGATTACTGTGTGTTCTGTCTGCTTGTTAAGCTGTTTCAAGCATTTATGAAGATCTGATATAGTAGACTTGTGATTCTAATTATATGTTTAGAAAATTATGATTAAGTCTATAATCAACACTTAAAACTAATCTTTAAAATTTGTTAAATTCAGCAGTTTTAAACTTATTTGTTGCGTGACTAACACATCATTGTTTAGAGAAATGTTCACTGTTTAACGACTGGTAAGTTGGACAAGAGACAAAATACAGGTAGTCGTGGGGACTGCTTTTCAAAACCAATGATGTCATCAGGAAATTATCTCTGTCCAAGCCTTTGTTGTTCTCTGGTCATAGATATTCTCAAGCAGGCAGGCCCCTTTTGGTGGAAGATGGCTACCAGCAGCTCTAGGTACTTTTCCCAAAGCATCCACTAATTTTCCAGATGGAGTCCCATTGGAACCCCTTGGGTGACATGACCATCCCTCAACTACTCATTGTGGTCTACGTAGGAAAAAAATCTCTCAAACTGTGTTTTCCTCTGCTCTAATCAAAACAAGCATCAACACAGAAGATGTTGTTTTTCCCACCCCCCAAGCAGCAGACACCAGCAGGGTAACCTCTAATTCAGTTCTGACACTGTCTACCCAAAGATAGCATCAGATCCCACAGGTTGAGGGCTCAGTCCCATAAGACTGTCCTCTCCTTCCCACCAGTGGCAAGTCTGGTCCTCTAGAACTTCTGATTGACTGGCTTCGACTTGGGGTTTCCACCATCCCCTCTTTGGGTTTGATTAACTTGCTAGAGTGGCTCACAAAACTCAGGGAAACACTTACTTACATTTACCGGGATATTATAAAGGATATTGCAAAGGATACAGACAAAGAGACATATAGGGTGAAGCATGGGGGAGGGGGCATGGAGCTTTCATGCTTTCCCAGGATGCCACCCTCCAGAAATCTCCACGTGTTCTGTGACCAGGAAGCTCCCTGAGCCCAGGCCTCAGAAGCTTCACGATATCAGCATTCCTTCTCCCAGCATATGCGGCAGGACTGTCTCTGAATGAGGGTCTTTTGACCCATAATCAAGTAGAGTCCTGCCTCTGGCTGGTGAAAAATCGGCAGCAGAGAGATTCTGTTTCCTGAAGCCTAATATATCCAACATTAAAACGAAAGACTGTAACAAAAGCTATGGGAGTGATGAGCCTGAACTTGTAGATAAAAACCAATACATGTATGGGAAACTGAAGAGGAGTGGCCAGGCAGAGTCAATAATCCTATATTTACATAAACTGCAGAAAAAGAGAAAGGAATGCCATTTTTGGGTTCTGAGTTCTGGGTAGCACAGTATACCTGCAGATGGGAAACCTTTTACTGAATTCCTAAGCTTTGGCCTTGTTCTTGCTTTTCTCCTGAAGGTCGATACAATTTGAGAACTCAAATTGTGCCCTTCAGAGTGAGGTGAGCAGGTCTGCTAGAGGACCACAATGACCCTGCTCACTCTTGAACTCCCAGAGGAAATTCCCTGGACCATTCTTGGACCATCTAATTGGGAGCTGAGCAGCTGCCTTGATTTATTATTTAACATTTTTCTTGCGGGACCCTTATCTGCTCAAATAGCGTATCAGTGACCTGAGGGCTGAGATGTTACATCCTCCCCCACTTCTAGCCCTGTGGTTTAGCTTCAGATTCTCAATTAATGAAGTAAGGTAGGGAGAAACAAAAAAGAAGGGTGGGATCTAGGATGAAGGTTAAGCCCCAAACCGCTAGACCAAGCAGAACATGGAAAATATACACAAGGAATTATGTGCTTGTCACTCTGTGGTAGAGGTAAGTTAATGGTTCCAATAAATCATGTCTCCCAGTATCCAGACCCTTGTGCATTTCCTTCCTATGTTAACTCTGGGTGTAATGTCAAAATGATTTCTAACTTGCTTTGGTCAATCTGACATCAGCAAGCATCATAAGAACAGAGGCTTGGTAAGTGCTTGTTCTTTAGGAATCTAGGTGCCATGTGTTGAAGCCCAAGCTAGTCATGTGGTTAAAGCTCAGGGAGAAGAACTCAGACACCCACCCGACAGCCCTAGCTTAGACAGCCCTAGCTTACGGCTAGACATGGTGAGGAGGCACCTGGGACCATCCAGCCCTAGCTGGGCTTCCAAATGACTGTGGTTACTTGAGTCATCCCACATGAGACCAGCCCAAATTGCCAAATCATCCCTCTCTCTTGACCTATCTATTGAGCTTATCTATCATCTATCTATCTATCTATCTAGCGACCTACCTACTGACCTACGTATCATTCATCTAACATCTATCTAACCAACTCTATCTATCCAGCTCTATCTACCTAACTACCTGTCATTCACCTATCATCTATCTATCCAGCTCTCTATTGATTATCTATCTATGTATATATCTATCATTCATCTATCATCTATCTACCATTCACCTATTATCTATCCTGCTCTATCTATCTATCTATCTATCTATCTACCTATCATCTAATCTATCTAAAGTGATCGTTCTTTTAAGTCACTTTGGGGTAGTTTTTCATGCAGTAATATGTGTATATATACACACACATATTTATATATATGTACATGTGCTTCTATATATGGAAACATATATGAACTATTATATTAATTATTTTATGTATTCATAGACTAAGACAGTATACATATGTATAAACACACATAATTAAAAGAAAAGTTATAAAAAGTAAGACTTCCTTTTACCACACATGATGCCTCATAGTAGTTTCTATTCCTTTCCTTTTCATTTCATTGTGTTCTCTCTCTTGCTTCTTCTGTTTCTCTTACTAACTCTGATTAATAACCTACCAAGCTTGTTTCACAACTTACTACTGGATTGTTACTCCCAGCTTGAAAATCCCTGCCCTAGAGTACAGGTTTTTTACTTGGCGGGTGGGGGGTTCAGGGATGCGTTTCAAGGGGCAGTTCCTCCAGTTTCTACACAGTTTCTGTGAGCATGGGCAGGTGCATTTGCTAGGAGAGGCCACGGACTTCTGTCAGATGTGAAGAACTAACCACAGCTCCGTGCACTCTGCCTGGGTATGGCATCCGTGATCGCAACATCACAAGCTGTCAGGCGATGATCCCAAATCTCTGTCTCCTGCCAAGATCTTCTGCCTGAGCTCTGGGCTCAGTGCCAACAGCCTACCAGACATTTCCATCTGGATGTCCCCAAGGCACCCTAAAGACATTCGTTTCCAAATCTTTTCCATTTTTGTGTTACCGACACCCTCTGCCAAAAACCCAGCTTTTTCAGTCACTTTCCAAGTCAGAAGGCTGTGAAGTCATCCTTCCCCCTCCCCAGCTTTATTAAAGTCTCATTAACAAATAAAAATTGTATCTATTTATGGTGTGCCCAGGGGTGTCCAAGAGAGAGAATACAGTCATGGGTTCTTAGCCAGTAAAGCCCCTTCCTCATCTCTCTTTTCCACTTATCACTAGAGACAGAAACTAAAAACCATGGCTTCAAGCGACTAAAAGCCTAAAACAAAACAAAACTGAGCCACAACAACAAAATAAGGTGGGTACACCATGATGTTTTGGTATGCATATACGTTGTGAAATGATTACATAAGCTAATTAGCATAACCATCACCTCCCATACTGATCTTTTTTTTTTTTCTCTCGTAGCGAGAACTTTTAAGATCAACTCTGTCAGTGGTGTTCCAGTCTATCATGTTATTATTAACTGCAGTCATCGTACTGAACCTCTCCAGAACGTATTAGTCCTGCATAACTAAAACTCTCTCCCCTTTCATTCCTGGTATCTCCTCACCACTCAACACATCAAGGCAGTCACCCAAATTGTGTTGATCCCACTGATTCTACCTGCTAGATATCTTTCACATCCTTTTTTCTGATCTAGCCTTTCTGCAATTTTCCTGCTTGTAATTCTCTCATCTCTTTCCCAAATTGTCACTAGAGCTTCCCTACTGGTTTTCTGGTATGTAATTTCAATTGTCAGATCCATTTCTACCATGGCCACCAAAGTAGTCTTTGAAAATTATGTGTTATGACATCACATCAACCCTTAATGTCACCCAAATATAATCCACACACACTACACAGTAACAAATAATAGAAACTCCTTTGCCTGGGTGAGAGGTGCTTCGTAATCTGGTCACACATTACCTGTCCAGACTCAACACACACTGTCATTTTCAGCAATATTTCCCTCAGCATACTATGTTCCCATATGTTTGCACACATTTCCTGCAATGCTCTTACCCTGCTTACCCAGCTGGCAAACTGCTACATATCCTCCAGATCTCAGCCTATGTTTGACCTTTTCTGGGACTAATAACAACAGGTTACGGTGACGAGCATTTGCTGGGCGCAACACACTCTTCCAAAGGCTTCACATGGGTTAACTTGAGCCACACAACAGTCCTTTAAGAGGTACTGCTGTTATCTTCATTCTACAGAGGGGAAACTGAGGCTCAGAGGAATGAAGAAACTGGCCAAAGGTCACACGGTGAACGCGTGGGCATTGCAAAGATTCAAACCTAGCAATTTGGCTCTGGAATCCACTTTGTTAAAAAAAGAAAACTCACGTGAAAATGATTTCAAACCTACTGAAGAGTAGCAAGAATAATGCAAAGAAAAGAATACCTGGAGGCACTTGACCCAGATTCAACTGCCATTTTGCCCATTTGCCTTATTTTTAAAATTATTCTCTCTCTCTGTATGAGAGAATATGTGTGTGTGTATATATATACACATATATATTTACGTATATGTATACACATATACACATGTGTATGTATATATACATATGTTTATGTATATATACATATGTGCATATGTATATATATACATGTGCATATGTATATATATACATATGTGTATATGTATATATATACATATATATTTTTTCTGAACAATTTGAGAGTAAATTACATATATCATGGCCTTTTGCCCTTAGAGGATACGTGAGCATAAAAATCCTCTTATGTAAGTACACACTCTTGCATGACCAAGAATAAGTATATTCTTTCATAACTACTGCAGTATAGTTATTAAATTCGGTGAACACTTCATTTAAATGTATCCATTCCTCCATCCAGTTTCCAATGCTGTCAACTAACCTATCATGTCTTTATAGTTTTTTTCTCCCTCCAGTACAAGACCCAGCCTTGGATTGGGTGCTGTGTTAGACAACGTATTCGTGTTAGACATTGTATTAGTGTTAGGTACTGTATTCTTCTAGGGCATCATATCCTCAGGTGCAAGGTGTCTATTTGACCTTCAGTCATTTCGTTACTCTTGATCACCTGGTCAAGGTGTTGGCTGCTATGTCCACTCTGTAGTTGCTATTTATTTTTTCTTGTAAGCAGCAAGCTTTTTGTGGGACACACTTAAGCCCACAGGAACTCCTGCTACACCAGATTTCCTATTCCCCACCTTGGGTTTAGCATGAACTGACGAATCTGGCCTAAACCAACTTTCGTGTGATGGCTTCAAAATCAGGACATTCCATGTCCAGTACTTTCTCCGTGTTGGCCATGGGCACCTGCAGAGCCCATGCGCTTAAACAGGATGCCATGGTTTCCTTCCTTCTCCCAGGTAGGCTTAGACACCCTCACCTACATCTCCAGGCTACCATAATAGTAATGGGCTGTTTTGCCATTGTTTTGTCTACCTCCTTCTCCATGAAGCCTATGAGCTTATTGAGGGCAAGCACCCCATTTTTTTCTCTTTGTATCCATGGCACCTATGAGGAGCTTGTCCTAAAATTGGTGCTCAGTATTTGCTTTTGACTAAGATAAAATCTATAGCCCCATGTGGGTGGCAGAATAATGGCCCCCAAAGAGGTCTACGTCCAAATTGCTGGAACCGGTAAATATGTCACCTTACATGGCAGAGGGGACTCTGTAGATGTGATTAAGGGTTTTAAAATGGGGAGGTTATCCTGGTTTATCTGGGTAGCCCAATGTCATCACAAGGGTCCTTAAAAGAAGGAGGCAGGAGGTCAGAGAAAACGGAGTAGGCTGTGTTGTTGGTTTTCATGGGAGGTGCCATGAGCCAAAGTAAGTGAAGAGCCTCTGGAAGCTGGGAAAGGTTAGGGACAGAGCTCTCCCTAAGCTCCCCCTGCAAAGGACCACAGCCCTGCCAGTGCCTTGATTTATTCCCCATAGGACCCATGTTTGGACTTCTGACTTCCAGATCTCTAAGATGATAACTTTGTGCATTTTTAAAAAAGCCAGCCTGTGTGTGGTTATTTGTTACAGCAGCAATAGGAATTGAACACACCGACTTCAGTGGGAAATTTTCTCCCCATCCCCTCCTCCACAGCTGCATGCCAGGGCTGGTAAGGTGACAGAGGCTTCCTGGCAGGCCAGGGGACACCCCTCACCCCGCCCCCACCCTCCCCAAGAGGACATCCCTGAGGGTTTCTAGCTCTCCAAATTGTCTTGCAGAACATCAGGCATCTGCCTAAACAGCCCCGGATGGCGCTGGCTCCTTTCTTGTAGGAAGGGAGGTGTTCTCCAGCGTGGGTCTCCTCAGCTTTGACAAAAAGGGACTTTTTTTTAATGAAAAATGCTGCCCCTCATATGCCCCATGGAATACTATGCAGCCATAAGAAAGAATGAGTTCATGTCCCTTGCAGGGACATAGATGAAGCTGGAAACCATCATTCTCAGCAAACTAATACAGGAATAGAAAACCAAACACCGCACGTTCTCACTCACAAGTGGGAGTTGAACAATGAGAACACATGGACACAGGGAGGGGAACGTCACACACCAGGGCCTGTTGGGGGGTGGGGGGCAAGGGGAGGGAGAGCACAAGAACAAATATGTAATGCATTCGGGGCTTAAAACCTAGATGACGGGTTGATAGGTGCAGCACACCACCATGGCGCAGGTACACTTACGTAAAAAACCTGCACGTTCTGCACGTGTATCCCAGAACTTAAAGTTAAAAAAAATGCTGCCCCTGAAAAGTAGAGCTCAAGGCTTTCTGTCCCTGAAACAAAAGCAGGAACATGCATACCCCACATTTTTATGACTGCTTGGGACTGAAGTTAGAAAACAACTCATCGGACAGTCAGACATTGCTGGAGGAGTCAGGAGACGTGTTTCTATTCTGTCCGTCTCCAGTGTGTGCGGCACCTCTCAGGGCACTGGGGACCGTGTAGATTTGCTGACTTTGATAATAAAACAAAAGGGAGAAGAGAAGAGTAAAACAGGGTAAAAGAAGAGATCTGGGCAATAACGGTAGGGCTCCAGCCCCGCTTTTCAATCCTGCCTCACTCACTCCAAGAACAGCTTGAGCTGCCCAACACTGGGGGGCTGGGAGCCAACCACAGTGGGTGGTCACCTCATTCTGGTGTCTGGCTATGGGGGCAGATAGACAGCGGAAATAGAAAAGGAGTGAGACCAAGCTCCTGTGTGTCCTGAACACTCCTCCTGTAGCTAACTACCGGCTTCTCCGGTGTGTAAGACTTTCATGCTTACTGGTTTTTCTTTCTGGGAATAGCCCAGTGCTCTTTGTCTGAAACCTAATGTATGCCCAGCAACAGAGGGGAACAATGACTGACGTATTCATTGCATTTCGTCAGATGTAAATTACAGATGGCAGCAGGCAGAAGCTGCGCCTCCTGCAGAGAAGGGTCATCGTGTCCCAGAGGACAGCACAGGCCAGGGGCAAGCCCACATATGTGGGTGCTGGGGCTCACTCCCGGCAATCTGGGAAGGCCTAAGAACAAAAGGTATATTACAAAGCCATCTACTGCAGCATCTATTTGATCCCAGGGGAGCCCCATCCAGAGTGTGCTGGGTGGAGGAGAAGTCACTCCAGCTTCCCAGGACCCCGTGGGTGGGAGCTCCTAGAACAGCGACGAACAGGGGGCTGACGACAATGCCGACGGCCAACACTCACTGGGGACTCTGTTATGCCAGTCATTTTGCATAGTGCTTTACAAATCATCTTTATAATGTATTTGTGTTTTTATTACTTTTCATAAAAATAACTAAGTATGTTATAATGATTTATGGTTTATTACTTGTACATTATTTCATGTAGTCTTCAGAAAATACCCTGAAGTGAGGTGATTTTACTAGCCCCATTTCACAGAAGAGGAGACTGAGGCTTAGCAGGGTGAAGGAAACCTGCAGAGGCCACCCAGGTGACCAGCAGGAGGGGCAGAATTCAAAGCCAGGTGGTCTGATCCCAGAGCTTGTGCTCCTGACCCTGGGCTTCTCCAATTGAGAGCCACAGACACTGAAGATGTGGCAGGTTCAGTCACAGAGAGGCTGGCAGGCTACGCCTTCAGCCAAGTCTTCACTTCTTTCGTTCAGTGTCCCAGAGCCTTCCCTGCTTCTCTTCTCACTGTCCCCGTGACAGGGTCAGCTGTGGCCCCGGACTAAAGTGATCTAGAGGTGGGGTTTGGCCTGCCAGGGGTCCCTGGGCTCACCCTGTCTCCTGTCCGCCCCAACCCCAGAGTGCCAGCTGGTGTTCTCTCCCCTGGCTGGTGGTGGCCAGGCCTGCCCTGTTCCCCTGCCCTGAGTGGCTGCCGGCTTGTATCTGTCCCCTGGAGGATCCCAGAAGCCCAGGGCTGCTCTCATGGATGTGGTCACGTCACTACCCGGGGTTTGCAGAGCACGCATCTAATTTTCCGACTTCACGAGGCACATCCACCAAGAAGCTGCAATCTCCCCAAGAGAAGACTATCGAAGCCTTTGTCCTAATGCAGGGCATGGACTATGTTGACAAATTAGTGAACACAGCCTGCCTCTGCCACAGCGATCCAGAGGTGTTAATAGTGGAGTAGCTCTGGTGTCCAGCAACATGACTCAGGCGGGGTTATTCGCCTAGGTTATTTCATTAAAGACATTGGAGAGAAGTGAGCCAGGACTCCCTTCAACTGCTGGTGATATTTGTTGGGGTTGCCTTATTCTGGGTTAGATACCCAGTGAGCATGATCAACTGAAGGGGACGTGAGGTGCAGAGAGGGGGCTGGGAGCGGCTGACCCTCGGTGTCTCCGACACCATCACACCCGTCTTGTCTCCCTGACATGCCTCAGTTCCAACCTGCCATCGTCATGCGACGCTCACCACACCCAGGGGTGACATGCGGCTGAAAGGCACCCATATGGTCACGGCGCGTGTAATATTATGGAATATTTCTCTACTAATTGACAAGTAGGCACAGCCCTCCATCTCCCCAAGGACTCCATCCACCTCCTCAGCTTCTTCAGACTCTTTCTTGGGATTCGCTAGACCTTCTCATTACCCGGCAGCTAAAAGGAAGAGCAGAGGGCTTTCCAGATGTTGCCCCCCGTCTTCTGTCTGCTTCTCTTCTGATTTTTCTGTGCTCTTCTGGTTCCTCTGCGAATATTTGTATATTACCTGGACGAATCCACATGCCATTCATAATACTTAGTTAATGTGGACCACGTGATTCAACCTTTTTTTTTTTTTTTTTGAGACAGTCTTGCTCTGTTGTCCAGGCTGGAGTGCAGTGGTGCAATCTTGGCTCACTGCAACCTCTCCCTCCTGGGTTCAAACGATTCTCCTGCCTCAGCCTCCCAAGTAGCTGGGACTACAGGCGCCCGCCATCATGCCCAGCTAATTTTTGTAATTTTGGCGGAGATGGGGTTTCACCATGTTGGCCAGATGGTCTCGATCTCTTGACCTCATGATCTGATCTACCCCCGCCTTGGCCTCCCAAAGTGCTGGGATTACAGCATGATTATGGCCTTCAATGTAGTTTTAAATCAACTCACCTAAAACAAGCAACCAAGAGGCTCTATGGCCAGGCTGAAAAGTTTTCTCCAGACTCCATCACACTGGGTAATGGGGGTGTTGTCACAGAGCATTTCTCCACATCTCTGCTAACCTAAAAATTCTCCCAGCCTGGGTTTTAACAAAGCAGAGCCCCAGGTCCATCTCATCTCCAATTTGTCTTGTAATCAGTGTCAGGGGAGGGAAGACAGGAGCAGCTGGCTTGTTATCTCACTACTGCTCATCACCTTCCTGCTCAGCAACTCAGCAGCATAAAATGCTGCTCGAAAATCCCCCAGATTTGACCTGACATGAGCCTGGGCTCCTGTCTGGAGGCTTTTTAATAATGAGCAGTTTGCCTGGGCTGAGGGCCATTTCCATAATCTCCACCCGCCCCTGCAGGCATTTTGCTCACTAGATGGGGAGAGAGGTCTCCCAGGTGGAGGGAATTTGGAGCAATCTCAAGGAAGAGTCTGTGGGCCTGGGTGTAGGCTTGTTTTGCTCTTCTGTAATTTAGAGATTATTTCCTGGATGCCTGACATTGTTGGTCATTTGCCCTCACGTTCGTTTCTCTCCCTTCCCCTGCTCCGCTCTGAATCCCAGGCTCTGCAAACCGTTTCCCGGGCTTCCTTGTCAACTGGTGTCCTGGTAGTTTCAGCCAACAGGAGGCACTGGTGAGAGAGGGGAGATGCCAGGGTATCTTTCTCCCTCTTTCTTTCTGTGCTTTGGGCAGTGTCTCTTAGGAGCTGAGTCCTTCCCATCCCTCCAGCTCCCACCCGGCACTTCCTGCCAACTCTTCCGAGCTCTGGCAACACCACCTCCTCCCTTTGTCTTTGCAGCCTGGGCAGTCGTATTTGCTTCCTGCTATGACTATCTCTAGGTTTTCTCAGGCTCCCCTCTTTGTCCTTCCAGCCCATCAACACTGGCTCACATCCTAAATCCCAACCCTCGAGTCCTTTGCTGTCGTTTCTGTTGTCCTGACTGGACTTTGCTCCACACACCTATTTTGTGTGCAGCCCTGTGCCAGACACTGGGAGGAAAGGAGTCAGCCGCGATAGAATGCAGTAGCCGCAAGTCAGAGAGCTATGCCTGTGGTTCTTCGGGGAGTTGCTGCTCACCAAATGCAGAATTTAAATGTGGTGTTGGCTCACGGCATACAAAGGTTGAAAACGATGGAATGAGAGATTGCGGGCCTAAATAGATGGGAATAAATGCTCTGAAGGTTTTGCCGTTTCCCCTGTAATGCCGGGTCTCGGTGTTTGGGTCATCGTGAAATGTCAGAACACTCCAGGCTGTGCCGTGAAGAATGGAAGGAGAGCAGTACATACTAATTATTTCTACCTACAGCGTTTCTGTGCCTCTCTTAACGATTTTCACAAGCTGATCTCATGAGGCATTTTCATACTCCAAAACAAATATAAAATATTCCACCTCAAAATTATATAAGTGACTTTTGAGAACTCCAAAATCAGGAGGGTGGCTTTTCATAGAACCCCAAGCTCAGTGGTTTGGGGTGCCTCCAGCAGTAGGGCCAGGGGCTCAGGTGTGCATCAGTGACAGAAGCAGAAGCATCAGGCGGACGTGATTGCAATGGCTTGCTGGGGTGGCGGTTCTGCAGCTTTTTCCATGTGTCCTGGATGACTCTGCTCTCATTTCGGCTGGGAATCATTTCCCGGCTCTGGAAAGTTTCTCCAGAAGCGCACTGATCAGGAGCGTGGGACACCTAGATGGAAGGAGATGACACAGCGTGGCTGAGGCTTTTGTCCATTCCAGGCAAAACCATTCACGACATTCCTTCAGTTCCTGGTTCCTCTTTCATTTTCAAAATCTTCTCTGGAAATCACAATTACTCTTATTTAAAATTTGTGACACAGGCGTTTCATCATCTTTTCTTTGGTAGCTGAGAACAGCTTGATAGATGGATGGTGGTCCCACAGACCTCATTTGGAGATGCTCTGAAGATCCAGTGAAGGGGAGTGAATGTGAGGTGGTGCATTTGTGGGATGACAGCTCAGTGGGACACAGCTCAGAGGGAGGTGAGGAGAGAGCATCAGGAGAAGAACCAGGTAGCAGACACAAGAGGGCTGTGCACTCTACTCACGTCAGAGTGCTGCCTTCATTCTCATTTTTAGAAACCACAGAAAATATGCTTACATTTCCCCAGTTTTGCAACTCAGGGAGCTAGGATGAGAGGATATTGATGTATTCATTAACTCAACAAATATGGACTGCTTAGCACCCATTGCGATACAAGGCTTCTAGAACTGTATAAAAATCCCCTGCTTTCGGGGAATGTGTCTTTGACATCCAGCATCCTGAGGTCATTTAATGAGTGTTTGGCGATTGAGTACAAATCATAAATTTGTAAATAAGATGTAATATTTTAAAACTTAATAACGATGATACTTATATTCCAAGGATGGATCATATTGTTTGTGATTGTTCCCTGTGATATCTATATCTGGTTCAGTAACAGATGGTTGGTCCCCTAAGCCATTTTTCTCAACCACTTGGTTCCTTTTCTTATTATATCTTTTTTATTTTTTAAATTAGAACTTTCTGACTCCTTAGAGATGGCAGCTAGAGTCTGTTGGTTCTCACAGTTCTAGAAGCTTGAAATGTCCACAGACCCAGAGCATTTGCCCTGGCTTTTAGTTGCCAATTGCTTTCTGAGAATTATGCAATTGCTGTTGATTTCTCTGTGCACGCCACTGAAAAGACACTTTCTCAGTATGTTTTAGATCATGTTTACACTTTTCTGGCATTACAGGATCAAGATCAGGAAACATACTGTTGACTAAAAAATAAAGAACAGAACGTGAAGTCAGCCAGCATTTCTGTTTCATAGATGTGCTGTGCACAAACGAGAGATGCTTGGTATAAAGCACACACATCAATGATTCCTTACATTTGTAAAACAAAACATTTGCAAGAATGCACAGATGCCAGTAATTGGTTTCCCACATAGAATGCCATCTGATAAAGGAACTCACTAATACCATATTGCACTTTCTCTGCAAGCATCTCTGGCATTCAATTTGCACCTGACTTTCCAAGCTTCTCCAGGTTGGTGCGATCTGTACCCATTTTATGCTACAGGGAGTACATGCATCTTGATGGTGATTATGGAGTGATTTTATTTTCTTTACCTTTAACCACAATGTTAGTTTTGTATAAAAAGCATTATTTTTGCTTACTAGAGAGGTACTTTTTTTGAAATGTTGTGAATATTGTCATGACTTTATGCTGGTTTAATAAAATCCAATTTTCAGAGAGTCATTATCATTCTTCCTACTCATTCTGGCTTAGGCATTTTGTGTTGCTATAACTGAAGGCTACAGATTGGGTAATTTATAAAGAAAAGACATTTATGTCTCACAGTTCTTGAGGCTGGGAAGCCCAATATTAAGGTGCTGTCATCTAGCAAGGGCCTTCATGCTGCATCTTCCTACAGCAGGGGGCAGACGGCCAAAGGCCAAGAGCAGGTGGGAGAGTAAGAGACAGGAAGGGCTGGATGCATCCTTTTATCAGGAGCCCATTCCCATTATAACCAACCCACTCCCAAGATAGCTAACACATGTACATGCCTATGATAACCCACTCCACAAATAACCAAACCACTGCTGAGATAACTAACCCACTCCTGTGATACCCAACACACTCCCAATATAATGAATCCACTCCCCCAGTAACCAACCCACTCCCAAGATAACTGACATACTCCCAATATAATGAATCCACTCCCAAGATAATCAACCCACTCTCATGATAACTAACCCATCCCCAAGATAAGTAGCCCACTCCTGTGATAACAAACTCCCAAAATAACCAAACCACTCCCGTGATAACTGACCCACTTCTGACATAACTAACCCACTTCCATGATACCCAACCCACTCCCAATATAATGAACATACTCCCACGATAACCAACTCACTCCAAAGAAAAATAACACACTCCCAATATAAACCAACCTATTCCCAAGATAACCAACCCACTCTCACGATAACTAACTCATCCCCAAGATAACTAACCCACTCCCAAAATAACCAAACCACTCCCATGATAACCCTCTCCTGAAGTAACTAACTCAGTCCTGTGATACCCAACCCACTTCCAATAAAATGAACATACTCCCATGATAACCAACTCACTCCCAAGATAAATAACCCACTCCCAATATAATAAACCTACTCCCAAGATAACCAACCCACTCTCATGAGAACTAACTCACTGTTGAGATAACTAACCCATTCCCATGATAACTAGTCAATTCCTGAGATAGCTAGTTCACTCCCATGATAACCAATCCACTCCCAAGATAGCTATTCCGCTCCCAACATAAATAACCCACTTTTGTGGTACCCAACCTACTCCCCAGATAAATAACACCCTCCCAATGGAGTGAATCCACTCCCAAAAGTAACCAGCCCACTCTCATAATAACTAACTCACTCCTGTGATACCGAATCCACTCACGAGATAAATAACACTCCCGAGACAACTATCACACTCCTGTGATAACCCACTCCCTCAATAACCAAATCACTTCCATGATAACTAACCCACTCCCAAGATAACAAACTCACTCCCATGATAACTCACTCTCAAGATAACTAGCCCACTCTCAAGATAACTAACCCACTTTTGTGATAAGCCACTTCTGAGATATTAACTTACTCCTGAGATAAATAACCCACTCCTGAGATCATTAACACACTCCCCAAATAACTAACCCACTCCTGTGATAACTAACCCACTCCTATGATAACGAGCCCACTCCTGAGATAACTCATTCACTCTCATGATAATCAACCCACTCTTGAGATAATGAGCCCACCCCTACAATAATTAATCAACTTCTCCAATAACTAGCCCACTCCTAAAATAACTAGCCCACTCCAGAGATAACTATCCCACTTCTATGATAGCTAACCCACCCTTGAGATAACTCACTCACTCCCATCATAACTAGCCTACTCCCAAGATAACTAACCCACTCCTGAGATATCTAACCCATTCTGGAGATAATGGCATTAGTCCACTTGTGAGGGCAGGGCCCTCATGACCTAATCACCTCTTAAAGGTCCCACATGTCAACATTGGTGCATTGGCTATCAAGTCTCCGACTCATAAACTCTGGGGGACACATTCAAACTAGAGCACATCCTATTATTTTCAATGCTTGATCATCATACTTGCAGATTCACCTGCCTCAGTACATTCCTATTTACATTTGACATCTGTCCACTCTTTATGTTCACATCATCATTATGGACATAAAACTGACATTACTATCTTAGTTACTAGTTTTTCATTTCAGTTAACCTGTGTGAAGCCATTGATCTATTTTTATGAATTGAAAATATGATGTAAACACAATGGAAGCAACAGACACTGCAAACTTTACAAATGCAAATGAAACACAAATTATATAAAATTCCATTAGCTGATAATAATTTTAGCCTGATAACTGAATGCTGGCTGAAAACAAAACCACAGACCATCTGGTCTTTGTAATGCCTACATAACTTTAAAATAGTAATGATTATTAAGAACATAATGTGGCTTCTTTGATAATCGTAATTAATCTTATCTTTCAAATTTATGACATATATAATTTCATTGCTTTTTCCTCTGCAGCTGTCAATCCACTTGCTAGAATGCTAGATATTCTCTATTAGGGAGTGAAGGCCCAATTAGGGGAGTGAATGTTTTAGCATGGCATGCTGGTGGAGGTATTGTTCAGTTTGGATGGAGAGATAGAATTTGTCAGAGGGGTGGAGATGAGATGCGAGATAAAGTAGGGCAACATCATGAAGCACCTGGTGCTGACAGAGGGGTAGGTGAGGTTTATATTTTAGAGAAAGATTACCATATGGAGAGTGGTTTGGGAAGGGTACCATTCAGAGACCAAAAAGTTACGTAGGGAGTTGTAGAAACTGAAGTGAGAGATGACGGTAGCAGGGCTTAGAAGAATGGTGATAAAGGTGGAGAGGAGAGGACTGCTCTAAGATGCATAAGGAAACTGAATACACATGTACATTAGACCTAATGGCTGACTCTGTGTTTGCACACACGTGTGCATGCTTTGCAGGGGAGAGGAGGCAAAATGGATAAGAGGGAGAAATCAAGAAGGACTCCTTTTTCCTGAAATGGAAAACACAAGTGCATGAGCAGGTTTTTGAGAAAAAAAAAATAATGCATTTGCTTTTAGACATCTTGAGTTTAAGTTATCTGTGTGATACCAAGTTGGAATGTGGCACAGACAACTGGAACTCAGAACATAAAAGTGGTTTGGAATTTCTTATTAGGTAATCATCTGTTGGCATAGAAGTATATCCAGGCATTGATTGAATCTATGCAAACGTACAAAATCCCTCAGGGCATCCTGAGAAATGAAGAGGCAGAGGATGGAGGCCTAAAGGATATCTGTCTTCAAGTGTTGCCAGAGGAAGAGCAGCCACATGAAGAAAGTTAGGAGAAACACTGGAAGAGCACATTGGGGAATTTCAGAAAAAAAGAGTCTTTCAAGAAGAGGCAGTGATCAACGGTATGAGTCTATTTTCACAATGCTATAAATATACTGCCTGACACTGGGTAATTTATAAACAAAAGAGGTTTAATTGACTCACAGTTCTGCATGGCTGGGGAGGTCTCAGGAAACTTACAGTCATGGCAGAAGGTGAAGGGGAAGCAAGTGCCTTCTTCACAAGGTGGCAGGAGAGAGGAAGCAAGGGAAATGCCCCTTTTAAACCATCAGATCTTGTGAAAACTCCTGCACTATCACAAGAATGCATGGGAGAAACCACCTCCATTATCCAATCACTTCCCACTAGGTCCCTCCTCTGACATGTTGGGATTACAATTCCAGATGAGATTTGGGTGGGGATACAGAGCCAAACCATATCATCAATTGTTTCAAATGTAGCTGAGACTTCAAGTAGATGAGGATGGACAATGTACTTCTTGGTTTTAACAGCAAGTATTTGGTTCTGTTACCCTGGGAAGTGGAGTTTTAATTCAGTGATAAATAGAGTGCACTAGGTTGAGGCTGAGAGTGGATGTGGATTAGAAGGGACCACATGAGTGCAAGTGATGCATTCATGTTGATGAGCTGTGAAAACCTGAAACCGGGCAGTGGCTGGAGGGACACCTTATATAGAAAGTCAATTCATTTTTTCCTTTAACACGGAGGAAATGTGAACATGTTCATAACTGGGGAAGAAACACACGAAGAGAGATAAATGACATATGCATAATAGAAAAGAGAAAACTGACCAGACACGGGCACTCACACCTGTAATCTCAGCGCTTTGGGAGGCTGAGGTGGGCAGATCACTTGAGGCCAGGAGTTTGAGACCAGCCTGGCCAACAGGGCAAAACCCTGTCTCTACTAAAAAATACAAAATAAATTAGCCAGGCATGGTAGTGCATGCCTGTAATCCCAGCTACTTGGGTGGCTAAGGCATGAGAATCACTTGAACCTGGGAGGTGGAGGTTGCAGTGAGCCTAGATTGTGCCACTGGACTCCAGCCTGGTGGACAGTGAGACTCGGGCTCAAAAAAAAAAAAAAAAAAAGAAAGAAAATTGATAAGACAAGAGTAGTGGGGATTCAGAGGAAAACAGATATGGTTCTAAGACAGGAGGGAGGCTGCCTCCTCCACTGTGATGACAGGGGAGAGTTAGAATGGCTGTGGATACAAGTGGGCAGCCAGGGAATCTGTTTCTGTACAACAGTTTCTCATCTCTCCGTGAAGTAAGAGCTGAGATGCTGCCTGAGGTAGAAGAGATGGGATAGTAAAACTAGAAGAGCATGGAGCAAGGATGAAACACCCTCCATTGAAAGGAGAGGAAAAAGCTTGTTGAACAGGGATGAGCTCTGATTTGGGGGCTGCAAATCACTTATCTCAGTGGATTGTGTTTCTGAGGAATCTATGCTTTGCTACTGCATCAACTCCTGGTGTATGTTGGGGTCATATGGACACTTGTTTTGGCCTCAACCACATCCATTTTGTCTTCTATTTTTCACAGAATTCAATTCACATTTTTCTTGTAGAATCATCTCTCTCCTACTCCCAGGCCAAGTGGGCTGGAATAGTTGGCTTGGGAAGTGGCATGTGGCCCAGGCCTCACCAATCACTAAATCCCATTCCATCTGGTTGCACTGATTGGTTCAGAGATGGACAAATCACCCAAATTGAGCCAATAAGACTCAGTCTCAAGACTTTAGTTTGCATTAGTAGGTGAAACAACATCTCTTTCCATCTTGTTGCTGACACAGCAGATCATGGAACTGAATCTGCTGACATCCCTCTTGCTTAGGAATGAAACTAACATGAAGGAAGCCAGAGACAAGCCATAGAGAGAGACTGATTCCTGATAGTAGTGTTTGAACCCATGTACCCAGCCATTCTATGTAGCCCTTGACTTTTTAGTTACAAGAGCCAACAATTTCCCTCATGTTTAAGTTTTCTGACCTTACAAATGAAGAGTCTTGGATGCTTTAGAAGGACATAGCCTGATAGATAGACAGGTCACAAAAATGGAAAGTTCTTAGAGGTTACTACAAAGAAAAAAGAAACAGGGCTTGGGGACTACTTGAGTATCAGAGATGGAAGACAGGAGTGGTCAAAGGTGACTTTCAGAGTTTTCATGTGTGGGTGACCAAGATGACGATGATTCCATTTAAAGAAATTTCAGGCCAAGAGCTGAGGGAGATGAGTTTGATTTTAGATGAACTGAGTTGAGATGCGGTTGCATCACTCTCTGCAGAAAAATTCATCCAGCATTTGCAAATACTATTTCGATGGATTCTGCCCAGAGCATACTATGCGCTAAAAATGCATTGAATGAGTAAAAAAGCAATGTGATAAAAAACTCATAAAATAATTATTTAAATATCTCTATCTTCTGGTGGGTATGTGCCTGCTTCCTTCCCCAAACCTGTATGGAAACACATCTGAGGAACAGCAGGAAGGAGGGATGTCATTCTGGCTTCCTCCTGGGAGAGTCCAAGAGGAAAGACTGTGTACATATTTTGGGTCATCATTTATTCTAAATAAATGGTAAAAAGGACCTTGATTCCTTTTGTTTAAAATAATTCTGAAAACAAAATACCTGAGCAGAAGTATTTAACTGAACATCTCAGACTTTTAGAGTTGGTTTCCAAATATCAAAATCCAGGACTTTCCAGTGAACTGAGCTTTCCATGGACATTTAGTATCGTAACCGACTTATCTCAAGAAAATGTTTCAGAGGGCTGGGTGAAAACTTAAGATTGCAGCCGTGGGGAGATGGTGCAGGGTTGGAGTGAAGTACTGATTTACTTTTTGTACCCAAACAGCTATTAAAGTAATTTCCTAAATCTATCAAAATAATTTCCTAGACCCATCTTCTCTATTACGGCTTTTGCCTGTCTCTGAGTCCTTCTGCTGGACAGAGATTAAGTTGGAGAGTCATTGAAATTGTTACCCAACTCGTGCCAGCCTCTCCCCTGGCAAGGTGTAGTAGCCACAGGCCCCCTGGAGGCTGACCTATTTTGCCATGTCAGAATTGCTTAATTCTGAAAATATAGTGTGGGCAGGCACCTATGTCCTGAGAGTGGAGCATTGAAAACGCTGTAGTCTTCTAAAGCAGGATCCTCACACTGCCACTTTGTTGCTGGGGAGGAGGCAGACTTTAAAATCATATCGAAATGTTGAATGACCCAGAGAGGGGGATTCCTCTGGAGTGCAAAGCAGGTCTGTGCTTGCAGACCTGTGACTCTTGCTTAGCACAAAGCCCTGACAATTTTGTTGGGAAACATGTGGTTCCTCCTTTTGCACAGTATGATGTCTTGGAGAATAATGGGTGAGGGTTATGGGCTGAACTGTGTCCCCCCTCAATTCCCTATGTTTAAGCTCTAACTCCAATCTGGCTGTTTCAGAGACAGGGTCTTTAGGGAAGTAATTAAGGATAAATGAGGTCATAAGGGTGGGGCCCTAATCTGATAGGACTGATGTCCTTATATAAAAATAAAAGAAAGGCCTCTGAGAGCTTGCATGCTCCATGCACTGAGGAAAGACCCTGTGAGGACATGGAGAGAAGGCAGCCGTGCACAAGCCAGGAAGAGAGCCCTCACCAGAAACCAACCCTGCTGATATCTTGATGTTAGACATCCAGCCTCCAAAACCGTGAGAAAATAAATGTCTGTTGTTTAAGCCACCCAGTCTATGGTATTTTGTTATGGCAGTCGGAGCTGACAAATACAGTGAACATGGAAAGTAAAGTGAGCATTAATATTAGCACCAGTGATGAGTGATGCAGTTTGGATGTCCCCTCCAATTCTCATGGTGAGATGTGATCCCCAGTGTTGGAGTTGGGGCCTGGTGGGAGGTATTAGATCATGGGGTTGGATCCCTTATGAGTGCCTCGGTGATGTGTGCTCTTGCTCTGAGTTCACATGAGATCCAGTCATTTGAAACTGTGTGGCACCTCCCCGACTCTCGTTCCTGATTTTACCAAATGATGTGCCATCTCCCCCTCTGCCTTCCACCATGTTTGGAAGCTTCCTGAGGCCTTCTTAGAAGCAGATGCCAGAGCCATGCTTCCTGTACGGCTTGCATAACTGTCAGCCAATTAAACCCTGTTTCTTTATAAATTACCCACTCCCAGGTATTTCTTTATAGCAAGGAAAGAATGTTCTAACACAATCTGTCATTGTGCCGACTTGCCAGGGACCTGGGCTAGCACAGTCATCCCCCCAGCATCAGCCAAGTGGCCACTGGACTGCGCAGGACCAGCTCTCAACATTGACACTGTGTGGCTGCAAGGTGCAACAGCAGCAGGGAACCTCCGACACCACGTCCTGGGGGTGGATCCCCAAGACCTTACTTGCACCCTGCAGGCCCCTGAAATTCTTGGGCAAGACACAGAAGGGGTGGGCTTTGTACAGAAGATTCTAGACAAACTGATAATAAGGCAGGTGTGCCCTTAAGAAATTAGTTTTCAACAATACAAGTTGTAATTGTGTTTGTGTCTCAAAATTGATGAAGCGTTTCATGAGCTAACAATGCTAAAACAGCTGCAGTGATTCTTGTTTGAAATAGCATTTTTCATTTCTCCCTCCTACATTCAAACAACAGCTATTATGAGTTAAATGAGTTCTGGGACTCTGCTGCTTCCCCATCTTCTGCCTCTGCAGATTCATCCTCTGCCGTTCTCTTCCCCCACCTCCCCAAGGAAGCTGACTTCTATGGGTCGAATCACCAGATCCTCTCTTCCCACTAGATCTGGGGTTGGGTTTGGCCACTGGAAGGCATTGACAGGATCAGAGGAGGACAGAAAGGCTGGTGTGTTTGCTGCTTCCCCTTCCCCACTGCTGGACTGCTGCTGGGCAGTGGTGGGTGCCTCTAATTCTTCATGGACAAAGCTTCCCCTCCCTGGGAGGCTTCCCTCTCTGCTATTGCTGTATTGGGGCCCAGCACCAACTCCCGCTCCCTGCCCCTCCGGGCCTTGGGGTGTTAATGGCTTCCCATTGTTATGAATCCCTGGGTGCTTCCCCATCCCGGCATATCCTCTGAAAATGCCCCTTCCTTCAATTCTTTCCAGTCACCTCTGTGAGGTTCCTGTCAGTCCAGACTGATACAGCGATAATTGGCTACTTTATTCTAATCCAGGCTTATCTTGTTTACTCCTTCATCCTCCTCACCTGGAATTGCAATCTACTCCCTGGGAAGAGAAACACTGAGATGTCCCAGCCGGATGGAAGTTGATACCAAATTATTGTCTTTTCTTTGTTCAAGTGCGTGACACCAAATGGGTTCCCAGGCCTTCCCTGGTGGGAACTGAGGATCCAAATACTGTGCATGACTTTCTCCAGCACTTCAAGGAGTTACCCAGTATGCAGCTCGATTTATATGCAAATTCTTCAGAAAAAAACCAACAAAACAGCCTGGACTGAAAAAAACCACAACACAGCCTGGAAGCTGGTGGGAGATAATCCAGCCCCAGGTTCTGTGCCCCGCAGGAGTGCATTTCCCGGTCAACTCATGTCAAAAGTGGAACGTGACAGCCTTTCCTCTGACCTTAGTCAAGGCTTAGCCTCACTGGTGCTGACTGCTCTCCATCGGCCTGGTATGATTAAAACAGGCTTGTCCCCAACAATGTGATACCACGACCCACCCACCATAATGGCTGCAATTAAACAGCGAAAATAATCAAATGTTGGCAAGTACTTGGAGCAACTGGAATTCTCAGGCTTTGACAGCATGAAGTCTGACAGTTTCTTGTAAAGTTAAACATATACCCAGCTGTATTGGTCCATTTTCATACTGCTATAAAGAACTGCCCAAGACTGGGTAATTTATAAAGGAAAGAGGTTTAATTGACTCATAGTTCAGCACGAGGAACTATAGTTCAGCCTCAGGAAACTTACAATCATGGCGGAAGGTGAAGGGGAAGCAAGGCACCTTCTTCACAAGGCGGCAGGAAGAAGTGCTGAGTGAAGGGGAAAGAGCCCATTATAAAACCATCAGATCTCATGAGAATTTACTCAGTATCACAAGAACAACATGGGGGAAACTGCCCCCATAATTCAATTACCTCCACCTGGTATCTCCCTTGACACATAGGGATTTTTGGGATTACAAGATGAGATTTGGGTGGGAACACAAAGCCTAAACATATCACCAACCTATTCTACTCATAGGTATTTACTAGAGAACAATCAAAACATATGTCTTCATGAAGGTTTGCATATAGAACATTCATACCAGCTTCAGTCATACGAGCTAAAAGCTGGAATCCCCTGAGGAAAATAGATAATGGTATATTCATACATGGGAAAATTACTCTGCAGCAAAAAGGAAAGGACTATTGATTCACAAAATAACATGAGAGAATCTCAAAAATATGGCATGGAATGGAAGAAGCCCTCCATATGCACCGAATGATCTGATTTATATGAAATTCTAGGAATAGGCAGACTAATCTATTATGAAGATGTCAGAATAGTGGTTGCCCCTGGAGAGGGTAGGATGGGCTTGGAAGGGAGCTGAAAGAACTTTCTGCAGCAGTGGTAGTGATGTACATCTGGATGACTGTTTGGGTTGCAAAGGTGTACACGTGTCTCAAAGCTCATCACTGGGCACTCTTAAGATTTGTGCATTTCATGGTGTGTAAAGTCTACATAAAAATGAACTATAAAAAATTGAACTCTACGTAATGATAGACAAACAAGTGTTTATATATAAAGTGTTGTGATGTCTGCAACTAACTGAAATGGACAAAGAAATGGATCAGTTGTTTTAGGGATGAATAGATAGGTGTGTGACAAAACAAGCACAGCAAAATGTTCATTGCAAAATAAAACAAAACTTGAGCCTGTCTCTACCCTGTTTCTCTAACACCACTCTCCACATGTGTTCTCCCCTGAACTGGAAATTGACCAGTATTAAAAATAAAAATTTGGCCATGGGCAGAGCAGTGTCAAACATTTCTTCTTTTTTTTTTTCCCCTACAAAAGAGATACTCTGCCATGTTAAAAACAAAGCATGACAAAAAGTTAAAACATGATATGAAGTGTGTCATCCCACAGAGCCTTGACTCCTTGACTCCTTCTGGCTAGACTTTTTCTAGGTTGTTTTCCTTTGTGTAAGTATAGAAAAAAATAAATCACAAAAAGGATGCTGGCATGACCCCGGGCATGATGCTCTCGATAAGAATAATAGTGGCTATTCACGTGACGCTGACTATGGGCTGAGCCCTGGGTTATCCTGTTTATATGCATTATATGCATCTTATTTTAGTTCTCACAACCACCATTGGAAACAGCAGCTATTATTATCGCTGTTTTGTGGGTGATGAAAGTCAGGTTCAGCGAGGTTACATAAGTTGCCCAGTTACAGAGCAAACCATTATGGGAGCTGGGACTTGACAACTGGTCTTTCTAATTTTCACAGCAGGCACCACAAACTCAAATGCCCACAGGGCTTAGGCAGGTAAAAATAAGTAACGTGGGCTCTATGTAAATGGATGCACCCGATGGGACCTGCTAACTCTCATTCGACTGAGTGTTGCGGCTACAATGGGGATGGGGGACTGTGGGAAGCTGGAGAACCCCTGCTCCGTCTAAAGGGCCACATATGTTTCGTCTCCGGCTACTGTTTGACAGGCATGAATGCGGGCGGAGCTCCATCTAAAGGGCCACGTATGTTTCATCTCCGGCTACTGTTTGACATGCATGAATGTGGGCGGATGTGGCAGGCTTTTTAGTATCTCAAGTAAAGGCCAAATTTAGATTCTATCCTGAAATGTGTAAGTATTTAAATGTTGTCAACTAATTTAATATTAAGACACTGTATGTTAGCCACTGCTATGTGATTACTAAAACACAGAAACGAAGTCAAACCAAATGTGTATTGAAGCAGACTATGCAACCTCCAGTAAGAAGCTCATTACATAAACCGCCAGGCCATCCTGGGACTACGCAAGGACATATATATACACATACACACACACACACACACACACACATATACACACACACACATATATATATATACACATATACATACACACACACATATATATATATACATATATATATATATATATATATATATATATATATTTCAGTTGTCAACTCGGAAGACACAAGTACATTTTCCTGGGCTAGCTCAGCATCTTAGAAACCACACCAGTTGCTGGGCGCAGTGGCTCACACTTGTAATCCCAGCACTTTGGGAGGCCGAGGAGGGCAGATCACTTGAGGTCACGAGTTCGAGACCAACCTGGCCAACATGGCAAAACCCTGTCTCTACTGAAAATACAAAAATTAGGCATGTTGGTGCATGCCTGTGGGCCCAGATACTTTGGAGGCTGAGGTGGGAGAATCACTTGAAACCAGGAGGCCGAGGTTGCAGTGAGCTGAGATCATGTCACTACACTCCAGCCTGGGTGATAGAGTGAGACTCTGTTTAAAAAAAAAAAACAAAAAAAAAACCAGTGCCAACATGGGTAGCAAACAGAGCTCAGGAACCTAGAAGTTTCCTGAAGCACAGAATGCTGAGACGAGGAGGCCTCACCATCTCGCAGCAGGTGGGACCACTGCAATTAGCATCTCCCAGGAACCAGGGGCCCACTTTCCATAGCAGGAAGGGCAGAAACGTCGATTTGCTAGAAGTCTCCAGCTATGTGGCTGTTGGCTTCCCCACGCAACTCATTTAAGTAGCTGGCACCTAAAACCAGACTGTTGGTGCCTGGGCAGTCTATTTGTCTACCAAGTGACAAGGTTGCTTTTACACCTGCCTGGGAAAAAGCTGCAGGAGTGACAGGAGTCAGGGGCCTCTGCAGGAGTACAGGAGCCACTGGTCCTGGCATGGGGTCTCCATAGGATGAAGAAAGATCAGGGGACCTTTGTCTTCTCTTGGTGCTTCTTGATTTATCATTTCCCTCACTGAAGACTATTCCTTAACACATACCTTCTGACACTGTGGAATTGGCACAATACTAGATACAGCTTAGATCTAGAGTATGTACATCTATTTAATATTAAAATAATTTAACAGTGAATTCAAATGGCAGTTTGCCCAATTGGGAGGCCCCCACAACCACCCCACCAAGCCCCAGATTCAGTGTTTCTAAGATATGGGAGCTCCAGGAAGTGAAAAGAACCACACTTTATTCGGAATCCTAAAGGAGGGCTGCACTGAGCATAAGGACTGGTTCACTGTCACCATCGAGAAATGTTTATGAATGGTTGGAGGGAAGCTTTTAGAGGAAGAAAGCTGTCAAAAAGAAGTCTTTCTCTTCTGGGCTTCCTCTGAGTGGTTTCCAAAACAATGGAGCTTTTTGCAAAAGGTAAAAATTATAGCCATATTCACTGAGATAAAATGACAAGTTCAGAGTTAATAGAAGGAACAGTCATGATGATTCTTGGAAAATGTGTTCCCTTTTGAAAACAGTGAAGGTATTGTCCCTGGAAAAATTGCAGCTTTCTCTAAGAGTTTTAACTATGGTTTCCACTAAGGAGTCTGCTATTTGGGCTCCTCAATCCATCTCCTCTTTTGGGATTTTTTTTTTACCAACAAGAGCTTTATTGATATATAATTCACATACCACACAAATTATCCTTTAAAAGTATAAAATTAAGTGATTTTTAGTATATTCTCAGAGTCATGAAACCATGACCACTATGTAATTTTTGCCACACCCAAAAGAATCCCCATACCCATTATGAGTCACTTTCATTCCTGCTCCTGCCAGCCCCTGTGGACCCCTAATTTACTTTCCGCTCTATGGATTTTCCTATTCTAGACATGTCATATACATGGAGTTATATAAGACATGCCTTTCACGTCCAGCTTCCTTCACCTAATATGACGTCCTCAAGGTCCACCTGTATTGTGGTTCCCAGAGCTGTGATGGACCCTCAAGTTCACCTCCCCCAGGGGGGTTCCACCTGGGCTCTACAGACATTTAAGGTTGGATAATTCTATGTTTCGTGGGGCTGTCCTATGAGTCATAGGCTGTGTAGTGTCATCTCTGTCCTCTACCTTCCAGATGCTGGTGGTATCTCATCTTATTTTGATGGGAACCCAAAAGGTATCCAGATATTGCCAAATGTCCCCTGGGTGGGGAATCACCCTTGGTTGAGAACCGCTGACCTAACTAACTCTCTTCTCAAACTCTACCCAACTCCCATCACCATTTAAAGAAACAAAACCCTGGAAGGCTGACTGACTTCCTGAAATCCCACAGTTAGCTAGCGGCCGATAGAGGGACTAGAGCCCTAGCTCTTGATATCTACTTTGTATCACTCTAAGAATCTACCTTTCAAATATACCTTTGCTGAAATCAGGCTGCTTTTTACCCAAATAGCATTTTCGTAAAGCCGTCTTTAAACTTCAACCCACAACCAAACCATCCAAAGAGCTTGTTAAAATGCAGATCTCCAGCCCCCAGCCCTAGAGTTTGTGATTTTGTAGGTCTGTGGTGGGGCCTAAGAACTTGCATTTCTATTAAGTTATCAGGTGATGCTGATGCAGCTGGTCTGGGGGTCCTGCTCTGAGAAGAACCATTGGAGCATTCACTCATCCTTTACTTGTCTGTGGACTGGGAGTCTCAAACACAATTATCTGCTGTGGCCAGGCAGAAAACACAACTGTGAGACATGAATGGTGTGAGGATGTTGTGGCTGGAGCTATGGCAGCCATCATGTGACAGTGAGGACTGAGTCAAAGGAATTCCTGGGAAGCCAGCCTGGCTCCCCCTGCATGGCACTGCTACATAGCTGTATCTAGGACTGGCAATCTCTGAGCTTGATGTCATGCAGAATGGATGATAACTCCTATTATTAACCACTTTTACTTGGTTGTTCTGTTATCTTCTATCTGATTGCATCTTAAATGACACATTCCCCTCTTAGCATGCAAATACAATGGGACAAGCTACTTCATCGATTTTTTTGTTTATCTCTATATTTCCATCATCAAGACGAGGGGCTGAGCAGAACTTCATCAATAAGAGGGGATTCAAGAAGCACTTAAATGAATGAATGAATTGTACTGCAGGGGCCATCTCATGCTTTGAGCATCTGTGTATAACATCTTCACATTTATTTTTATTTTTTCAAAATGCCATGTGTCTAAACACCACTTCCACTATTCTACCTTTTATTCTTTTACAAAAACACCCTTAAGCTTCTTCTAAGCAAAATATTTGCAATCCCAGTTTTGATATGTTACTTATATTTTCTAACACATTACATCAAATACACAAATGTTCTATTTCAACAAGATCTATTTAGCACCTGCAATCCTCACGCTTGCTGTGGTTCTGATCATGTCTACACTTTTCAGATGCCACACTGGACCACGGCCAGGGCTTAATTGGGTCCAGGCAGTCTGACTTCTTTGTGAATAATCGTAAAGTCTCCAACTCCCTTTCTCATCTAGAGCTGCTCCTTCCAGGTCAGGGGTGAGGCAAAGAGGAGGAGCTGTTCCCACATGCTCTTACCATATGCAAACTGTGAATAAATAAAAGATGATGAGATCTCAGGCTGGCAGCAAAGGTCCTTGGAGCAGAAAGTAATTCACCAACAGAGTTGGGGTATGAATTGCAGTGCAGAGAGCAAGCAAATAAGCCCTGAAAATATTTGTTGATACAGGCACACCTTGGAGATATTGTGGATTTGGCTCCACTGCAAGAAAGCTTATATCTCAATAAAGAGAGTTACAGGAATTTTTTGGTTTCCCAGTGCATGTAAAAGTTATGTTAACACTATACTGTAGTCTACTAAGCATGAAATTGCATTATGTCTAGAAAATAACACTCATGCCTTAATTTAAAAATATCTTATTGAGGGCCAGGCATGATGGCTCACACCTGTAATCCAGCACTTTTGTGGGCCGAGGCAGGCAGATCACTTGAGGTCAGGAGTTTGAGACTAGCCTGGCCAACATAGTAAAACCCAGTCTCTACTAAAAATACAAAAATAAGCTGAGTGTTGTGGCGCACACCTGTAGTCCCAGCTACTAGGGAGGCTGAGGCAGGAGAATTGCTTGAACCTGGGAGCCGAGATTGCACCACTGCCCTCCAGCCTGAGCGACCCAGCGAGACTCCAAGTAAAAAAAAAAAGTGTTATTGATAAAAATGCTAATGATAATCTAAGCCATTAACAAGTCATAATCTTTTTGCTGGTGGAGGGTCTTGCCTTGAGGTTGATGGCTGCTGGCTGATCAGGCTGGTGGATGCTGAAGTTTGGGGCGGCTGTGGCAAGGACTGAAAATAAGACAACAATGAGGTTTGCTGCATTGATCGACTCTTCCTTTCATGAATGACTTCTCTGTAGCATGCGATGCTGTTTGATAGCATTTTACCCACAGCAGAACTTCTTTCAAAATTGGAATCATTCCTCTCAAATCCTGCTGCTACTTAATGAACTAAACTTATCTAATATCCTAAGACCTTTGTTGTCATTTCAACGACGTTCACAGTATCTTCCCCAGGAGTAGATTCCATCTCAAGAAACCACTTTCTTTGCTCATCCATAAAAAGCAACTCTTCTTCTGTTCAAGGTTTGTCATGAGATTGTGGCCATTCAGCCCCATCTTCAGGCTCTACTTCTACTTCTAGTTCTCTTGCTGTTTCCCCCACACCTGCACTGACTTCCTGCACTGAAATCTTAAACCCCTCAAAGTCATCTAGTGGGGCTGGAAACAACTAAGTTCTTCCAAAGCCTTGTTCATGTTGATATTCTGAGGTCCTCCCATGAATCACACATGTGCTTAATGGCGAATAGGGAATCCTTTCCAGAAGGTTTGCAATTTACTTTGCTCAGGCCCATCAGAGGAATCACAGTCTCTGGCAGCTATAGCTTTACAAAATGTATTTCTTAAGTAGTAACACTTGGAAGTCAGAATTACTTTTTGCTTTGTAGGCTGCAGAGTGGATGTTGTGTTGGCAGGTGTGAAAACAAGATTCATCTCGCACATCTCCATCAGCACTCTTGGGCGATGAGGTGCATTGTCATTAAGCAGGAATATTTTGAAAGAAATCTTTTCTTCTGAGAAGTAGATCTCAACAGGTAGGCTTAAAATATTTAGTAAACCATGCTACAAACAGATACGCTGCGATACAGGCTTTGTGGTTCCATTTACAGAGCACAGGCAGAGTAGATTTAGCATAACTCTTAAGGGCCCTAGGATTTGGGGAATGCTAAATGAGCACTGGCTTCAATAAAGTTACTAGGTGCATTACTCCCTGACAAGACAGTCAGCCTGTCCTTTGGAGCTCTGAAGCCAGGCACTGACTTCTTCTCTCCAGCTATGAAAGCACTAGATGACATCTTCTTTCCCTGGAAGGTTGTTCTTGCTTAGTGTAGCCTCCTTCCCCAATGATATTAGCTAGATCTTCTGGAGAACTTGCTGCAGCTTCTCCATCAGTACTTGCTGCTTCACCTTGCACTTTTATATTGTGAAGATGGCTTCTTTCCCTAAACCTCATGAACCAATGTCTGCTAGCTTCCAGCTTTTCTTCTGCAGCTTCCTCGCTCCTCTCAGCCTACATAGCCTTGCTCTGGATTAGGCTTTGGCTCAAGGGAATGTTGCAGCTGGTCTGATCTTCTATCTAGACCACCAAAACTTTTTCATATCAGCAAAAGGCTATTTCACTTTCTTATCATTTGTGTGTTCACTGAAGTAGCATTTTTAATTTCCTTGAAGAAGTTTTCCTTTGCATTCACAACTTGGCTAACTGAGGCGAGAGGCCTAGCTTTTGGCCTATCTTGGCTTTCCATCTGCCTTCCTCACTCAGCTTAACCATTTCTAGCTTTTGATTTAAAGTGACAGACTCTTCCTTTCATTTGAACACTTAGAGGCCACTGTATTAATTGGCCTCATTTCTTTTTCTTTTTTGAGATAGAGTTTCACTCTTGTTGCCCAGGCTGGAGTGCAATGGTGAGATCTTGGCTCACTGCAACCTCTGCCTCCCGGGTTCAAGTGATTCTCCTGCCTCAGCCTCCTGAGTAGCTGGGATTACAGGCATGCACCACCACACCCAGCTAATTTTGTATTTTTAGTAGAGACAGGGTTTCTCTATGTTGGTCAGGCTGGTCTCAAACTCCCGGCCTCAGGCGATCCACCCACCTCGGCCTCCCAAAGTGCTGGGATTACAGTGTGAGCCACTGCACCCGGCCTGGCCTCATTTCAATATTGTGTCTCAGGGAATAGGCAGGCCCGAGGAGAGGGAAAATGATGGGGGAATGGTGGGTTGGTGGAGCAGTCAGAAGACACACAACATTTATTAAGTTTGCCATCTTCTATGGGTGGGATTTGTGGGGCCCTAAAGCAATTATAATAGTAACAGCAAAGATCACTGATTGCAGATCACCATAACAGGTATAATAAAAAAGAAAAAGCTTGATATATTGTGAGAGTTGACCAAATGTGACACAGAGACATGAAGTGGGCACAAGCTGTTCGAAAAATGGTGCTGACAGACTTGCCTAACACAGAGTTGCCGTGAACCTTCAATTTATAACAAATGCAATATCTTGGAAGCAGAGTAAAGCTAGGTAAGCCTATATAAGATTAATAAGCCTTGGATATAAGAAAAGTCTTCAAAATGGGCTGTTTTCAGCAAAACTACTTTGAGATGAAAGATATGATACGTTGTACTCCCAGAAATATTTCTTACCTTGTACCTAAAATTTATAAAATAGGATATTCCCTAATGATAGGTTATTTCTCATATAGGCTTAAACAGCCTCTGTCTAGCTGGCTCTTTTTGTCCAAAGTCATGCTTTTTCTCACCAAAGATTTTCAGCCTGAGGGATTCTTCATCTGATGAGTGGATGATCTTTATAACACCTTCAGCTTCTGACTCTCATATTGCATTAAACCAATCTTCTTTTGTGATTTATGTTTACGCCAGTGTTCAATTCTAGCACCTTCTCCTTCCTGCATTCTCAATTTCCTCTCAGATTCTTTTTATCTCGATAATACCATTTTTGTAGCTAAGTCATAGGCTGTCACTTAGCATTTATGAACTGAGAGGTAATGCATGTGATAACTTTATTTTTGTGAATATCCATAATGACTAATGCATTGATTGAGTCCTTAGGATGGAGTCTCAACTTCTAGCCCACCCATCCCCCAGTTGCCAGCATTTTTAACAATCCGCATGTGCTGAGGAGGTGATGAAAATCTGTAATCCTTTTTCAGGGTTTTCAGATGTTCCGAAGAGAGACACGAATATCTCCAAATTGCTCAAATTTTGGAGTAATTTTAAGTTGTGGTTCAAGAAAAGAGGGAAATACGAATTTATTTTAATAAAAATTGGACCAGAACAAACGTAGCCTGGTTACATAAATACTCAGCCAACATAATAATTAGGGCATCTGAAATAACGATGCCCCGCTTTTCTTTATTTTATTTTACCTTAAGTTGCAGGATACATGTGCAGAACATGCAGGTTTGTTACATAGGTATATGTGTGCCATGGTGGTCTGCTGCACTTATTAACCCGTCCTCTAAGTTCACTCCCCTTGCCCCCCACCCCTCAACAGGCCCTGGGGTGTTTTGTTCCCCTCCCTGTGTCCATGCGTTCTCATTGTTCAACTCGCACTTATGAGTGAGAACATGCAGTGTTTGGTTTTCTGTTCCTGTGTTACTTTGCTGAGGATGATGGTTTCCAGCTTCATCTATGTCCCTGCAAAGGACATGATCTCATGTATTTTTATGGTTGTGTATTATTCCATGGTGTATATGTACCAAATTTTCTTTATCCAGTCTATCATTGATGGACATCTGGGTTGGTTCCATGACTTTGCTATTGTAAATAGTGCTGCAATTAACATACATGTGCATGTGTCTTTATAGTAAAATGATTTATATTCACTTGGGTATATACCCAGTAATGAGATTGCTGGGTCAAATGGCATCTCTGCTTCTAGATCCTTGAGGAATTGCCATATTGTCTTCCACAATGGTTGAACTAATTTACACTCCCACCAACAGCGTAAAAGTGTTCTTATTTCTCCACAGCCTCACCAGCATCTATTGTTTCTTGACTTTGTAATAATCACCATTCTGACTGGCATGAGATGGTATCCATTGTGGTTTTGAATTGCATTTCTCTAATGATCAGTGATGTTGAGCCTTTTTTCATAGGTCTGTCGGCTGCATACATGTCTTCTTTTGAGAAGTGTCTGTTCATGTCCTTTGCCCATTTTTTGAGGGGGTTGTTTTTTTCTTCTAAATTTGTTTAAGTTCCTTGTAAATTCTGGATACTAGACCTTTGTCAGATGGGTAGATTGCAAACATTTTCTCCCATTCTGTAGGTTGCCTGTTCACTCTTATGATAGTTTCTTTTGCTGTGCAGAAGTTCTTTAGTTTAATTAGACCCCATTTGTTAATTCTGGCTTTTGTTGCAATTGCTTTTCACATTTTTGTCATGAAGTCTTTGTCCATGCCTATGTCCTGAATGGTATTGCCTAGGTTTTCTTCTAGGGTTTTTATGGTTTTGGGTTTTACATTTGTCTTTAATCCATCTCAAGTTAATTTTTGTATAAGGTGTAAGGAAGGGATCCAGTTTCAGTTTTCTGTATATGGATGCCCCGCTTTTCAAGAGTGATGTGGTACATTGCAGTAAAGGGAGCCCAGGATTCCACACCAAGGGCCAGGGTTTGATACCACCACTTATTGCCAATCTGGTATTGCGTATGTCACTTACAGTATGTATCTCAGTTTCCTTATTTGTATTACAAATATTTTAAGTGAAAAGGTTGTAAGAGAAAATTATTCCAAATCATGTAAAGTTCTTATAAATGAAATCATTATGAAAAGGCCCCATCTCTACTAAAAACACACAAACAAAAATAACCAGGCATGGTGGCACATGCCTGTAATCCAAGCTACTTGGGAGGCTGACGCAAGAGAATCACTTGAACCTGGGAGGTGGAAGTTGCAGCGAGCCAAGATCACACCATTTCACTCCAGCCTGGGCAAAAACAGTGAAACTCCATCTCTAAATAAATAGGCAAAGCCATCTTGCTGTTGTACCTACTTAGCCTGTGTAGCTTACATAATTTATTACTGATGCAAATGCAATGGTACTTTGTCCATCTAACTTCTCAGAGTTAGTGTCCTTAGTTTGCAAAATTTATTTTTTTATGTCCAAAATCCTTCTAGGTTTAGTAGAGTTGAAACTCTTATAGGGTTTAAGACGTGAAGTAAAATGTCTGGCAGAGTCCACATTACCCTTGCATACTTCTTACTCCTCACCCTTGCAAAACATCAAGTGGAGTCTGGAGTAATTCCAACATATGTGTGCTCCCTTCCAGTGAACACACTGGTCATAGTTTCCTTTGGTTGAACTTGGGAGCCACTGAGGGGGCTTATGTTCAAGGACCACGTTGCGTGGAACTAGACATCTTCAAATGCACATGCAGAGAGATGTTCATACCTCCAGAGTTATCTGAGAAGGGAGACTGTCAGGAGGAGAGCAGATTTCAACTCCATTCTTGCCTTTGCCACCAGGTATCTGCTCAGTGTATGAGTGGTGGCAAAATCTCCCTCACTGTTGGGATTATTATTTATCTCCCTGTATATCCCACCCCCCAAGCTTATGTAAGCAATTGGATTCCCACAACAAATTTACATACAGTGTGACTCCACCATACTGTTTAGAAGAGCAGGTGTAATTATTTCACTGAAGAACAGAGGGATGTAGCCACCATTGGGTTGCCATAGGCTGTTGTTGGGACCCGTAATTCTAGCTCCTGGAACTTCAGGAAATTTTCCCTCTGCTTGGCCAAGGCCACAGAGGAAGGCGAATAGCAAGAAGATGGTCTTTCCTTCTCTGATCTAGGGAGGGGACTCCTTGCCTCCTGGGATTTGCAGAATCCTCCCCAAATTGCTTTGATGGCTCTCGCTACCACACAACACTGCAGAGAATAATTACAGTGAATTAAAATCCACTTCAAGACTTTTGCCAGGGCCTCTGAGAGGACATGAAATGTCTTCCTGTTGGTAATTAACTTCGCTGAAGGGCAGCCAACGAGAGCAGGCTGGGCATCACTTATCACAGGTGGGAGGACCAAGTTGAGTGATTAACTCCTAAGAAATAGAACTCTGTCCCTGGCATGTGCCATGGGCATTGCCCAGTGACAGCTGTTAAGAAGTAAAGTGCCAGGCACGGAGGTGTATTTAGTCTGAGAACAAATGCTGCGATTTGGGAAAGATCCTGTTGAGCATATTGGAAGGGAAATGCAAACACAGCCAGGACTGCCCCCAGCCGTCTTGACCGCGCTTCAGGCTGAGAACCTTCTCTTTGGTTTGGTGCATGGCTTGAAAATTCCTTATGGATGGAGGCACTCACAGTGCTGAAAAGTAACAGGCTAGCACAACCACATAAATTTTAGAAAATGGGGAATTAACTAGACAAAAGAAAAAAATGAAAATATTTATAAGTGGAATTACAAGTAAGAGTATCTCATTCTTGCTTATGACTTAGATTTTGAAGTCAGTGCGTTCATCTATTTTAAAAAATCACCAATATTTATTGGGGCCTAATGAATGCCTAATGAGATACATCCCCCTATGGGCTATGTCGTCAATAAAACAAACAAAAACCCAGCTCCAATGAAGCATATATTCTACAGAGGGCAGGGAGACAATAAACAATCACTGAAATAAATCAGCAAATTACACAGTATGTCAGAAAGTGATAATGATAGGGAAAAGTAGATTAGGATGAGGTGGTTGCCAGTGTTTGGATGTTTAAAAGTATATGTGGCCGGGGATGATTGCTCACACCTATATTCTCAAAACTTTGGGAGGCCAAGGTGGCAGGATCACTTGAACCTGGGAGTTCAAGACCAGCCTGGACAACATAGTGAGACCCCATCTCTACAAAAAATGAAAAAGTTAGCCAGGCATGGTGGTGTGTACCTATAGTTCCAGCTACTTGGGAGGCTGAGGCGGGAGGATTGCTTGCACCCAGGAGTTGGAGACTGCAGTGAGCTATGATCGCACCACTGCACTCCAGCCTGGGCAATAGAATAAGTAAGTTCCCTGACTCTTAATTTTTTTAAATTTTAAGTTCTGGGTACATGTGCAGGATGTGCAGGTTTGTTACATCGGTAAATGTGTACCATAGTGGTTTGCTGCTCAGATCATCCCATCACCTAGCTATTAAGCCCAGTGTCCATTAGCTATTCTTCCTGATGCTCTGCCTCCTCCCTCTGCACCCTCTGGTAGGCCCCAGTGTGTGTTGTTCCCCTCCCTGTGTCCATGGGCTCTCATCATTCAGCTCCCACTCATAAGCGAGGACATGTGGTGTTTGGTTTTCTGTCCTGCATTAGTTCACTGAGGATAATGGCTTCCAGCTTCATCCATGTCCCTGCAAAGGATATGATCTTGTTCCTTTTTATGGCTGCATAGTATTCCAAGGTGTGTATGTACCACATTTTCTTTACCCAGTCTATCACTGTTGGACATTTGGGTTGATTCCATGTCTTTGCTATTGTGAATAGTGCTGTGGTGAACATACATGTGCATGTATCTTTATAAGGGAATGATTTATATTCCTCTGGGTATATACTCAGTAATGGGATTGCTGGGTCAAATGGTATTTCTGCCTCTAGGTCTTTGAGGAATCACCGCACTGTCTTCCACTATGGTTGAACTAATTTACACTCCCACCAACAATATAAAAGTGTTCCTTTTTCTCCACAATCTCACCAGCATCTGTTTTTTTTTTTTTTTTGTGACTTTTTAGTAATAGCCATTCTGACTGATATGAGATGGTATCTCATTGTGGTTTTGATTTCCATTTCTCTAATGGAGATCTCTGACTCTTACAAAATTAATAAATTAAATAAAATAACATAAAAGCACATGTGATTTTAAGGAAAAACAAGAAACATAGGCCTTCTTAGGGTGATATTTGGGCAAACACTTCAAGAGGGTAAAAGATGGGGGCAGTAGAAATTACTGCTGAAAATCACTTAAACTGCTTTTACCAATTGTAGTAATATGATGTGGTCAATTGCAAAAATGGCCCCAAATTCCTCCATGCCTATGTATACATGCTTTTGCAACCAGGAGCTTTACTGATTCTCCATCAGGAGGTGAAGTCTATGTCTGCACTCCTTGAACCTGGGTTTGGCCAGGTGGCTGCTGTGGGTCAAAGGAACACCAGCAGATGTAATACAAGCAAGGGGTTACAAAGCACTTGTGCAGCGGGGCTTTTGCTCTCGCCACACCCGGGACTCTGGGACCACTGTGTGAATGGCCCAAGCTAGGCTTCTTGATCATAAATCATACAGCCACAAATCACACCCACACCAAATGGGGCCAAATGCCAGCTGTGTGAAAGAGGACATGCTGCTTGGGGACCGTAGACAAACAGATGAGTGAGCCCAGAGTTCAGAGTAGAACTGCCCATCAGCGTACAGAAACGGGATGTTCAAAGTGTGATCTCAAAGGAGGATGGAAAAAGCCATTTGCAGAAGAAATGGGATGGGCAAGGGGTTAGCAGGAGGAGTGATTATCTATTGTATTGCTCCAACAATGAAATAAGCTTGAGACCCAACTTTGCAGATGTGGGGAAGGGTGGTCCCTCCAGAGGTAGCCTTTTTTTTTGTTTTTTGTTTTTTGTTTTTTTTCTAAGAAGGTCAAGGTGCAAAGCGACAGCTGTAAGGAGATTCCAGAGCCTCCCCAGTTTGGGAGCCAAGAGACAGGGGATCCCTGGTGTCTCTTCTGTGGGAGACAAGGGTGATGGAGTAATTCTCTCCAGTTGTTTCATATCCAGAGCTGCAGGGCGATATTGCTGCTGCTACTTTAACTTTTATTCCACTAAGGCTGGTAGGCAGTTCAAGGGTAGTAAAATTGCTTCCCTATGGAAAATGAACTCACAACGAACCACAAAATTCACGGACTTTTCTACTTTTCAGTGCTCACAGAGAAACTTGGTTATTTATTTATTTAATGAAATGTGAACTTCGGTTGGATGATGGTCTGACAGCTTTTATGTTGTCACCAGCTTCAAAAAAGTGACACCGGCCGGGCCCGGTGGCTCACACCTATAATCCCAGCACTTTGGGAGGCTGAGATGGGTGGATCACATGAGGCTGGGAGTTCGAGATCAGCCTGGCCAACATGGCGAAACTCCGTCTCTACTAAAAATACAAAAATTAGCCAGGCGTGGTGGCTGGAGCCTGTAATCCCAGCTACTCGGGAGGCTGAGGCAGGAGAATGGCTTGAACCTGGGAGGCGGAGGTTCCTGGGAGCCAAGCTCGCATCACAGCACTCCAGCCTGGGCCACAGAGCAAGACTCCATCTCAAAAAGAAAATAAAAAAAAAAAAAGTGACACCATGGAGGTCAGAGCTGCTGTCATAAATGGCAGAATCTGGCCTGCTGGACACCTGCCACATGCTGGGACTTTGACCACTCTCTATGGACCATTAACCCAGTAAGCACAATTCAACGGGTATCCAGTGCATTCGTAAGCAGCACAGATAGTGGGGAGGAGGAGGAGGAGGAGGAGGAGGAAGCAGTCTGCACTTCATATTTGTTCTCACTCTGCATGATTTTCCTGGGGAATCAATCCACTCACATGGTGTCCACAGCCAATTTACAGGATTGCAACGCCCAGCTTTCCATATGCAGTCTATGGTTCTGTGATGAGTCCCTGCCTCACTCACGTACATGGGTTCCTGTGTATGCATTTATTCATTTGCTCACATACTCAGTCATCCATTCATGTGTGTTTTGTTCAATGTTACCTACTGAGCACCCACTGTATACCCTGCAGGGTTCTAGCCATCAAGAATATGATGAATACGAGACAGACACAGTCCTTGCTTTCACAGACCTTATGGGAAACATTTCAGGCAGTGCTAAGATTTGTGAAGGAGATTATGGGGTTGAGTAAGGAGGAGAGTTAAAGAAGCAGGCAGTCAGGAAAGGCCTTTTTGAGAAGGTGACATTTGGACCCAAATGACACGAAGGAGGCCGTTTCCAGATCTGCAGGAAGAACCTTCCAGACAGGAGAAAGACAGGGCTAGTTCCCTAACTCACTTCCCTTGTCTTCTCTTCATCAGGAGTTGGCCTCTGATGGCCAGTGTGGCTGGGGCATGGTAAGCAAGGGGAACGTGGTACGAGTCAGGGCCGGGGAGAGCCATAGGGGCCAGATGATACTGAGCCTTCCGGGCTACAGAGAGGAGTCTAGAATGTTTTCTTGGTGGGATGAGAAGATTTAGAGAATTTCAACAGGGGTAGAGCATGATTCGATGGAGGTTATGGGGCCAGGAGAGGAGATATGGAAACCAGTTATGAGGATGCTGCCATTATCGGGGATATGAAGGTGGTGGCTGGACTCAGGAGTCGCTGTGAAGATGGGGGATGTGGACAGATCCAGGAAATGCAACTGGCACCTCATACTCAATTCAAACCCAACTAAGTCCAATTTTTCTCTCCAGATTTGCTCCTTCTTTGGCTAAATGGCAGCTACTGTTCTCCATCCTGTCTCCTGAGCCAGGCTTCTGAAAACAATCTGAAATTCCTCCTCCTCCATTTCTTCCAACATCCCATCAGTCATCAAAGATAGATTCTATTTTCCCCAGGCCTCTAAAACACACCTCCTTCTCTCCATCTCTACTTTATCAACTCTTGCCCAGACAATTGCAATCACATCCAAATTGATCTCCCTGCCTCTGGTTTCACCCTGCTAGGATTCATCCTCCAACAGCAGAGAGACTTTTCTGAAATGAAACTCTGAACATGTCATTCCACTGCTTAAGGACATTCAGTGGCTCCCCCAGTCCTCCTAGGATAAAATCCCAACCTTGGCTTGATGTACACAGTGCTCCTATATGGATCCTTCCACAGTGCTCCTGCATCGATCCTTCCCACCTCTCCCACCTCATCTCCTTTTGAGGCCCCACCCCAGCTCGAGACAAACCTGACAGGCACAGAGTCCAGGCTCTTTTTTCCCTATCTGTCCTTGTGAAAGCTGTTTCCTCTGCTTAGGATGCCTTTGTTGGAAGAGACCCTATTTATTCTTAGAAGATTCCATTTCCAAGTCATCATCTCTGTGATATTTTTCTTGATCTTCCTCTTCCTCTATGTAGAAGTGACAATTCCATCCTTTATTTGTCCATTTTCTTTCATCTCCTGGTAAAACTTTATTGCACTGATTTGAAAAGCTGCTTTTCTTTCAGTAGAGACAAACTTCTCTGTTTTCTCACCACCACCAGTGTGTCTAATTCATCTCAGTGTCTCTAGCACCTAGCAAAGTATCTGACAATATCAAACATAGAATCAAGGTGGCTACAGGCAAGAGTGAAGGGATGAGGGGTTCATCTGCAACCATTATGGATAGAAAGAGGAGCTGGCCAGGCGCGGTGTCTCATGCCTGTAAACCAAGCACTTTGGGAGGCAGAGGTGAGTGGATCACCTGGGGTCAGGAGTTCGAGACCAGCCTGACCAACATGGTGAAACTCCATCTCTACTAAAAATACAAAAAAATTAGCCGGGTGCAGTGGTGCACACCTATAATCCCAGCTACTTGGGAGACTGAGGCAGGAGAATGGCTTGACCCTGGGAGGCAGTGGTTGCAGTGAGCCTAGATTGTGCCACTGCATTCCAGCCTAGGTAACAAAGCAAGACTCCATCTCAAAATGAAAGAAAGTGGAGCCATGGACAGTTAGTCATCTCACTGCTTCACCCTGCAACCAGAACATAGGCAAGTCTCAAACCATTTGCACTTGTGCAGGTCCACACTCTGCAGGGAAGGCTGGTAGGAGACAGACTCAGGAAGAGTGGACGCTGCAGTGCCATGTGGAAGGGAGCGTGCTGGCAAAGTCGCCTCTTCCTGGAGAAGAGTTGGTTGTGTTTTCTGTGAAGGCCCTGGACTAACTGGACAAGTCCCACCCATCTGATGGAGGCTAATCTGCTTTTCTGAGTCTATGGATTTAAATGTTAATCTCATCTAAGTACACATCTTCCCAGAAATACTTGGGATGATGTTTGACCAAATGTCTGGGCACTGTGGCCCAGTCAAGTTGACACATAAAATTAACTAACACAAGGGAATTGGATCTTCCAGTTGTTTATCTGCTGTGGAGAAACAAATCACCCTAAAGCTTAGCGGCTAAAACAACCACCACTGTATGATTTCTCAGGATCACGTGAGTTGACTGAGGCTCCTTAGGGAGGTTCTTCTGCTGGCCTTTGCTGGAGCTGCTCATGGGGTGGTGGTTAGGTTACAACAGGTGTGGCAGGGATGGCTGAGGGCTGAGGCTTCTCTCTCTCTCTCTTTGGGGCTAAATGAGGCTTCTTCACGTGGCTGCTGGCTTCCAAGAATGACTGCTCCAAGAACAAGCCCCAGTGTGCAAGCACTTACCAAACCTCTGGTTGCATTACGTGTGTTCATATCCCTCTGACCAAAGCGGGCCAGGCCACATGGCCAAGACCAGGGTCAATATAAAGGAGACTCCGGAATGGCACAACCACCAGCAGGCCTGGTTAGTCTGGAACAGCCAAAGTAACAGTCTACCATACCAGTCAACACGTGGCTGAGCCAAAGAGTCCTTCATGTCACAGGGGCCTATTACAGGTGAGAGTGGCCGCTGTCGAGAGGTTGCTCCTAAAACAAGAGCCTGCTCATCCGTCATTATCTTCTGCCTATGGTCAAAGCTCTCTGTGGCCGAAAGCCATTTCTAGCCTTGGTTTTCAACTCTGTCTTGTGGGTAGGAGCTCAACTCACCCTTTCCTGCAGCCCAGGCGTATTTCCTTCTTCACGCCACCTGAGCTCCTAGACAACAGGATTTCTAGAAGGAGCCTTGCTAGTGTTTTGGGCCTGAGGTTGATGCCAACGGTCTTTCAGCCACACGGGACTTGTTTTGTTTTTTAACATGCATTTGTTGCGGCTACCTAAAAGATGAGAGGTTTTGCCTGAAAGTCTGCATTTCTGTTTTCTCTTGAAGAGTCCCTAGGTCTAGTAGAACTGGGCCAGTGTCTTGTCAAAGGGACGATTCTTTGGAGCTGGGTGGTGGCTGTCCCCTTGGGTAGGGACACGGATGATTCTTTGGAGCTGGGTAGTGGCTGTCCCCTTGGGTAGGGGCACGGATGATTCTTTGGAGCTGGGTGGTGGCTGTCCCCTTGGATAGGGGCATGGACGATTCTTTGGAGCTGGGTGGTGGCTGTCCCCATGCTGTCAGTTCAACAGAGACCCAACCACTCACTGTTGTCTCCGAAACAAAGGTGCCTGTCCATTGTTTCTTGTCATTGCAGTAATGCTGTGGCTTCCTTTCAGAAGGGGCAAATCTTTCTGTGGCCATGTTTTTACCACAGTGAGAAAAAAAAAGCTAGGCTGGGAGGACAGTGTGTTCCTTAGGAACGCCCTCTGAAGACCCACTATGTCACCCACTCATGTCACCGTCTCACCCCTGTCACCACCAAGTCTGCAGTTTCCGTTAAGACAACATCTGATCTAGGCCAGGTCTCTGCAGGCCACCCGCAGCAGCCATGCAGGCGGAGGGGCATGGGGAGTCTCTTCTTACTCATGCTCTCACTGTCAGAATTCTTTACCGCTGATAAATTACCAACATCAACACAGAAATCGGTCACCTTCCAAGAGGGCCTGCCTGTGTGTGCATTTAAATAGAGGCTGGAGTTTCGCAGAGCTGTTCTCATCCACAGGCTGTCCTTTGTGCGGGCTGTTTACAAACAAAACAGAAAAGCACCTGCCTACGGGATGGGGTTGATTTCTGGGCCGTCTGGCTGATCTCAGCACCCTGTCGCTCCAGGGCACATTTCATGGGATTCCCATACTCTATGGGACTAGCCCAGAAGGGCTGGGGTGGTGGATTTTGGGCTGGGGTGAGTAGCCCACACTGGATTTAGTCTCTCCGTGGCTATTACAACACGAAGTTCACTGCACTTCAGGCACAATCCACTCTCAGAAGATACAACTTGCGCTCTGGCGCCTGCGGCTGTTTTCTTTGTTCGGTGTTCCTGTCTCTTCCCGGTTGCATGGAGACCATTAATCTAGTTGAGGTGCTGAGCTCTGATCACATGGGACACACTTTCTCTTTCTTAGACAATCACCTTTGGCTGTTTCATCAGAAATGTGATATTCTGGGTTCCAGGGGAAAGAAAGGACGAGTGTTTGGGGTGAGGGTGGGGGTGGGAGTGTGTGTTTCTGCTTCAGGCTCTGGGCTCAAGAATCATGACCCCAGCTGCCCCAGAGCTGAGTCTCACATGAGAAGAGAAGGAACTAATTTGCTAAACAAACCACAGTGGACCTAGGTGGAAATTATTTCACTAAATCTCAAGTCTAAAATCAATTATCGTGAGCCGAGCTGAACCTGCGCTGAACTTATTTATTTTCTAAAATTCCAGAATATTCTCTGAATTAAACTTGCTGCTGAACTGAAAGGTTAGAATTCCCAGTTCTCCCTCCAGGAGAGAAGATCCTGGAGACCATCTGTATGACCTCACAGAACTACAGCAGAGATGAACAGACCATCCAGGGCGTGAGGACCCTGGCATTCCAAAACACATCTCTAAGCTTTCAAAGAAATGAGATTTCTGTGATCTGTCATCACCAAGAATAAAAATGTAGCAGTTACAGAAAAAAAGAATCCTATTTTCAATTCAAAAGAACTTTTGAAAACAAAACAAAATAAAACAAATAAAAATGGGTGAAAACAAGTGAATGCATGTTAAATTCCCGACTAATGTGTCCACGCATAAAGTGAATATTTTTCCCAGTTGTTTAGAAAGTCAGTTGTTTACAAAGTCATCAACAGAAGATGATTTGTTCTTTTATTTTTCATCACTTTTATTTTATTATTTTATTTTAATTTTATTATTTTTATTATATTATTTTATTTTCATCTGACCTACAGAACAATAGATAATTTAGTATGACCAATATTCAAAATTGGCTTCTCAAAGTTGGTTATTTTTCTTTAGGAAATGTTAAAGTTTTATGTCCATATCTTATCTATCTGTCTGTCTGTCTCTATCTATCTGTCTATCTATCTATCTGCCTGTCTTTTATCCATCATCTGTCTGTCTGTCTATCTATCTATCTATCTATCTATCTATCTATCTATCATCTATCTATCTGTTTTTCTCCTTACTAGTGAGGTTAAGCCACTTTGCTTTGAAATGGAGTGCATATAGAACTTCTGATACAATCCAGAGCCCTGGAAATGTTCTTGTTTTAATAAAGTTCTTTTGCTCTGACAACACCCTGGAAAACCTCTAGTTTGAGTTGCCAAAAACCATACTTTCTCAGATCTGCTGGAGGGTTGCACCAGAGAGTCAGAATGTGGCTCTGAGCTCCTTGACCCCTGCTGACCACAGACCACAGAGATGTTTGGATTCTGCCAGACCCTTCCATTAGGAGCCTCTGACTGTTCCGCTGCGGGGAGTCCACCCAAGGCCCCCATGGGGATGCTATCATCTCATCTATTGACAGTGCAGAAGCCTCTGCACGTGTAAAATTCAGGTGAGCAAAAGGCCACCTTGGTGCATCTCCAGCTCACATCCTGCTCATCTGGAGTCCTGTGTAACTTATCCAGGTTGGCAGCTCCCTTGGCAGCCCCTGCAGAGACCCCTCAGCTTTGCCTCCTTCTATGCCTCTGCTGATGCAAGGACTCTGACTGTCATCCCTCCCAGGCCCCCTGGTTTCCTTGAGTTCCACTGAGAGGGGTCCAGATGTCCTCTATGTAGAAGAGGGGGCCCAGGCTTTACTTTCTTGCACCTCCCCACTTGACCCTCTATACCATTCTCCAGTTTTCACTGGGCCCCTTTCCTGGCTTTTCCTTCCTTTGCCTCCTGGGTCATCAAGCGCTCTGCTTATTTGTGACGGGCAACCCTGTGAATCCTGGAGCCAGACTGCCTGGGTTCAAGCTTGGGCATACGACTTCACTTCTTTGTGCCTCAGTTTCCTCATCTGTAACACAGAACCTACCCCATAGGGATGTTATGAAGATGAAATGAGCTAATACATGTAAGTGTTATCCAACAGTGCCAGGATCAGAACAATCACTCCGCAGGAGATTTAGCATTGTAATCATTCTTTGCTAAATGATAATAGCAACTACAACGTCATTGTGAAAGTGACAATTCCATTTTTTCAGAACTGATTTTGTCTAATGCTAACATTTCAATTATGAAATTTAAAAAACCTAAGTAATACATTTTAGACACACTATTTTTGCATATTATAAAAATATGAGGTAAATCATAAATTTCTAACATAATGCATATTGAACACCTATTGTCAATTTAATATAAATAATTAGCTGCTCTGGGCTCTCCTACTTCTTTGATCTCAATCCCCTCCACCCAAGAGTATCTGTGTTCTACTTCTTCCCAGGCACACGGCTAGCCTGGGTTTCCCAGCCTCCTTTGCAGGAGCATCAAACACTGTGTGTGGTTTTCCACCAGAGGGCAATAGAGGAGTCCTAGGGGGATGGAGGAGCCATAAGATGGAAAGAGCTTGGATCCCTGAGTCACCAGGTGGAGGAAGACAAAAAATACTGATATTGGACTGTTATATAAGAGGTAAATCAACTCCAATTGTGTTAGGCCACACACAAAATTGGGAGGATTTATTTGTTACAGAAGCAAGCCTCTCCCTAACAAATACAGGGGGAGGAGGAGGGATGGGAGAACATTAACTCAGAATAACAGCCAAGAACTTGGAGATAAGGTGAGTCTGGGAGGACTTGGCTGAGGGTGTCAGGGATGTGGTAGTGGAAGAGCAGGGGAGAACCAGAATGAAAGTCTGAAATATTATTACTTAAGAGTTACTTAAAAACTACCACAGTTTATCATCCTGTATCACAATTACTAAGCCAGTCATTTAATGTTTTCAAATTGTAATGGACCCAGCTGTGCAATGGGAATGTGTCTTCTTTGTACTGCTGCATAGTCACAGTCAGCAGGACATCCTATTTCTCACCTCCTTCTAAGAAATGGTAAGTCATTCTGTGGCACTGGAACTTCCCTTGTTCCTTTTCCTGTGGAGTCATCCTTCCAAATAGGACAAAACGAAGCAATCACACATTTCCACAAAGAGATTTACCTGCACTTACTGCTGACGGAAACAGTTTCTCCACTCTTACGAAGTCGTATAGTAAAGAAGTATTTTCTGGCCACTTGTGTGTAACCCTCACTGTCACCCTATCCTGTATTATTACTTACTAATATGTTTCTTTACACCAACTACTTTTACAATTTAGTCTGGTCTAAAAGAAGAATATTCGTGAAATCATAGTTGGATGTACCAAATATATGTTGTCTTAACATGACGCGGTAGACTGACAGCAACAATGGCTGCAGTTTTAATCTCTCTCCCACAACCCACCCATCCTCTTTGCAACAGAACTCTGCAGCTTCTTCCAACAAGAGTTGAAGACTGTTTTCTATCCCTTGAACGTGGACATGGAGACAAATTTTGGCCAACAGACTTGTGTCAGCCCTGAGACAAGGCCCCACAAGCCTATGGAAGCTGTTCTTTCTCCAAGACTCTGCTGTTGCCTTGTTAGCAGGTCCCAGCTGGCCTCCTGGAGGGTGCAGCTCAGGGGGCCCAGTCACCTCTCGACACCTAGCCTGCCAAAGCCACCAACGTATGCATGAGGACTTCCTGGATTGGCCAATACTCCAGCTGACTGCAGATTCAAGCATAGCCCAGCTGACCCGCAGGCTTCTTGATGAAATAAATGCTCACTCTTTCAAGCCATCAGAGGTTGTGAGTTTTGTTATGTAGCATTATTGTGACAGATACCAGATACACATGGGCAATATGGCATGCTGGCTTCATGTGCTCTGACCCATGCATATCTTGCTAGCCCTGTGGTTTCCAACTAGGGACAGTTTTGGTCCCCAGTGGGCTTGTGGAGACACATACTAGCTGTCAGGCACAGGTGTGTCTGGAAGCAGAGGATGGATATTTGAAGGGCAAAAGATGAAACTAGATGATTGATAGATAGATAGATAGATAATAGAGATAAATGAGAGAGAGAGGGAAGGAGGGAGAGGGGGAGGGAGAGAGGGAGAGAGAGAGAGAGAGAGAGAGAGAGAGAGAGAGAGAAAGAGAGAGATCTCAGCTTTTATGAGCTTAATCAGAAATGAAAGTGTTGTTAGGTACTAACTGAGCTCCCATGTACCTTGAGTTGATTAAGGCTGTAGCAGAGAGTGTAAGGTTCCTGGCATGCACCGTTCTGACTTCTGAGTGCTTGAGTGGCTGAGACCACCCACTTTCCTGGAGGACCTACAGTGCCATTTGGTTACAACAGAATTGATGCTACTCACCCTTTACTGGTCAACAAGGTCAACAAAAAAGTAGGGATTGCAGGATAAGAGAGGCTATTTTACAGGGAAAGGGAGGAATCCAGAAGGGGAAGTGCGTCTGGCCTTCAGGTCCCCATGAGAGAGGAGGAAGTCCCTGAGAGGTGATTTTCCATGAAGCCGTTGGAGGGAAGCCCTAAAGATTTGCTCATAGCCTTTGGAGGTAGCTAAACCACCACCCTTCAGCCTCAGGGACAGGGGACCAATTCCAGTCTGAAAGTTTGGGATCCCAGGCCATTATAGTACCAGATGCTGCCTGGAGATAATGGAGAGGGCAAAATGACAGGCTGATGGGAAAGCTCTCTTTCAAGTTTCCAATCCCTGGGAAGTAAGGAAGATGGACCTGGCTCAGGCCTCAGAATCAGGGCCAAGAGATTAGACAACTTTGTGGGGGGTGAAGACTGCACATGGTGAGGAAAGAGGGCTACCCTCCGGGGTCACTGCCAGTGTGGCTGGCTGTGAGGGCTGCTGTGGCCTGGAGAGCTGCCCATAGCCCACCGTGCATCTGACCCAGGGTGCGTGAGGTCCATCCGGAGGAAGGCTGGGAGTCCCCACGGGAAATCACAGGAGAATGCACTTCACATTTCCCTCTCCCATTTTGTCACCTCAAAACTGAAGAAGTTAGTCCACAAGGAAGGGTTCAGGTGGCACAACACCATTTAAATTTCAAGAGAAGCAAGTCTGGTCTGCTGGGATATTATTAAGGGAGTCTGTGGCAGGCAGAGTCAAGCTTGGCAAAGACGTCAGTGTCCTCATCCCTGCAGACTGTGAATGAGTTAGGTTACATGACAGGGGAAAGTGAGGTTGCTGATGGAATTGGAGTCGCTAACAGCTGATGTTGAGATGGGGAAGCTATCCTGATTATTCAGGTGGGGCAGTGTAATCAAAGAGCCCTTAAAAGTGGAAGAGGGAGGCAGAAAATGAGAATCAGAGGGAGGTGAGACTAGAGGAAAAAAGTCAGAGATGCAACACGGCTGGCGCTGAAGATGCAGGGAAGGGTCTTGGGACGGCCTGCAGATGGAGGAAGGGAGTCTCAGGCTTGCAGATGGAGGGAGGGGTCTTGGGGGCCTGCAGATGGAGGGAGGGGGTCTCAGGCCTGCAGATGGAGGGAGGGAGTCTCAGGCCTGCAGATGGAGGGAGGGAGTCTCAGGCCTGCAGATGGAGGGAGGGAGTCTCAGGCCTGCAGATGGAGGGAGGGAGTCTCAGGCCTGCAGATGGAGGGAGGGGTCTCAGGCCTGCAGATGGAGGGAGGGGTCTCGGCCTGCAGATGGAGGGAGGGGTCTTGGGGGCCTGCAGATGGAGGGAGGGAGTCTCAGGCCTGCAGATGGAGGGAGGGAGTCTCAGGCCTGCAGATGGAGGGAGGGGTCTCGGCCTGCAGATGGAGGGAGGGAGTCTCAGGCCTGCAGATGGAGGGAGGGAGTCTCAGGCCTGCAGATGGAGGGAGGGGTCTCAGGCCTGCAGATGGAGGGAGGGGTCTCGGCCTGCAGATGGAGGGAGGGGTCTTGGGGGCCTGCAGATGGAGGGAGGGGGTCTGGGGCCTGTAGATGGAGGGAGGGGTCTAGGGCCTGCACATGTGGGGGCCTCTGGCAGCTGGAAAGTCAAGGAGAGATATTCCCCTAGAACATCCAGAAAACAAGGCAGCCCTGCTGAGACCTTGATTTTAGCCCAGCGCAACTCAGGTTTGTTTCTAACCTACAGAACTGTAAGATAACACATTTGTGTTGTTTTAAGCCACTAAATTTGTAGTCCTTTACAGCAGTGGTGGGAAACTAATACAGATTCTGAGCCCATATCCTAGCTCTCTGTTCTCAGTGGAGCAGCCCAGAGCTCTTGCTGTCCTGCCGGTGAGACCCCCTCAGACCTCAGGACAGGCTCCGGGTGCTGCCTCCGCACAAAAGGTGTAGTCTCAGGTGTGGCCTGTGGTCTCCAGCAAGCTGTTTCCCCTCCTTCCAGACCCGGCTCCAGACGCCCCCTCCGGGTCACTGCCAGTGGTGCTGATCTCTGACTCCTCAGACCTGGCTATTTCCTCTCCAAGGGACGTGGGCCTTACTTCCTGCCACAGTGCCTGAACTCTTCTTCCTTTCTGACCATCACATGACTTGCTCAGTTAGCCTATGTGGAATCTACTCAAAGCCACCTTTTCAGTGAGGTACATATGTTTATAACATATGCTATACATATATGTGTGCATACATACACATATCTTGCCGAAAAGACACAGAGAAGGGAAATAGGACACACACACACACACACACACACACACACACACTTCTACATAGGATATGGGATGTATACATGTATATTTAAAATAGGTTATGTATAAGAAATTACACATATAGAATACAGAATAGAGAGATCTATATGAAAATATCTCCCATTTTCCTTTCTATGGAGGAAACTATATATATGAAACTATTATAAAGGATATATATGAAAATAAAATATACATAAATATAGCTATATATAGGTTATATAGGAGATGAGATATATGTGGATGTATGTGTGTATCCTAGTTTTCTCCTCTGTAAAGGAAACTACATATATGATACTAATTATATAAGATATAGGAGATATATATGTATATTTATATATATCTCAGTAGGAGATTATACATATATCTCTATATCTCCTATTTTTCTTCTCTAAAGAGGAAGCTATATATATGAAACTGTATCACAGGATATAATGAACCATACACACACACAGAACACACACACACACATACACACACACACACGAAATATCTCCTGTTTTTGTCCTCCAGTTGGAAACTCATGAGGGGCAGGGACTTTTTTGTTACTGCTTAATCTCCAGCACTCTGATCAGTGGCTTGCATGTATCAGAAACTCAATAAACACTTGTTAAATTATTTATGTTTATGCCAAAGACTCTTCATTCAAATCAGTTACAAACATTTTAATTTTGAATTCTGTACGAAAGCTTCCATCATATCTTCTGAACCCTGGGTCTCTAAAGTCTGAACCTGGCCCTGTAGAAAACAAATTCACATCTAGTGGAGGCACAGTGTTCACTTCTGGTCTTCACCAGGGCCTGAGTCTTACTCTTGGCTGGACCTCGAATGGTTCCTACTACCTTGACCTGCGTCTGCACTCACTGGGGAGGTCTGGAAGAGACCCCTGGGGCCTCCATCCTGGGTGACTTGTCATGATAAATGTTGCTCAAGAATATCAGAATCCAAATAGAAGTTCTCATTTGGAATTTGGAATCCACCGATTGTCTTCCTTGACTGTAGCCATGACCTCCAAAGTAAGAAGTGTATCATCACTAGTTTTACTTAGAAGAACTTTGAGCTTGGTTTTCATCTTGATCACACACACTCATTATGTGATACTTGTTTTTCCTCTCTTCTTGGATCAAAGACCTTCCCATGAGGGGAAAGATGGCAGAAGCTTCTGTAACTGACTCTAACATTGAAATCAAGATTCTGTGGCAAATTCTTATAAGAGAAACTTTAAGGCCCTGAAAGACTAATCATGAAAAATACCCCTTTTGGATAAATATAATCTCAAATTTAGGGTTGTTCACATATTTTTGCCATTGGTGTCTCTTCTTATTAATCTTTATTCTCTTGTATCAGAGGACAGGGCTGGCTGGGTACTAATTATCTATCACTGCCTCCACTGGTGAGATTTTGTGGCACAAATGGGGGGTTTGAATTACAGCGGGTGTGTTGCACACTCAGATACATTTTAACTGTGATGTGCCTGGTGGTAGCTGGGCGCCTCGTTTTAGCACCAAAGGAGGTTCAAATCCTAAATCACTATATACAACACTACCATTCTAATGTTGGGCTTCAAAAATTATATAACAGGCCAGGCGCGGTGGCTCACGCCTGTAATCCCAACACTTTGGGAGGCCGAGGCGGGCGGATCACGAGGTCAGGAGATCGAGACCACAGTGAAACCCCATTTCTACTAAAAATACAAAAAATTAGCCGAGCGCGGTGGCAGGTGCCTGTAGTCCCAGCTACTAGGGAGGCTGAGGCAGGAGAATGGCGTGAACCCGGGAGGCGGAGCTTGCAGTGAGCCGAGATCGTGCCACTGCACTCCAGCCTGGGTGACAGAGTGAGATTCTGTCTCAAAAAAAAAAAAAAAAAAAAAGATACAACAGCTTTATGCCAATTACATGCACTCTGTATGTGATACAGTGTTTAATTGCCTGCATGTTTAGTTAGAGGTTTTAAGGTGACATATGGCATATAACTCATGCTTTAATGCAGCTGTTGCCAATATGTTTTCCTTCTTCACATAGCAATGTTTTTTTTTTGTGGTCACAGAACTGAAAGTAAATAATTCTCCATCGCAGAAATGGAGGCAAATCAGCACGTTAACCCTTACAGGCAGGTTAGAAACCCAGAAGGTGCTATGCCTGCAATTTGGGCTGCTGCCACCAGGTGGCACCATTACAAATCCCTTGACCCATAGTATCTTGCCCATCATGCTTTAGAGCATTTTGCAAATAACACATCCAAAATCGAATTTTACTAAAATAACCTATTAAACACAAAGTATGTGTGTTAAAAAGTCAATTTAACTGGAAATACCATAAAAGGGAAATGAAGGATATAATACTTTATATCTCATTGGATGTTCATCAATTTTTAATACAAAGATGGGTTTGTTGTCCATTCATTCAACAAATCATTATTTATTAAGCAACTGCTACATACCAGGCCTTCTGGTAAGTCCAGGAATATAGAAATGAGTAAGACATGTTCCCCAGTCTTGAATTCCTCCAACGCTATCAGATGTGCCCACTCATGGATAACTGAGGACTACAATGTGTGCTAAGTGTGATGAAGTCACATTTTACCTAAGAGTTAAAGTCTACAGAAAGGTAAAATTTGCCTATAGTGAAGATTTTTCTTGAACGTCTCTTAAACTGAAGCTCTTCTGACCATGTCTCTTGTTTGGACTCTAAAGCCTGACTTTTGGCATTTTGACCTTCAGGGGTTAGGAAGCAATCATTTGCAATCCTCATGGTTTGCTTTCATTACCTACCCAGTACCTGTTAAAGGAACCCTTGGTCCATGGCTCCTTGTTTTCATTTAAGCTGATAAAGAATTTCAATTTGCTGTCCCATTTTTTTCCTCTCCATGTAGAAAACAGAAAATATGGAGAAGCAATTAGGGCTGGGCCCCTCTCTTCCTAACCTCACCCCTGTTTTCTTATCTTTACATCCAGAACACTAACCCTGCAGCTATTCTCACCATAGGTTTACTCTTTTCTGAACTGGACTGACAGAGCCATCTGAATACAATCCTAAACATTACCCAACAACAGAAATCCAAATAATGCATGTTCTCACTTATAAGTGGGAGCTAAACTATAAGAACTTATGAACACAAAGAAGGAAACAACAGACCTGGGGGTCTACGTGAGGGTGGAGGGTGGGAGCAGGGAGAGGAACAGAAAAGATCACTATTTGGCACTTGACTTAATTCCTGGCTGATGAAATAATCTGTACAACAAATCTTCATGACACGAGTTTACCTACGTAACAAACCTTCACGTGTACCCCCAAACCTAAAAGTTCAATAAAAATAAAAATAAACATTATCCATTAATTCAGCTCTTGAAACTTCTGCTTATTTTTATTTGGGCCTGGAGGGAGTCTCATCCAACAACCAGGGTATATTTTCACTTTTTTATGTGAAGGTTCAGGAAAAATTCACCGTGCAGTGAGTATACAGGTGTCTCCTTATCCAAATGAAGAAAATGTTCAGAGTTGTTTCTATGTTTTTTTCTACTGAAGAGAGGAGTCTTCCTCCTCCCCATGATAACCAGAATCCTCTATGTGACAACCAAGAGAGATGGCCCTCTCTGTCCTCATCCACTGTGACTTCTTAGATAAGATCTTTCTTTCAACAAATATTGATAGCCCAGTGGGCAGCAGGCATTTTTCCAGGCACCGGGGAATAAGTAATGATCAAAACCAACCAGTCCTCACCCTTGTAGAGGTGGACAATGAACAGATAACAAGCAAAAAATATAGGAAGGCTTTGGTGATAAGTTCTATGAAAAAACATAGGGCAGGGAAGAAGGATGGGGAATGTCAGAGGTGGGGCACTGCTGTTGAAACTGGGGAGATTTGAGCAGAGACCTGAAGACAGTGAGGGGGAGCTGTGTGCATCCAGTAGGCGGGAGAAAGGCAGGGTGAGGTCTCCAGGCAGGCACAGGCCTGGGAGGTTCCAAGAGTCATCAAGAAGCCCAGTGTGGCCAGAAGGAGAGTTGCAGGAAATGAGGTGAGGATGGTAGGGGCTAAGAGGGAGGGTGGGGAGATGGAATAGGCCTTAGAGGCAGTTGTAAGGAACATAGCTTTCACTGGGCGGGAGACAGAAACCATGGGAGGATTTTGAGTGGAGAAATAATGTGATGTGGCCCATATTTTAAAAGGATCACTTTGACTCTCGGGTGGGGAGTGGATTTTGGGGTGGGGGACAAGATCAAAAGCAACAAGGAGAAGCTCATAGGAAATTCATATTACCTTGTGACCCTGACCCACTTATCTGGTTCTAAATAGTTAAACCAGGGAAGGCTTTGTGCAGACAGTCCTGAAATTAAGAACATAGCTGAAGGCATATTCCTACTTATAAGGGAATTTAAGCATAATTGAAGTGACTCTAATTGATTAATTTTCCAATGCAACCACATGTGTTTTTTTGTGGCCACAGAACTAAAAAGCTGTTAGAATCAAAATTTGTCATGTTAAATGGATCGTGTCCATTCAACAACAGAAAAAAACTGAGGAATAAAGAGTTTACGGGGGCCAGGTGCAGTGGCTCACAGCTGTAATCCCAGCATTTTGGGAGGCCAAGATGGGCGGGTCACTTGAGGTCAGGAATTTGAGACCAGCTGGGCCAACGTGGTGAAACCCCATCTCTACCAAAAATACAAAAATTAGCTGGGTGTGGTGGCACACGCCTGTAATCTCAGCTACTTGGGAGGCTGAGGCAGGAGGATGGCTTGAACCCAGGAAGTGGAGGCTACAGTGAGCTGAGATGGCGCCACTGCACTCCAACCTGGGCGACAGAGTGAGACTCCATCTCAAAAAAAGAAAAAAAAAAGAGTTTATGGATCTTGCCCTGGTTGTTGTTGTTTGTAAATATCAGAGCGAGGATTTAAATCCATGCAATTTGACTCAGGAGCTAAATGCTTAAGCAGCATGTTATAATCTTTTCATGCAGCAACAGGCAGGTAGGATGCAGTTGTGGTTTTATCTCTAGAAAGGGCATGTGTCCCTCAGTCTGTGCAATCCTCATGATTCCTTATTGCTTTCACTCATTTAAATTATCTCCTGCCTCTTGTATTCTTCTGGGCTTGTGATTCCTGGTATAAATGTTCTCCAAAATCCTTTATATAAATTCTATGTAAGTGGGGTAGCATGGGGAGGTCATGTGGTTTCTTTCTAGGTCTAAGATGCCCATGATTGGCAGTATTGGGGATTGTCAACCAATGTCTCAGCACAGTAAAATGATGTGGTGTATTTGACTGGTGATGTCTGCCCTGGGTATGGTCCTGGGAGGAGTATCTTGTGTGAGGTTTATTTGCTGATGCTGTTCTAGACTAACCTAAGATATAGGGTAAGGTTGGTCCATCTTTGACCCATTTTCTCTCATTTTTTGATGTGTTCCCATTTCTCCAGGAGGTATAATCTCTGCTTGTCCAGATTTGACTATCAAAAAGAAAAGTGATCTAAACAATTCATTATGACAAAAATTTCCAGGAATTGATATATACAATCTCACCTAGAAATGCATTAACTTTAATGAAGGATTGTAGGGAGAGATTAATGCCTAATCCAATGGCATGAAGTCTTGTTGGAAGAATTGCATGCATCTGTGGAGGAGTTACTTTTGGCTGGGGAAGTAGGGTGTCAGTAAATAATCATGTAAGTCACCACCCGTGAAGAAAAGGCCCAGTAGAGTCCATGAGCAGAGATTGGCACTTTCTCTACAGAGGACTGGATGGTAAGTATTTTCAGCATTGCAGGCCATATGATTTCTCTCACAACAGCTCAACTCTGCCCTGGTCACATAAAAGCAGCTACTAACAAGATGTAAATGAGTGGGTGTGGCTGTGCGGCAATGAAACTTTCTTTATGGATACTGAACTTTGGATTTTATATAATTTTTATATATCCACTCTGTCACTGTAGCACAAAAGCAGCCATAGACAATACTCAACAGGTAAACATGCCCAATCTCATCCCCAAGCAGGCAGAGTTTGCCGACCCCTATTCTAGAAGATGAGCGATAGAGCAAGATAGAAAAGGGCTGGAAATGGGTACCACGTATGTGATCTCTGATGATGCATCAGAACTCTCTGTGTCTCAATTCCCTCACCCCAAAAATGAGGATAAAAATAATACCACTTTCAATGGAGCAGAACAGAGAGCCTAGAAATGAATCCATGCTTGTAAAGTCCATTGATTTCCAACAAAGGTTCCAGGAACACAAAATGGGAAAGGACAGTCTCTTCGATAAATGGCACTGGGAAAACTGGATATCCACATGCAGAAGAATAAAACTGGATCTTTATCACACACCACATCCAAAAATCAACTCAAAATAAAGACTTAAACACAAAACCAGAAACTGCAAAACTACTAGAAGAAAACACAGGGGAAACACTGTATGAGTTGTGTCTGGGCAATAATTTCCTGGACTTGACCTTGAGAGTACAGGCAACAAAACAAAATAGACAAATGAAATTGAATGAAACATAAACATTTCTACACAGCAAAGGAAACGATTAACAGTGTGAAGATATAACCCATGGAATGGGAGAAAATATTTGCAAGCCATACATCCAATAAGGGTTAACATCTAAAATATATAAGAAATTCAAACAACTCAATAGTAAGGAAACAATCCAATTAAAACATGAGCAAGGGAACTGAGCAGACATTTCACAAAAGAAGAGCTACAAATAGTCAATAGATACATTTTAAAATGCTCAACATCACGAATCACTACGGAATGAAGATTAAAACCATTCCTTGGTTTTAATATCACCTCACATCTGTCAGAATGGCTATTATTAAGAATTGTTAAAATTATAAAATTATAAAAATCATTAAGAATTATTAAAAAGATAGCAAGTGTAGGCAAGGATGTAACGAAAAGGGAACTTTTGTACACTGTTGGTGGTACAGTCATTATGGAGAACCATACGGAGGTTACTCGAAAAACTAAAATAGAATTACCATATAATCTAGCAATCCCACTTCTGGGTATATACCCCAAAGATCTGAAATTAATATGTGAAAGAGATGTCTCACTTCTATGTTCACTGCAGCACTACTTACAATAGCGGAGTTATGGAATCAATCTAAGTGTCCATCAACAGATGGATGGGTAAAGGAAATGCATTACATATAAACAATGGAATACTAGCCAGACATTAAAAAAACATTGTATCATTTTTGACAATATGCATGAAATTTGAAAACATTATGCTAAGTGAAATTCACAAGGCCCAGAAAGACAAATACTGCATGTTCTCATTTGTGGAATTTAAACTAAAACAATGGATGTCATCAAAGCACAGAGTAAAATGGTCACTACAGACGTTGAGGCTTTGGTACAAGGCTTCAGTTAGCCAGAAAGAATAAGTTATTTTTTAAAAATCTATCTCACAGTGTGGACAATATAGTTAACAATAGTATATTGTACATTTCAAAACGTGTCAAGAGAGTAAATTTCAACTGTCCTCACTACAAAAAATAAGTATCTGAAGTGAAGGATATGTTAATTAGTTTGATTTAATTATTTCACATTTTTTCATAAATCTTAACATCACTTTGTGCTCCATAAATATATATAATTATAAACTGTTAATTTATAATAAGATAAAAATTAAAACAGAAAATATGTGTTAAACTATAACTGATAAAAATATCTATTTCATGGGGTTGCTGTGAGGATTAAAGAAGCAAACGCTTACCTGCTATGAAGTAAGCATCCAATAAGTATTAAAACATCACAATTTCTATTCTCATTGCTATAACACGTCCATCTACCTTTTTTTTTTTTTTTTTTTTTTTTTGAAACAGGGTCTCGCTCTGTCATCCAGGATGGAATGCAGTGGTGCCATCATGGCTCACTGCAGCCTCGACTTCCCAGGCTCCAGCAATTCTCCTCCATCAGTGTCCTTAATAGCTAGGATAACAGGCATGCACCCAGCTAATTTTTGTATTTTTGGTAGAGATAGGGTTTCGCCATGTTGCTCAGGCTGGTCTCGAACTCCTGAGCTCATGTGATCCACCCATCTTGGCCTCCCAAATTGTTGGGATTACAGGTGTGAACCACCACGCTCAGCTAACTCTAATTACTTTTAATCTGCATCAGGAGTGAAATAATCCACTAACAATTCTAAAATCACACATTAGGTTTTAGAAACAGATTGACATAGCAGAAGAAGAACTTACAAGATGAGCCTACAGATGGGAACCAGAAATGTTGTTTTCTCTAAACTAATATATTTACTCCTGTATTATCCATTTTTAAACTGCTCTAAAGAAATACCTGAGACTGGGTAATTTATAATGAAAAAGAGGTTTAATGGACTCACAGTTCCACATGGCTGGGAGGTCTCACAATCACAGCAGAAGGTGTAGGAGGAGCAAAGGCATGTCTTACATGGTGGCAAGCAAGAGAGCTTGTGCAGGGGAACTGCCCTTTATAAAACCATCAGATCTCATGACACTTATTCACTATCATGAGAACAGCATGGGAAAGACCCGCCCCCACGTTTCAATTACCTCCCACTGGGTCCCTCGCATGACACATGGGGATTATGGGAGCAACAATTCAAGATAAGATTTGGGTGGGGACACAGCCAAACCATATCAACTCCTAATCCAGCAATAACAAAAATCCTAACGTTAGGAAGTCAACTTTAGGAAAGAATCACCACTATTTGCTGTCCAAATAGAATGCCGTGATTAAAAATCAATAATAATGCCAGGTGAGTATGCAAAGTTTATGTGGTACAGTTCATCTTTATCTTCCCCTAACTCTCCCTGCCATGAATCCACTTGGATCTCCACTTAATGGAGGGGGGACCAAGAGGGCCAATCCCTGTATCCCGCAGGTGGTCACTCCCACTCTGTAGCTACAGAGTCCTTTCCAATATTGAAGGATTACTATCAAAATGACCACCTTTTGCCACATGATGGATTGAAGAAAGTGTCTATTGGGAGGCCAGTCTAATCCATTACCCCTGCCGAATAAAAGAGCCTCAGAGATACTCCTTCACTAATCAAAAGTGCATCTCTTGTGTTAGTGCATCAAAGGTATCATGCTCATACATGGGGGATGCTATTGTTATGTGGCCAGTCTGCTCCCTGAGAACTCTTCCCTGCAGGTGACACAGGGAAAGTCTTCAAAGGCGGCAGCAGGGATCAGTGAGGCGGCGCAATCCCTGCAGCTTCTCCATTCCTGAGCTGAATATTTGAAGCCATTTGGCTAAACTCTTGGGGTGGGGACAAAAAAGCTGATCGGGAGTTATAGGATCTGCAGGTGGAGAAAAAAAGAAGGGACTATTTAGGAAACTGCCTCCTGGGGGCTGTCCCTGTGGCTGCGCAGGTTGTCGGGCGCCCAGCTGGATTGCAGAAAGAGAACTGCTGGGAGCCGGCTCTCCACCACTCTCCTCTCCTCAGGAACAGGCTGCTGGAAGAGGAGCCAGGCCATTCAGGCCCCAACACTGAAGCACTCCACCAGGGATGCTGAAAATAGCTGCAGAAGAGCTTCTCTGATTTTCCACTCGTCTCTTCCTCCCAGTTGTTTACTCAGCTTGTTAAGCGTTGTGCTCCCATCCCCGAAATTACACTCCTTCTCCTCACAGCAGTTTGCTGCACTCACAGAAAGATTCCACTTTGATCCACCTTAGGAGAATGTGTCAAGCTTTATACACCTGATTTCCACTGGTGTGTGTCTCTGGTGCAGAAGCAAGGGTGGATGTTGATGCTGTTGAAATGCTGTATAATAAAGCAGGTTCACCAAGAGCAGCTGTAATCAGGTAGGGCTACAGCCCCCTTTGATTTTTATCAGTGGACATTTCTGAAATATTTGGTGGATACTGGTTTATTCAGGACCTGTTAATGAACACTTGAGTCTGTAAGTTGCAACAACAAAAACAAAAACCTCAGCAAATTTTTCAGGAGTAATACTTGAGCCCACGTCAATCTTCCTCCTAGTGTGTGCAGTGTGGCTGGCTTTAGGAGAGAGTGGCTCTCCCACCAGCTGATCTGTGGGTTCTTACAATGTCCCCAACCCCGAGGCTATCCCACTCCTAAGTGGCTGCAGGGGACATGGGTTGCTTTTGCTGCAGAGAGTCCACTGCCCTTCTCTGTAGTGACAATACACAGGTTGGCCCTGGGGGACCCTACTCCCCAAACTCCTCATTGAGTTCATGTGCTTTGAGATGATTTAGGGCTTGGACAACCAGTATGTTTGGATCCCTGGGCTGCAGTGCTGGGCTCAAGGATAAGGTGACCTAAATAGGTCCCATAAGAACATATCTCAGGATTTATACAGGAATGTCCTAGAAGACAAATACTCTTTTCTATTGGATGTGAACCAGTTCTGAGGCATCCATCTTGCTCCCACAAGGACAGCTCTGTGAGAATGAAACTCATACAGAAGAAAGAGTGTCTATAAGGAAGAAAAAGAGAGAAAGATTGGGGGTAGGGGGAGAAAGAGAGAGAAGGAGGGAGGGAGAGGAAGAGAGGGGATGTTCCGGTGATATATTTTGGAGTTCTAAATAAAACACCCTAAGCTAGCGCCAGGCTGGACTTTTCAATCATGTGACAATTTTTTTTAACTTGTTGATGTAGGTGGCATTTCCCATTATTTCCAACCTCTGAGAATCACAGTGTATATTATTGCAAACATCTGAAATGCTTTCACTGGGGACCTGTTGCCTTCTTGAAAAAAAAAATAAAACAAAACGAGCATCCTTGGGAGGCAGAAGAGAGCATGGCTTGACGCAATTTACAATTCAACGGGAATGAGTTTTCAGTGGATTTCCTGAGAGGAGGTTTTGATGTGGCTGGGGAAGCCCACACCAGCCTGTTGGGCTTTTGGCTGAGGAAAGAAGAGAAAGCAAATAAAAATAAAAAGACTGGGGCCTTTAAAGGCCGACCTTCTCTGCTCAGAGGCTTTCCAGGGGCTGCACAGGTGGCTGTGACACATCTCTGAGAATCCCTTGGCTTTCTTTCTTAACAGCCTCCAAATGACACCAACACATCACACGTACCAGGTGACTCTTTGTCAACATCTGTGATTCACAGAGCACCACAATGACAACTGTATGAGCTGTGGGTTTTGATTTTTAAGTTGTGCATCGGGCTTTGAGGCTTATTGGTGGATGTAAAATAAATGCTGTGAGGTTTTTCATTTTTCGTTGCACCCTCTATATTTCCAAGGGTGGTTTCATGAGTCATTCTCAGAAACAAAGAGAGGAAAAACATTTCTTTCTCAAGAGTTCCTGCCCAAGTCTGAAGCCTGCATCTCATTGGCTCTGACTGGATAATGTGTCTATCCCTGAGCCAATGGCACGTCCAGAATTTGCCATGTTCTGATTGGCCACCCTGAATCACATGGCCACTCCTGGAGACTGGAGATGTGGCCACCTGCAGAAAGAACCGCCTCCTATTTCCCTTCCTCATGCCATTCCCTCTGTCAGCAGGGCATACTGGGTACAAATTCATCCTTCAGGTATTACACCTCCAGGGAAAACTTGAGTAATGCAGTTATGTTTTCCCTTCAGTGTTTAAACTACGTGAGGCAGCTTTAGGCTAAACGTTACACTAGGCACATAGTAGTTGCTCAAGAAATGTTTGCTGTCAAACATATTTAAGCAAATGTTTGCTGACAGCAAACATTTCTTAACCACCTGCTACATGCCTAGTGTTAAGTTTAGCCTAAAGCTGCCACATGTAGCTTAAGTTTGGCCCAAAGGTTTCTCCATGCCTACTGAACAGTAACCTAACTGCACGTTCAACCACACTGTACCTGCTTTTGTATCAATCGCTGAGTGTCAGCCAACTACAGGTAGCCAACACCGCAAACCATGTTCAAATACAGCAGATGCTGAACTGTAACTAACCCGGCTGCATCTGCACCTCACTCTGTTTTCTGTGGTCCACTTTCCTTTTTCTGTCTATAAATGTTATCTGACCACATGACAGCTCCAGAGTCACTCTGAACCTGTTCAGATTCTGGGGGTTCCCTAATTTGTGAATCATTATTTGCTCAATTAAACTCTGTTAAATTTAATTTGTTTAAGGTTTTTCTTTTAACACTAGTGTTGACTGACAGCCAGGAGGGCAATGCTTGCTAGAGCTTCTGGTCCAGTGGCCCTGCTTCTGTGGGAACTCAGCCAGTGGGTGCAGCCTCCTGTGGTCCCAGGAAGCATGTGGAGGGCAGGGCAGGCATTGTTACCCACCCCTGCCACTGGTAGCCAGGCAAGCCACTCCTGCTAGAGCTTCTAGCTCAATGGTCCTACTTCTGCCTAAATTTGCCAAGGGACACAGCCTCCTGTTGCTCTGGAAACATCTGGATGTCTGGGCAGGGAACTCCACCCTCTCTTGCCTCCCATAGCCAGACGTGTCACACCCAGAGAGCTTCCAACACAGCAGTCCTGTTTCTGCCTGAGCTCTAAGGACAGGCGGGCACAACCCCATATTTCCCCAGGGAGCATATGGGCAGCAGATTAGGACCAACCTGGTAAGTATACAGCTTGTCTGCCAATTGTGGCTCCTGCCTGAGGGGGCCTCATGGACCAGAATACTGAACAAAAGAAATATGGGCATGAAAACAGTAATCAGAGGGGGCTCCTCAGAGACCCAGGAGCAGACTAGAATTGAAGCCAGTCAACCGAACCCACCTTATGCCATAATCAAACCCCCTAGAACCTCAAAGAAGAAAAGAGCCAAAAAACCCATCCAAAGGACATCAACTTCATATACTGAAGAAATATCAGCCCACACAAATGAGAAAGAGCAAACACAAAAACTCTGGCAACTGAAAAAGCTAGAGTGCCTTTTTTCTTCTAAATGACTGCACTAGTTCCCCAGCAAGGGTTCTTAACAAGGTTGAAATGGCTGAAATGATATAAATAGAATTCAGAATATGGATAGAAACAAAGATCACAGAGATTCAAGAGAATATCAAACCCAATCTAAGGAAATTAAGAATCACAATAAAATGATAAAGGAACAAAGTAGCCATTATAAAAAAGAAGGAAGCTGATGTGATAGAGCTTAAAAACACACTACAAGAATTAAATAATGCAATTGCAAGTATTAAAAGCAGAATAGACCTAGCTGAAGAAATCTCAGAGCTTGAGGGCTGGCTGTCTGAAATAATTCAGTCAAACAAAAATAAAGGAAGAAAATGAAGAAGAACAAACAAAGCCTCTGAGGAAGGCTTATGGGATTATGTAAAGGGACCAAATCTACAACTCACTGGTATCCCTGAAAGAGACAGGAAGAAAGCAAGCAACTTGGAAAACATATTTCAGGATATCACCCATGAAAACTTCCCCAACTTTGCTAGATATGCCAACATTCAAATTCAGGAAATGTAGAGCACCCCTGTGAGATATCACACAAGAAGAACGTCCCCAAGACACAATCATCAGATTCTCCAAGGTCAAAATGAAAGGAAAAATGTTAAGGGCAGCTAGAGAGAAGGGGCAGGTCACCTACAAAGGGAACCCCACCAGGCTAACAGTGGACCTTTCAGCAGAAACCCTACATGCCAGAAGAGATTGAGGTCCTATATTCAACATTCATAAAGAAAAAAATTTCCAACCAAAAATTTCATATCCAAACTAAGCTTCATAAGTGAAGGAGAAATAAGCCCCTTTTTCAGGCAAGCAAGTGCTGAGAGAATTTGTTACTACCAGACCTGCCTGACAAGAGGTCCTGAAAGGAGCACTAAATATGGAAAGGAAAGACCATTGCCAGCCAATTTGAAAAAACACTTCCATACACAGAACAGTGACATTATAAAGCAACAACACAAACAAATCTATGGCTAACAACATGAAGACAGGATCAAATCTGCACATATCAATACTAACTTTAAATGTAAATGGGCTAAATGCCTCAATTAAAAGGCACAGAATAGCAAGCTGGATAAAGAAACAAGACTTAATGGTATGCTGTCTTTAAGAGGCCCATCTCACATGTAGTGACATCCATTGGCTCAAAATAAAGGGATGGAGAAAAATCTACCAAAGAAATGGAAAACAGAAAAAAAGCAAGAGTTACAATCCTAATTTCAGAAAAAAAAAAAAAAAACTGACTTTAAACCAACAAAGATAAAAAAAAGAAGGGCATTATATAGTACATGGTTCAATTCAATAAGACCTAATTATCCTAACTATACATGCATCCAATTCAGGGGCATCCAAATTCATAAAGCAAGTTCTTAGAGACCTAGGAAGAGACTTAGATCCCTATGCAATAATAGTGGGAAACTTCAACATCCCATTGACAGTATTAGACAAATCATTGAAGCAGAAAATTAACACAGATATTCAGGACCTGAACTCAACACTTCACCAAATGAACCTCATAGACATCTACAAAACTCTCCACCCCTAAACAATAGAATATACATTCTTCTCATCACCACGTGGAACATACTCCAAAATCAACCACATAATCAGACATAAAACAATCCTTAGCAAATTCAAAAAAAAAAATTGAAACCATACCAACCATACTCTCAGACCACAGCACAATGAAAACAGAAATAAATACAAAGAAAATCACTCAAAATCATAAAATTACATGGAAGTTAAACAACCTACTCCTGAATGACCTACCCCTTCCTTACACCACATACAAAATTAACTCAAGATGGATTAAATACTTAAATGTAAAACTCAAAACTATAGAAACCCTGGAAGATAACCTAAGAAATACCATTCTGGACACAGAACTTGGCAAAGATTTCATGAGGAAGATGCCAAAAGCAATTGCAACAAAAACAAAAATTGACAAACAGGATCTAATTAAAGTTAAGAGCATCTGCAGAGCAAAGGAAACTCAACAGAGTAAACAGACAACCTACATACAGAATGGAAAAAAATATTTGCAAACTTAGCATCTGACAAAGGTCTCATATCCCGCACCTGTAAGGAAAATAAACAATTTTACAAGCAAAAACCAACCCCACTGAAAAGTGAGCAAAGGACATGAACAGACATTTTTCAAAAGAAGACATATATATGGCCAATAAGCATATGAGAAAATGCTTAACATCACTAATCATTTGAGAAATGCAAATCAATACCACAATGAGATACCATCTCACACCAGTCAGATGGCCTATTATTAGAAAGTCAAAAAATAGCAGATGCTGGTGAGGTTGTGGAGAAAAGGGAATGCTGATACGGTGCTGGTGGGAATGCAAATTAGTTCAGCCACTATGGAAAGCAGTTTGGTGATTCCTCAAAGAGCTAAAAACAGAACTACCATTCAATCCAGCAATCCTATTATTGGGTACATACCCAAAGGAATATAAATCATTCTACCATAAAGATACATGCACGCGAATGTTCATTGCTACACTATTCACAATAGCAAAGACATGAAATTAACCTAAATGGCCATCAGTGCTAGACTGGATAAAGAAAATGTGGTACATATACACCATGGAATACTATGCAGCCATAAAAGAGAATGAGATCATGTCCTTTGCAGGGACATGGATGGAGCTAGAGGCCATTATCCTAACTAATACAGGAATAGAAAACCAAATACTCCATGTTCTTGCTTACAAGTGGGAGATCAACAAGGAGAACACATGGATACTAGGAGGAGAATAACACACACTGGGGTCTATGGAAGGCTGGAGGGTGGGAAGGGGAGAGGATCAGAGAAAAATACCTCTTGAGTACTGTGCTTATTACCTGGGTGATGAAACTATCTGTAATCAAAGCCCTGTGACACGCAGGTGACCTATTAATATATAACAAACCTGTACGTGTACCCCCAAACCTGAAATAAAAGTTAAAAACACACA